>NC_000002.12:13077559-13384315 GCF_000001405.40 Homo sapiens | reverse complement strand
CAACAACACAGAGACCTCAGTCTTACACCTGTAATGAACTGAACTTTGCCAGCAACTGGATGAGAACTACAGGAAGCCAGTGCCTTAATGGCAGAATGATGGGCTCCTTAGCAGAAGACCTACATAACTCAGGGCTGGGCTCTGGACCCACAGAAATAGTAATTTCCATGTTGTTTTGTGTTGTGTTGTTTTAAGCAACTACATATGTGGCAATGGGTTATGTAGCAATGGAAAAGTACTACCACATTTGATCATATAATTTTATTCCCCTGCTTTAACTTGATGCTATACGTTATGTCAGGACCAATCTTTCCAATGGAATGTACTATATGCTCTGAGGCAGCCTACTCATGTGACTTTAATTTCTGTAATGGTTATTTTATTTTTGTCTTAAGCTTCTCAAATTTACTTTTTATTTTTTCAAATTTCATGGCTTTCTAAACCGTATATCTTTTTTTCCAACTTAAATTGGTGTAATAACATCATTCATTTGTTTTCAATCATAAGGGAGTATTTGCATGAATTCTTCCTTCATTTCCTGAGTGATTTCATTTAGAATGTGTGCTCTTCATTAACCTATTGATTATCATCCTCTCCTCATCACCACCATCAATCACGCTTCTCTCCACTCCTTTCCCCAACTTTCACTCACAGGATTTCAGAATGTGTCTTCTGACTTCCTTCAGTCATTTGCCTATGTTTTTTTTTAATTACCTTTTATTTTAGATACAGGAGACACATGTGTAGGACTGTTACATGGGTATATTGGTCCCAAGTAGTGAGCATAGTACTCAGTAGGTAGTTCTTTAACCTGTGCCGCTTTCCTCCCTTTTCTGCCTAGTCGTGTGCAGTATCTATTGTTCCCATGTTTATGTCCATGTGTGCTTAATGTTTAGCTCCAACATATACATGGGAATATGTGGTGTTTTGCTTTTTGTTCCTGTATTAATTTGCTTAGGACTATGGCCTCCAGGTCCAGCCATGTTGCTGCACGGGACATTATACTTTATGCTGCATGGTATTCCATGATGTATATGTACCACATTTTCTTTATCCAATTCACTGTTGATGGGCACCTAGGTTGAATCCACGTCTTTGCTATTGTGAATAGTGCTGTGATGCACATCTATGTGCATGTGTCTTTTGGTAGAATGATCTATGTTCCTTTGAGTATATACCAAGAAATAGGATGACTGGGTTAAATGGTAGCCTTGTTTTAAGTTCTTTGAGAAATCTCCAGACTGCCTTTTACAGTGGCTGAACTAATTTACATTCCTACCAACTACAAATAAGCATTCCCTTTACTCCAAAGCCTTGCCAACATCTGTTGTTTTTTGACTTTTTAATAATAGTCATTCTGACTGGTGTAAGATGGTACCTCACTGTGGTTTTGATTTGCATTTCTCTGATGATTAGCGATGATGAGCGTTTTTTTCATGCTTGTTGACCATTTATATGTCTTCTATTGAGGAGTGCCTGTCCATGTCCTTTCTCCATTTTTTTAATAGAGTTATTTGCTTTTAACTTGTTGATTTAAGTTCTTTATAGATTATGAATATTAGACCTTTGTCAGATGCTGATATGGTTTTGCTCTGTGACACTCGCAAATCTCATCTCAAAATGTAATCCCCACATGTCCCGGGAGAGACCTGGTGGAAGGTGATTGGATTACGGGGGCAGTTTCCCCCATGATGTTCTCATGATAGTGGGTGAGTTCTCAGAACAGCTGATGGTTTTGAAGTGTGGCACTTCCTTGTTTTCTTGCTCTCTCTCTCCTACCACCAGGTAAGAAGTGCCTTCTTCCCCTTGACCTTTTGCTATAACTGTAAGTTTCCTGAGTCCTATCCAGCCATGGAGAACTGGGAGTCAATTAAACCTCTTTTTTTTTTTAATAAATTACTCATTCTCAAGTAAATCTTTATAGCAGTGTAAAAAAAAGACTAATACAGATACATAGTTCATGAATATTTTCTCCCATTCCATAGCTTGTCTGCTTATTCTGTTGCTGGGCAGAAGCTGTTTAGTTTAATTAGGTATCACTTGTCAATTTTTGTTTTTGTTGCAATTGCTTGGGGACTTAGCCAAAAATTATTTGCCAAGGCCAGTGTTGACATGAGTATTTCCTAGGTTTTATTCTAGTGTTTTTATAGTTTGAGATCTTACATTTAAATATTTAATCCATCTTGAGTAAATATTTGTATTAGTGAAAGATAAGAATTTGGTTTCATTTTTCTGCTTATGGCAAGCCAGTTAACCTAAAGCATTTATCAAATGGCAAATCCTATCCCTATTGCTTGTTTTCATTGACCTTGTCGAAAATCAGATGGTTGTAAGTGAGCAGCTTTATATTTTAGTTTTCTATTCTGTTCCATTGGTCTATGTGTCTGTTTTTGTATCAGTACTATGCTGGTTTTTCACGGTAGCCTTATTGTTTGAAGTTGATAGTGTGATGCCTCCAGCTTTGTTCTTTTTGCTTAGGTTTGCATTGGCTATTTGGGCTCTTTTTTGCTTCCACATAAATTTTAGAATAGTTTTCCTAATTCTGATAGTTTGATAGGAATAGCATTGAATCTGTAAATTGCTTTGGGCAGTATGGCCATTTTAATGATATTGATTTTTCATTATCATGAAACATTAAAACATTCCATGAGTATGGAATGTTTTCCCACTTATTTGTGTCACCTGATTTCTTTCAGCATTGTTTTCTAGTTCTCCTTGTAGAGATTTTTCACCTTCTTGGTTACCTGTATTCTCAGGTGTTTCATTTTCTTTGTGGTTATTGTAAATGTGATTGTGTTCTTAATATGACTCTCAGCCTGGATGGTATTGGCACATATAAATGGTACTGATGTTTTCTACATTGATTTTGTATCATGGAACTTCGCTAAAATCATTTATTAGTTCCAGTAGCCTTTCTCCTGCTTGACTGCTCTGGCTGTGACTTCCACTACTATGTTGAATATGAAATGGTCAGAGTGCTTGCCTTTTTTTCAGTTCTACAGGGGAGTGGTTCCAGCTTTTGCCCATTCAGTATAATGTTGGCTCTGGGTTTGCTATAGACAACCCTTATTATTTTGAGTCATATTATTTTGATGCCTAGTTTGTTGAGGGTTTTTATCATGAAGTCACGTTGAATTTTATTGAAAGCTTTTCTGCATTTTCTTAGATGATCAGATGGTTTTTGTGTTTAAATCTGCTTATGTGGTGAATCATATTTATTGATTTGCATATGTTGATCCAACCTTGCATCCCAGGAATAAAGCCTACTTTATCATGGTGAATTAACCGTTTTATATGCTGCTGGATTCAGTTTACCAACATTTGATTGAGAATTTTTTGTCTACGTTCATCATGGACATTGGCCTCAAGTTTTCTTTCTTGACTGTGTTTCTGCCAGAGATTGAGTTTGAAAGGATTCCCTCCTTTTTTTGGAATAGCTTCAGTAGAACTGGTACCAGGTTTTCTTTATACATCTGGTAGAATTTGACTGTGAATCCATCTGGTCCAGGACTTTTTTGGTTGGTGGTAGTTTTTTTTTTTTAATTACATATGATTCAATTTCAGAGTGAGATATTTCTCTATGCAAAGCTTCAATCTTTTCCTGATTCAATTAGAGACTGTGTGTTTCTAAGAATTTATCAATTTCATCTACAGATTTTCTAATTTTTATGCATAGAGTTGTTCATGGTATTCTATGGGAAACTTTTGTAATTCTGTGGGATCAGTTATAATATTATCTTTGTTATTTCTGACTGTACTTATTTGGATCTTCTCTTTTTTTCATTGTAAATCTAGCTGTTAAACAGCAGTCTATCAATCTTGTTCATCTTTTCAAAGAACAAACTCTTGCTTTTTTTATTTTTTTCTATGGATTTTTGTATCTCAATTTCAATAAGTTCTCTGATTTTAGTTATTTCTTTTCTTCTGTTAGCTTTTTCTTTTCTAGTTCCTTTAGGTGCAAAGTTAGATTGCTAAATTGAGATATTTCTAACTTCTCGATTAGTGCATGTAGGGAAATAAACTTTCCTCTTAACACTGCTTTGGCTGCATCTCAAAGATTTTGGTAAGTCACATTCCTATTTTCAATATTTCAAAGAATTTTTCTTAAATCTACCTTAATTTTGATGTTCACCTAAGAGTTATTCAGGAGTAAGTTGTTTAATTTCCCTATATTTGTGTAGTTTTGAGAGATCTTGATTTTGATTACTATTTTTATTTCACCATGGTTCAAGAGTTTGCTTGGTATAATTTCAATTTTTTTGAATTTATTGAGATTTGCTTTATGATTGAGCATGTGGTTGATCTTAGAATATGTTCCATGTGCAGACGGGAAGAATATATATTCTGTGGATGTTAACTGGGGTATTTTGTAGATGTCTATTAGGTCCAATTGGTAAAGTGTTGAGTTTATGTCCAGAGTTTCTTTCTTAGTTTTCTTCCTTAATGATCTGTTTAGTGCTGTCAGTGGGGTGGTGAAGGCTCCTGCTGTTATTGTTTGGTTGTCTAAGTGTTTTCATGGGCAATGAAGAACTTGGTTTATGAATCTGGGTGCTCCAATATTGAGTGTATATATATTTAGTACAGTTAAGGTTTCTTGTTTGATTGTACCCTTTATCATTATGTAATGCCCTTCATTGTTCTTAATTTTTATTGGTTTAAAGTCTATTTTACATGATACAAGAATAGCAACTTCTGCTCTTTTTTGTTTTTTGTTCACATGTTAGATCTTTCTCCATTCTTTTGCTGTGAGCCTGTGGTTGTTCTTAATGTGAAATGGGTCTCTTGAAGATAACAGATGGTTGGATCTTTTTATCCAGCTTGCACTCTGTGTCTCTTAAGTGGAGCATTTAGCCCATTTACATTCAAGGTTAGTATTGATATCTGTGATTTTAATTCTGTTATCACGTTGCTAGCTGATTGTTATGTAGACTTGATTGTGTGGTTGCTTTATAGTGCCTGTGTGCTATGTGCTTAAATGTGCTTTTGTGGTATGACTGTCATTCTTTCTTTTCCATGTTTAGCACTCCCTTAAGGACCTCTTGTATGGCTAGTCTAGTTGAAACATATTCCCTTAGCATTTGCTTCACTTCACTTTTAAGCTTAGTTTGGCAGGATATGAAATTATTGGTTAAAATTTATTTTCTTTAAGGATGCTGAAAATAGGCTACCAATCTCTTCTGACTTGTAAGATACCTGCTGAGAGATCTGCTGCTAGCCTGATGAAGTTCCTTGTATGTGACTTTACCCTGCCCTTTAGCTGCCTTTAAGACTTTATTCTTTAGTGTTGACCTTGATGAATATTGTACTATGTGCCTTGGAGGTAGTCATTTCATGTCATATCTAGCTGGGGTTCTGTGTGTTTCTTGGATTTGTATGTAAACCTCCCTAAAGAGATGAGGAATTTTCATGAACTGTATCTTCAAATATATTTTCCAAGTTGCTTATTCTCTCTCCTTCTCTCTCAGGAATGACAATGAGTCATAGATTTTTTCGCTTTACAAAATCCCATATTCTTGGAGGTTTCACTTATTTTTCTTATTTTTTTCCTTATTTTTGTCTGACTGAGTTGATTTAAAGAAGTCGTCTTCAAGTTTTGAGATTAGTTCCTCAGCTTGGTCTATTCTGCTGCTAATACTTCTGATTATTTGATAAAATTCTGATAGTGAGTTTTTCACCTCTAGAATTTAAGTTTGGTTATTTCTGAAAATGGCTATTTTATCATTCAGCTCTTGGATTGCTTTACTAAATTATTTGAATTCCTTGCATTGAACTTCAACTTTCTCCTGAATCTCAATGAGTTTCCTGGCCACAGATTCTGCATTCTGTGTCTGTTATGTCACTAATTTCAGACTGGTTAAAAACCATTGCTGGGGAGCTAGTGGACTCATTTGGAGGTAAGGGTACACCCTGACTTTTTGGATTGCCAGAGTTCTTGTGCTAATTCTTTCTCATCTGGGAGGGTTGGCATTTCTTTAACTGTGGTGTAAGTTGTGAATAATCAGTTGGCTTAATTTCTGAATGCTTTTAGAGGCCCAAGGCTCTGTACAGAATCTTTATGTGTGGGTAAATTTTTGACTTGGTTTCACAGCTGTATATATTAGCAGAATAAAATTTAGGTGTTGTAGTTTGGGCAGCAAATCCAGTGAATGAGGCTTAACAGTAATGACTGGTAGCTAGGTTAATACCTGGTCACAGGGCTTTTTGTACTTCTTGTGTTCATAGATATGCTCTGCAGTGGGGAGGGAGTGATATGGTTCCCTCAACAGATCTGCTTGTAAAACTTGAGAGAGCTCCCTCTGATAGCTGGTGCTGTGCCCACATTTTTTTGTTAGGTTTTCTGGGCCACATGGTCTTCTTGGGCAGAAGCTGTGGCAGGGAGATATGCCACATGCTTTTTGGACTGGACCTGAGAAGGGAGGCATGTTCCACTCTTACCCCAGCTCAGGAACCCATGCATCTCACCCCTTTCACGGCTCTGAGATTAGGGGCTCTTTCTCTGTTTGAGTGCCAGCCACAAATCTTGGTTCCATACTCCCAAGCTGCAAACTACAGCCCTGGGGTCACTGGGATATCCCATGGCTTGGGTTCGGGTTCTTTCTGCACTGAGGGATACAGTGTGCTCCAGAGTCATGAAGAAAGTATGCAGGTGCAATTACACACTCAGGCTGGCCTTCCAGGACTGCACTATGCACCTGCTCCTACAGGGCAGCTAGGCATGGACCCTGGGAGGGGCTTGTAGGCAGAAGGGCTTGCAGAGCAGATGCACCCCAGTCCTGCAGGAAAGCTGGCCCAACTCTCTTCTAGCTTGGAGGTCACTAGGGTTCCATGCCTCCCAGAGGAGAATGGAAATCCCTGGGAAATGGGCATCTATGGCTGCTCTTGCCTGCAGTGGTCCAGCACACAAAAGCTCCTGGGGTCTATGCTGTCCAAAGGTCTGTCTCTGCCTGCTCCCCAGGGAGATCCCCCT
Organism: Homo sapiens; assembly: GCF_000001405.40. Lineage (NCBI taxonomy): Eukaryota > Metazoa > Chordata > Mammalia > Primates > Hominidae > Homo > Homo sapiens. The sequence goes on along the minus strand of NC_000002.12, from coordinate 13,377,348 downwards.
GCCAGCTCACACATCCACGGTTGTGTAAGGTCCCTTGTAGCTAAAAAATCAGATGCTCACAGCGAGAGTGAACCATCCCTCAGTTCCTTCATTCAGTCCTTTCCTGGAATTGTTTGTGGCCAGGAATTAGCCTTAGCACTTGGGTAGCTAACTCAGGGTTTCCAGCTTCCTCCCTCTTCAGTCTTGGCTTCGGCCTTGCCTCTCCATCCACTTTCAGCATTTTCTCCCTGAATGCCTGTTCAAATTATGGTGGTTTACCTAATAACTTGGCCTCTCTTGAGAGGAGTGGCACTTCCTGGCTGTGTCTAGTCGGCCATCTTGTTCGTCTCCTCTATCTTAAAATGGAGTCAATCAATCCACTACAAATAATGTGATTTGAGGAAGTCCAAAGCTCTAATTCAGGTTTTTATTTGTTTTGTATGCTTTCCTGGTTTTTTTTATTGTTAAAAACTATCTCAACAAATTTATTTTATTCTGTCCAATAAATGTACATTTCATCTAAATTTTGGTATTGAGCTTTTTTATACATCCTATTTCCAACCAAAAAGACTTGTTGTTTTTAAGTAAATGCAACTTAATTATCCTATTTCTATTATTTAGATACTATCATTCCTTCTATCTGGAGGTCTCTGTAATGGTTGTATTAACAGTACTCAAAAGTAATGTGGATAATAATAATTGTGGATTTTGTTCTTGTTTTTAAATGTCTTTAATCATTTCACATAAAGTTGTAAGACTTTGAAGCATTTGAGAATTTCATACAAAACATTTCTGAAAGATAAATTTTCTCATATTTTCTTGGACACGTTAATTGATCATTTTAGCTAGTCTTTGAAGAAATCCATGAAAAAGTACTTGTTACTATTTTTACCCACAGCAGCATAATTTAAATTTGAGTTAAATAGGCTTGTAAACAAATTTGTATAAACACAATGGGAAATGACCTTCCCAATAGTATAGCTAAACTAATAAACTAATTATGGTAGGGATGAGCAATTATAGTCCAAGCAATGTAAACTCAATTCATATGTGGAAAACCACAGGGGCAAGGGGAATACAGTATATAGACAGTGTCAGAACAAGAGACTGCTAGGAGTTCTGGGTTTTACCCTTCTCTACAGATAGACATTGTCTACCCAGCTTCCCAAGAGACCACCATGTAAACGTTTTCTTTCAACTCATCAAGATTAAAGGTTAATAATATTTTATACAAAAATAATGTGTTCTTTTAAAAGGTAGTAAAAATTTCTGGGACAGAGATTATGTTCTTCAGCAATCTTACAAATGATTTATTGGTTTATTTACATAAAATCAAATCAGTGAATATTCTATCTTACATTAGCTGAACTACAATAGCTTCCACAATAAGTCAAGCACAAATTTTAATCCATTTAACAACCTTTAGCAAACATTTATTTAAGGACTCTTATGTTTCAGGGATAGTAATGGTTACTAGGTAAACACAGCAAATCAATCTCAATTCTTGCCTAAAAAGTACATAATCTTTAAGTTTCAAGATAATAGAGCCATATAATCTAATAAAATAAATAAATTCATCTGTTTTATTAAACAATTATTTGGTACCGACTATGTGCAAGCTATTGTGTATATTTTGGTATGTGCTAAAATTCTATGATTCTGTGTATGTTTTTCATGTACCTATTTTTAATAAATTTATATTTTTTCTTAATACTATGACACAATTTGTATTTTTAATCTTTAAAGTCTTTCACTATTATTCAGTTTTTGCCAATATTCCCTCACGAAGTCCTTGTGGCATGTCTTAGCTTTTTTCTGAATGCACTTTTATCATATTCATATGTATTATGAATCTTTCAAGACACAGTTCAGTAGTCATCTCCTCCACCCCACCATGATACTTATAGACATATACACCACCCAAATGAGAATAATCTTTTCCCCTTGTAAATGCTTATAGAATTTTCTCTGTGTCCCGAGGAATTTGCCTTTTGTTACAGTGCATTGTGTATATGCCTCCTCACTTCAATACATTGTGTTTCTGTAGAATAGCGTTCATATCTGTTCATTTTTATTTTCTTGGAATTTAGGGAGAGTTTCTGGTGTATAATGGAGCCTATTATGTGCTTTTTATGTAAATTTTATGTATATTTAATTTGAAATTATACCTTTCAAAATTCTTGACCATTCTTTACATATTTAATAACAAAATTGAAATAAATGAATTAAAAATGTATCACTCGATTATCCTTCCAGAAAATTGTACCTTGGTTTCTTTCAGAGAGAAAATATTTGACAATCAACAAGGAGATTTCTCTAATATGACATATCTGAACCAAAACAACAAGCATAAAATGGGTGATTAGTCATTATATAATATTATAAAAATCTATAGAAATCTCTTAATCAGAACATTTATGAGAAATGTCATAAATTTAAAGTTAATGTGAATTGCTTTTATATTAGTGTATTGTTTGTAAGCTGTCTACCCATAATGTTAATTAGCATGGATATAGTACAAACAGAGCTACAATCTGTACTAATATTTATTCTTTGTATAATTCTACTTAAATTATTGGATGGAAAAAGTTATTTCCAATACAAACATTGAAACATACCCTAGAAATCCGTCTATGTAGTACATTCTTGCTCTGGTTTTGAAAAAAAGCATATCAGGTTGTTTACCAACGGAATAAAATGACAGACGAAATAATGAACATCCTAGATTAACCCAGGCATCTCTACATGCATAGTTAAATGTTATTTTAATATCCGGCCGGATGGCATGTAAAACTGTAGAATTTAATGTCTATCTAACCATACCAAACTTTCCAAATATTGTTGCAATGTTTCTTTTTAAAAATAAAAATACAAATTTTACTTAGAAATCAAATTGAAAAATAAAGTAACTATTGACAACAAATACATGTAATGAAATTTTACAAAGAACACGTTCATATATATATATATATATATTTATGATTGATCACATTAATTGGAGAGTTAAACATAAATACTTTTAGCATGTTTTCTACCCTAGAAAATATGGAAGATAAAGCTCTGTTGTGCCTCTTCATCTTCCTAACTAAGCAAGTATTTTATAAAGCACTGAGGTGTAATTCTCTTTACAAAGTGATAAATCCTTTACACAAAATTGTTCCTACTGAAGATAATAATTCTCCAATTACAGAAGCATCACCCTTTTACAGTCAATTTTGCCCCTCTAATTCCAGCCATTTACTTGAAAACAATTGGGACACAATTTCAAAGTTGGCATCAACTTTGGCAGTAGCCACCCAATTATGATAAAATAATATTTTTAATATAGTGTATTCTATGTAAATAAACAATTTCTTTTACGTATAGATTTATTACAAATATAATTTTAAAGTTTTTCAAACATGCAATTTAATATATTCATTTAGATCATAAATTTTATAATTTACATTGAAATTGGGAAAATTAATTTTATTGAAAGTCTCATTTTCTTTTCTAACGAATTTTGGTAACGCAAAAAATACAAAATTTACCATTTCCTAATTGATGTAAGGTTATTACTTAGGACTCTATCACAGCCTTTGAAATAATTTGATTTATGTAATCTCCTTTGCTATAGAAATTTCACCTAGCAAAAATCTCCACTTTTATTTTTAATAACATTTGCTTGATACTTAACACAAATGTCTTTCAAGCTGAGGAGGCCACATGCTATCACTGCTTGATGTATGTAGAGATTCATCACTCTAAATAATTTGTGCATCACTATATTATATGAAGATATGCTTGATTTTTACTGATATATTTTTGTTACCAGCTTACACTATTTAAAATAAGGCAAAAAAAAAAGAACAATTGAGAAATTACGACAGATTATCCTATTGAATTTGCAATCAAATATGCAAGTTATTTCTTTATCTAGTAATTAATATTAAGATCCTTTTATGTGCAGAACACTTTAGTAATTAGAAATATAATATTCAAGAAAAATAGACACAGTTTCCATCTTCAAAAATTTAGTCACTTTTTAACAATGAAAACTGTGTTTTTAAATAATCTGTGCATATGTCTTTGTGTATATGCATGTGTGTGTAATATTGACTAATTATTTGATGATAAAATATAAGTGATTTATCATAAAATCAGCTTTTACTTTGCATGGTCATACTGAACTTATTCTCAAAAAAATAATAAAAATAAACCAGCTGCAAGAACAAAACAAAGAAATATTTAGAAGTTCCATTTTTTTGAAAGATATTTTAGTAGCAATAAAGTTCATATATTTCAGTTTGTAAGTAATACCTAGCTTGTGACATGCAATTATAAGAAGACCTATAATTCGTTTTTTAGCTATTTTCGCTGTATGGACAACAAAATATATATTACATGACTCTACTAAACATGTCATCTTTATAAATTTTTCTCTCAGTTCTATCTGTTTTTTAAATGTATTCTTTTAGTCCCTACCTTCTACTACGTATTATTTAGTTTTATTTTCTGTAGTTTACTTTTTAACGAAGGTAAGCTTTTGCTTATCAAATTATTTAAGAAAATCTATTTTGACACACCCTAAACAAATATTTATGATGCATATTTTTAGCTTGCAAGAAATAAAAGGATTCTCCAGACAGCTGAAGATAATTATAAGCAGAAACTAGAGTGAGAAGTAAGGATATATGAAATCAGGGAATTAGACTGAAAACAATTGCCTATATCAGCACAATGATCTGGGAATTCAGCCTTTAGATGTCCGTAAGCTAAGGTAGCTAATTTACTGAAAATCCAGGTTCAATTAATCTAGGTACACTAAAAAAGAGTAAAATTTGGGACTTCTTCTTATGAGTTGTAGCCAATTTAGGCTTCAAGGATTTCAAGAGAGGGAGACTTTATATTTAAATTTATATTAAATATTATTTAAAGTAGGCAAACTATTTTCAAAAAATAAGATAAATAAAAGCAAACAAAATAAATTAAAATGACCAATAGTTTTAGATAACCAAAAGCCACCAGAGTTTTGAATAATTAGAAACTGATTAAAATCATTATTAAAATATTTAAAGAAATAAAATATAAACATATGAGAAAGCAAAAAGGTTATTGAAAATTTTAAAAATGATTCAAAAAATGCCACATACAAATTTAAAACTGAGAAAATAAATCATATGCCCATACGTTTTGTAATATAAATGAAATAGGTCAATTCTTTGAAAGATCCAAGCTACCAAAACTCACACACAAAAAAATAGATAACTTGGATGTATTATCTATTTGGATATACATATATACAATTGAATAATTAAGACTATTCCAAAAAGAAAGCCTGAGACCCACATAATTTCACTGGTGAATTCTACCTAATATTTAAGGAGGAAATAATACCAATTTTCCACAATTTATTCCAGAAAATAGAAACAGAGAAGATTTTTCCTAATTCATTCTCTGAGTCAATCATTATCCAATACTGAAACTTATATAAAGCCCTTGCAATACATAAAATGTACAAACCTTTTTTGCCTGTGCTTTGGGGATTGTATCCAAATACCTTTTTCAAGAATAATGTCAAGAGCTTTTCGTATGTTCTCTTCTAGTAATTTTATCTTTTTATTAATGTTTAATTATTTTACCCATTTTGAGTTGATTTTTGTATATGGGGTGAAATTAAGGATTCATGTGGATAGCCAGTTTTTCTAACATCATTTATTGAAGAGACTGCCATTTCCCCATTGCAGGTTATTGGCACCTTTGTCAAAGATCAATTGGCTGAAGACACTTACCTTATTTCTGGGATCTCTGTTTTGTGCCATTGATCTATATGCCTGTTTTGTGCCAATTCCATACTCTTCTGAATTGGAAATATTTGTAGTAAATTTTGAGATCAGGTTGTGTGATGTCTCCAACTTTGTTCCCTTTGCTTGAAATTGCTTTGGATATTTGAGTCTTCTGTGGCTCCATGCAAATCCTAGAATTACTTTTTTTTCTTTCCATTTTTGTGAGAAATGTCTTGAGAATTTTAATAGAGATTGCACTGAATCTGCAGATATCTTTAGGTTTCATGGGCATTTTAATAATACTAATTCTTCCAACCCATAAACACATGATATCTTTCCATTTATTTGTATCTTCTTTAATTTTTGTCATTAATATTTTCAATAGTTTTTCAATGTACAGATCTTGCAACTCCTTGTTTTTCGTATTTTTGATGCGATCATAAATGTTTTTTTCTTCTTTCTTTTTCAGATATTTCACTGTTAGTAAATAGAAACACTACTGATTATTGAACGCTTATTTTGTATCCTGCAACTTTATTAAATTCATTTATTAATTTTAACAGTTTTTTTGGTGGAGTCTTTACAGTTTTTATATATAAGATCATATCATCTGCAGAGACAATTTAACTTATTCCTTTCTGATTTGGATACATGTAATTTCTTGCTTATGCCTAATGCCTGTCACTAGGACCTCCTGTAGACACTTCTCAAAACAGAGGGCATACAAATAGGCAATAGGAATGTTTAAAAATGCTCAACAGCAATCATCAGGGAAATGCAAATTAAAACCACAAGGAGATATCACCTCGCAGCTGCTCAAGTAGCTTTTATCAAAAAGGCAAAAGCTAACAAGTGTTGGTGAGGGTGTGGATAAAAGGGAACCATTGTACATTGTTGGTAGGAAGGTAAATTAGTACAGGCATTTTGGAAAATATTATGGAGTTTTCTCTAAAATCTAAAAATATAGAACTCCCATATAATTCAGTAACTCAATTTCTGGATATATATCAAATAAAATGAAATCAGCATGTTGAAGAGATATCTGCATTCCCATGTTCACTGCAGTGTTGTTCACAATGGCCAAGATATGGAATCAACCTAAGTGTCCATCAGCAGAAGAATGAGTAAAACTAATGTGGTATATATACACAACGAAATACTGTTCAGCCTTGAAAAGTACGTAAATTTATATAGATGAATCTGGAGGACATTATGACAAATAAAATAAGCCAGGCACAGAAGGATAAATACAGCATGTTCCCACATATATGTGGAATCTAAAATAGTCAAACTTACAGAAATAAAAGCAGAATGGTAGTTAAAAGGGATTGGGGGAGATGGGAAGATACTGGTTAAAGGGTATAAAGTTTCAGATAGGAAGAATAAATTCTGGAGATATATCGTGCAGCATAGTGACTGTAGTTAACAATAACGTATGGTATGTTTGAAAACTGCTAAGAGAGCAGATTTTAAATGTTCTCACCACAAAAAATAAGTATGTGAGGTGATAGATATTGATTTAATAATTTCACAATGTATACATATGTGAAAACATCACGTTGTACCCCATAAATGTATACAATTATTGTTTGTCAATTAAAAATAAACTAAAAAGAAAAAACTAGACTAATATATCTGAAGAACACAAATGCAAAATTCCTCAACAAAATGTTAGCAAACAGAATTCAATAGTATATAAAGAGAATTATAACCATAACAAAACAGAATTTATTCAAATATCCAAAAATGACTGAACACACAAACCAATCAATGTAATTTACCATTTCAACAGGCTAAAAAAAAAGAAAAAGTATGTGATTATATCAATAGATGCAGCAAAACCTTTTGGCAAAAATTCATCAATTCATTGACCAAACAAACAAAAATATCTCATAAACTAGGAATAAATGGGAGCTTTCTCAACTTGATAAAGTACACTCATGAAACCTAAAGCTAACATCATAAATAATGGTCAGAGGCTGAATGTTATATCTTTAAAGTAGGGAAAAGGCAATTATAACTTCTGTTGCCACAGTTTTGAACATCTCACTGGAAATTCTACCTAATTCAATAAGACAAAAAATAAAAGGTACTCTTAATGGAAAGAAAAATACCTGTCTTTATTTGCCAATTATATGATAGCCTATATGTAAAATCCTCAAAAATCTACAAGGAAAAATCTTCTGGAGTGTATCAGCAAGCATAGCAAATCAGGGCACAAAGTTCATGTACAAAACTCAATTCTTTTTCTACATACCAACAATGAAATTTTGGAATTTGAAATTTAGAAAACAATATTATTTTCAATGTAGCAGAAAATAAAACATTTATGTATAAATTTAACAAAATATGTGCAGATTTGTATGCAAAAAGTTAAGACACAGATGGAACATGTTAAAGATCTAATTATATGGAAAACATTCTATGCCACTGACTGAAAGACCCCAATATTACTGACACACTTTTCTCCCAAATTGATCTACAGATTTCATTCAATCTCAAATAAAATTCCATCAAACTGCTTTGTAGATATAGACAAACTTATTCTAAAGTTTAAATAGAAAGGCAAAAGATAGCCAAAAAAAGAAAAAAAGTACAATGTGGAGACACAAACTACCCAACTTCAGAACTTATAGTATAGCTATAATAACCAAGATTATATGATACAGTTAAAAGAAACATATAAATCAAAGAAAGAGAATATAGACATAGGACAAAATAAATATGATCAACTGATTTTTAACAAGGACATAAAAGAAAGTTGAAGGAGTGATGGCAGCCTTTCTCAAAAAATGATGCATCACCAATTAGATATCTATATTTAATAAAAGAACCCAAACACAAATTTTACAATAAAATTAACTTAAAACAGATCATACTTATAAATATAAAACGAAAAACTATAAAATGTCTAAATACATGTAAGAGAAAATCTGCGTGGGTGAACTGAGAAGTTTGGGTGCAGTGAGGAGTTTTTTTAAGATAAAACACTAAAAACACTTTCAAAGAAAAAATGACAGGTGTACTTCATTAGAAGTAAAAACTTCTGTTCTGTGAAAGACACTATTGGAGTATTAAAAAATGCACAGACTGGAAGAAAATATTTGTGAAACACATACCTGATGAAGAAATTTTATCCAAAAATGTAAAGACAGACAACCCAATTAAAAAACTGGACAAAAATTTAAACAGTCGTCTAATCAAAGATGATGGGCAGATGGTCAATAAACATATAAAAATATTCCCAATATCATTTGTCATTTAAAAAATGCAAATGAAACAATAATAAAATGTCAGTACATATATACTAGAATGACTAAACTCCAGAAAATACTGACTGATGATATAACTAGTGATGAGCATGCAGGGCAACAGGAATTGTCACTCATTGCTGGTGGAAATGCAATGTAGCAAACTACCTTGAAAGACAGTTTGGTAATTTCTTACAAGGACAAAAATAGTCTTCCCATACAATCCAGTAGTTGACATCTTGTTATTTACCCAACTATTCTGAAAACCTATGTTCACACAAAAACTTGAATGTGAGTATTTATAGCAGTTTTATTTTGACTGAAACTGAAAAAAAAGTCAGATGCCTTTAATAGGTGAATACATAAACAAACTGTGGAATATCCATACAATACAATACCATGTATGTATGTGTGTATTTATTTATAATTTTTATTTTAATTAACATAGTAGGTACATAGTAGGTGTATTTGTTTATGGGATACAAGAGATACTCCATAAATGTATGCAGGCATGCAATGCATAATAATCACATTATGGAAAATGGGGTATTCATCCACTCAAGCATTTATCTTTTGAGTTATGAACAATCCAATTAAACTCTTTTAGTTACAATAAAATGTACAATTAAATCATTATTAACTATAGTTACCCCGTTGTGCCATCAAATACTAGGTCTTATTAATTCTTGCTATTTTTATTGTACCCATTAACATTTGCACCTTCTCCCACCCCCATTGCCCTATTGCCATTCCCATTCTCTGCTAACCATTCTTCTATTGTGTATCTCCATGAGTTCAATTGTTTTCATTTTTCGACCACACACATAAGTCAGAATATGCAATGCTTCTCTTTCTATGCCTGGCTTGTTTAACTTAACATAATGACCTCCAATTCTATCCATATTGTGCAAGTGACAAAATCTCATTATTTTTATACCTCAATTGTTCTCCATTGTGCATAAGTACCATATTTTCTTTATTTACTCATCTGTTGTTAGACACTTAGGTTGCTTCCAAATCTTGGCTATTGTGAACAGTGCTGCAGTAAATGGAGGAGTGCAGATATCTCTTTGATATACTGACTTCCTTTCTTTTGGGTATATCCCCAGATTTTTGGAATGCTGGATTAAATATTATCTCTCTTTTTAGTTCTTTGAGGAACCTCCAAATTGTTCTCCATAGCAGTTGAACTAACTTACATTCCCACCAACAGTGTAGAAGGACTCCCTTTTCTCTACATTGTTGCCAGCATTTGTTGTTGCCTGTCATGAGATAAGCCATTTTAACTGGGAAGAGATGATACATCATTGTAGTTTTATTTTGCATTTCTCTCAAGATCAGTGATATTGAGCATATTTTCATATGCCTCTTTGCCATTCGTATCTCTTCTTTTGAGAAAACTCTGTTGAGAAATGTCTATTCAAATCTTTTGCCAATTTTAAAATCAGATTACTAGTTTTTTTTTTCTACAAAGTTGTTTGAGCTTGTTTTTATACCCTGGTTATTAATCTCTTGTCAGATGGATAGTTTGCAAATATTTTCTCCCATTCTGTGAGTTGTCTCTTCACTTTGTTGCTTGTTTCCTTTGCAGTGCAGAAGATTTTTAACTTGATATAATCTCATTTGTCCACTTTGCCTGTGCCTGTGGGTTATTACTGAAGAAACTTTTGCCCAGACCAATGTCATGGAGAATTTCTGCAATGTTTTCTTATAGTGGTTTCATAGTTTCAGGTCTTAGAGTTAAGTGTTTAATCCATTTTTATTTGATATCTTTGTATATGGCAAGAGATATGGATCTAGTTTCATTCTTATGCATACGGATATTCAGTTTCCTCAGCATTATTTATTGAAGAGACTATATTTTCCCCACTATGTGTTCTTGGCTCCTTTGTCAACAATAAGTTCGTTGTAGATATGTGGATTTGTTTCCAGGTTCTCTGTTCTGTTCCATTTGTCTATGTGTCTGCTTTTATGCCAGTATCATGCCATTTTGGTTACTACAGCTCTGTAGCATAATTTAAAATTAGGTAATGTGACTCTTCTGCTTAGGAGAGTTGTGGCTATTTGGGATGTTCTGTGATTTTATATAAATTTTAGAATTTTTTTATTTCTGTGAAGAATATCCTTGGTATTTTGATAGGGAATACAGTGCAAAATACAGTACATTGCCTCTGTAGATTGCTTTGGGTACCATGGGCATTTTAAAAATATTGATTCTTCCAATCCATGAAAATAACTTTCCATTTTTTGATGTCTTCTTCAATTTCTTTTATCACTGTTTTACAGTTTTTATCACCGAGATTTTTACTCATTGGTTAAATAAATTCCTAGGTATTTAATTTTATGTGTGGCTATTGTAAATGATATTACTTTTTATTTCTTTTTCATATTGTTCACTGTTGGTATATAGAAATACTACTGATATTTGTGTGTTGATTTTGTATCTCGTAACTTCATTGAATTCGTCAGTTCTAATGATTTTTCTAGTGGAGTCCTTAGGTTTTTCAAAATATGAGATAATATCTTCTGCAAACAAGAAAAATTTGACTTCTTCCTTTCCAGTTTGGATGCCCTTTATTTTTATTTCTTGTCTATTTTTTCTAGCTAGCACTTTAATTCTATGTTGAATAATAGTGGTGAAAGTTAGAATCACTGTCATGTTCCAGATCTTTGAGTAATGACTTTCAGTTTTTCCACATTCAGTATGATACTGGTTGTAGGTCTAACATATGTGATTTTTATTATATTGAGCTATGTTCCTTATATACTCCGTTTTTTATAGGTTTTTACCATGAAGGGATGTTGAATTTTACCAAGTGCTTTTTTTAGCATCATTTGGAATGATTATATGGCTTTTATTCTTCATTCTATTGATATCACATTCCTTGATTTGCATGTGTTGAATCATCCTTGCACCCCTGGGATAGATCTCACTTAGTCATAATGAATTATCATTTCAATATGTTGTTGAATTAAGTTTGTTAGTATTTCTTTGAGGATGTTTGCATCAATGTTTATCAGAGATATTAGGCTGTAGTTCTCTTTTCTTTATGTGTTTTTGTCTGCTCTTGGTATCAGAGTAATACTAGCCCCATAGAATGAGATTAAACACGTTCCTTCCACTTTTTTAAAAATACTTTGGGAGTAGGATTGGAATTTATTCCTCTTTAAATGTTTGGTAGAATTCAGCAGTGAAGCCATCAGGTCCTTGGCTTTTCTTTATTGGCAGACTTTTTATTACAGCTTTTATCTTGTTACTTTGTTATTTATTCAGGTTTGGAACTTGTTTATGGTCCAATCTTCGTAGGTTGTATGTGTTTAGGAATTTGCCCATTTCTTCTAGATTTTCTAATTTATTGGCACATAGTTGCTCACAGTAGCCAATAATGATGCTTCGAGTATCCATTGCACTGTTTTATTTTTCATCTCTGATATTATTTTTATTTCTATTATTCTGGGTTTTTTTCTTAGTCTAGCTGAAGGTTTGTTGATTTTATTTAACGTTTAAAAAAACAACTTTTATTAGTTGTTTATATTGTTTTCTTTCTTTCAATTTTATTTATTTCTGCTCTGATCTTTAGTATTCCTTTTTTTAGTAATTTTAGGTTTGGTTTGATCTTGCTTTTCTGGTTCTTTAATATGCATCATTAATTGTTTAAAGTTTTTCTTTTTTGTTGTTGTTTTTATTTTACTTTAAATTCTGGGATACATGTGCAGAATGTGCAGGTTTGTTACATAGGTTTACATGTGCCATGGTGGTTTACTGCACCTATGAACCCATCACCTAGGTTTTAAGCCCCGCATGCATTAGGTATTTGTCTTAACGCTCTCCATCCCCTTGCCCCCCACCACCCTACAGACCCAGTGTGTGATGTTCCCCTCCCTGTGTCTATGTGTTCTCATTGTTCCACTCCCACTTATGAGTGAGAACATGCGGCATTTGGTTTTCTGTTCCTGTGTTAGTAGTTTCCTAAGAATGATGGCTTCCAGCTTCATCCATGTCCCTGCAAAGGACACGAATTCATTCTTTTTTATGGCTGCATAGTATTCCATGGTGTATATGTGCAACATTTTCTTTATCCAGTCTATCATTTTTGGGCATTTGGGTTGGTTCCAAGTCTTTGCTATTGTAAATAGTGCTGCAATAAACATAGCTGTGCATGTGTCTTTATAGCAGAATGATTTATAATCCTTTGGGTATATGCCCAGTAATGGGATTGCTGGGTCAAATGGTATTTCTGGTTCTAGATCCTGAGGAATTTCCACACTGTCTTCCACAATGGTGGAATTAATTTACACTCCCACCAACAGTGTAAAAAAGTTCTTATTTCTCCACAGCCTTGCCATCCATCATCTGTTGTTTCCTGACTTTTTAATAATCACCATTCTCACTGGCCTGAGATAGTATCCCATCAAAAAGTGGGCAAAGGATATGAACAGACACCTCTCCAAAGAAGACATTTATGTGGCCAACAAACATATGAAAAAAAGCTCATCATCACTGGTCATTAGAGAAATGCAAACTTTTCCTTTTTTTATTTTGATGTTGGCACTTATAAACTTCCTTAGTACTGATTTTGCTATATTCCATAGCGTTTCATATGTTGTGTTTCCATTATCATTTGTCTCCAGAAATTTTTCAAATTTTTCCTAATTTTTTCATTGACCCACTGGACATTCAGAAGCATATTGTTTAATTTCCATGAATTTTTTATAGTTAAAATTTCTCTTGTTGTTGATATCTAGTATTACTCCACTGTGGGCAAAGAAAATGCCTGGTATTATTTTAATTTATTTTGAATGTTTTAAGACTTGTTTTGTGACCTTTCATATGGCCTATCCTTGAGAATGATATATGTGCTGAGAAAAAGAATGTGTATTCTGCAGCCATTAGATAACATGTTCTGTACATAATAGGTCCATTTGTTCTACAGTACACATTGTCTGATATTTCTTTGTTGCTTTCATATCTGGAAGATCTGTCCAATGCTGAATGTGCAGGGTGGAGTCTCCAGCTATTATTGTATTGGGGTCTATCTCTCTTTTTAGTTCTAATAATATTTGCTTTATATATGTGGGTGCTCCAGTGTTGAGTGCATGTATATTAAAAATTCTTATGTCCTTTTGCTGAACTGACCCATTTATCATTATATAGTGACTTTGTCTCTTCTTAAGAGTTTTTGTCTCAAAATATATTTTGTCTGATATATATCATATATTATCATATATAATGTATTATATATTGTATATGGTATAGATATGTATGTATCATATCTGTATATATATGTCATATGTGTATCATGTATGTGCATATCATATGTGTATATATACACATATATATTTTGATATATTATGTTATATATATCTCAAAACATATTTTGTCTGATATATATCATATATTATATATCATATATAATCACACTGATATATATCAGTGATATATAATATATGACATATAATATCATATATATCATATATATGATATATATCATATATATCATATATATGATATATATCATATATATCATAGAACATATATAGATAGATCATATATTATATATTAGATATATTATATATGATATATATACATACATACACATGTATACATATATACATATATACGTATACATATATACATACATACGTATACATATATACATACACACATACGTATACATATATACATACATACACATATATGTATACATATATACATACATGTGTATACATATATACATACATGTATGTATACATACATGTGTATACATATATACATACATGCATGTATACATATATACATACATGTATGTATACATACACGTATGTATACATACATGTATGTATACATATATACATACATGTATGTATACATACATACATATATGCATACATATATACATACATATACATATGTACATACATATATGCATATATTATATACACATATATATCATATACATATATGATATATCATATATAATACGTTATATCATATATAATACGTTATATATGATATATCATATCAATCATATATGATATATTATATGTGATATATATATCATATATGTGATATATGATATATGATATATGACATATAATATATGATATATAATATATGATATATAATCATATTATATATCATATGTTATATATAATATATATCATACATTATATATTATATATGATGTATATGATATACAACATATGATATAAAATATATAATATATTATAATGTATGTATCTATTATATTATATATATGATCATATATAATATATGATGATATATAATATATAATCATATTATATATTATATATGATCATATATAATATGATCATATATGATCATATATCAAATATGATCATATATAATATATAATATGATCATATATCATATATGATCATATATAATATATAATATGATCATATATGATATATGATCATATATAATATATAATATGATCATATATGATATATGATCATATATAATATATAATATGATTATATATTATATATGATCATATATTATATATGATATATATGATCATATATAATCATATGATCATATATATCATATATAATCATATATATACACATATGATATACATATATAATATATAGGTACTCCTGCTCTCTTTGGTTTCCATTGACATGGAATTTTTTTTCTATCTCTTTCTTTTCAGCCTATGTGTATCTTTATAGGTGAAGTGTGTTTCTTGTATGCAACAGATTAATGGGTCTTACTTTATCATCCATTTGGCCAGTCTATATCTTTTGATTGGACAGTTTAGTCCACTGACATTCAATGTTATTATTGATAATAAGGACTTATTCCTGCCATTTTGTTAATTATGTCTGGTTGTTTTATGGTCTTCTCTTCCTTCTTTCATTCCTTCCTGTCTTCCCTTAGTAAAGGTGATTTTCTCTGCTGATTTAATTTAGTTTCTTGCTTTTCTTTTTTGGGTATTCATTGTATGTTTTTGGTTAGAGGTTACCATGTGCTTGCAAATACTATGCTATAACCCATTATTTTAAGCTGATAACAACTTAACACTGTTTGCATAAACAAATAAAGAAAACCTACACTTGACTTTGTCTCCCTGCTCTTTAACATTTTGTTGTTTCCATTTACATCTATTGTATTGTCTATGTCTTGAAAAGTTGTTCTAGTTATTATTTTTGACTGGTTCATCATTTAGGCTTTTTAGTTCAGGAAAGAGTTGTTTACACACCACAGTTAGAGTGTTGTACATTCTGTGTTTTCCTGGATACTTACTATTACAGTGAGTTCTGTACCTTCAGATGATTTCTTATTTCTTATTAATGTCCTTTTCTTTCTGATTGACTTACTTCTTTTAGCATTTCTTGTAGGGTAACTTTGATGTTGATGAAATCACTCAGCTTTTACTTGTCTGGGAAAGTCTTCATTTCTCCTTCATGTTTCAAGGATAGTTTCATCAGCTAACTACTCTAGGGTAAAAGTTTTTTTGTTTTTTGTTTTTTTCCTTCAGCTCTTTAAATATGCCATGTCACTCTCTTCTGGCCTGTAAAGTTTCCACTGAAAAGTCTGCTGCCTGATGGAATTCTACTTTATGTTATTTTTTTTTCTTTCCCTTGGTGGTTTTGGGGTTTTTTTCTTTATCCTTCATCTTTAAGAGTCTGATATGGTTTGGCTCTGTGTCCCCACCCAAATCTCATCTCAAATTGTAATCCCCATCATCCCCACGTGTTAAGGGTGGGACCTGATGGGAGATGATTGGATCATGGGAATGGTATTCCCCATACTATTCTCATGATAGTGAGTTTTCATGAGATCTGATGGCTTCGTAAGTGTTTGAAAGTTCCTCTGACACTCACACACTCTCTCTTGCCTGCTGCCATGTGAGATATACCTATTCGCCTTCTGTCATGATGGCAAGTTTTCTGAGGCCTCCCCAGTCATGCAGAACTGTGAGTACATTAAACCTCTTTCCTTTATAAATTACCAACTCTGGGGGAGTTCTTTATAGCAATGTGAAAATGGCCTAATACAAGAAATTGGTACTGAGAGTGGAGTACTGCTATAGACACCGAAAAGAGTGAAAGTGACTTTGGAACTGGGTAACAGGCAGAGGTTGGAATAGTTTCAAGGGCTAAGAAGAAGACAGGAGGACGTGGAAAGCTTGGAACTTCCTGGAGACTTATTGAACGGTTGTGACCAAAATGTTGATAGTCATATGGAAAATGAAGTCCAGGATAAGGTGGTTTCAGATAGAGATAAGAAACTTACTGGGAACTGGTGTAAAGGTCATTCTTGCTATGCTTTAGCAAAGAGACTGGTGTCATTTTGCCCTGTCCTAGAGATCAGTGAAAATTTGAACTTAAGAGAGATCATCTGAAATTGGAACTTATGTTTAAAAGGGAAGCAGCGTAAAAAAATTGAAACATTTGCAGCCTGACAATACAAAAGAAAAGAAAAACGCATTTTTCTTGGGAGAAATTTAAGCCTGCTGCAAAATTTTCATAATAATGAGGAGCTGAATGTTAATTGCCAAGAGAATGGGAAAAATGTCTCCAGGGCATCACAAACCCAGAGGCCTAGGAAGAAAAGATGGTTTTATGGGCCAGTCCTAGGGCCTTGCTGACTGTGCCATCTCAAGAGTTGGTGCCCTGCATCCTAGCCATGGCTAAAAGGTGACAAGGGATAGCTCAGTCTGCTGCTTCAGGGGGTGCAAGCCCCAAGCCTTGGCTGTTTTCATGTGGTGTTGGGCCAGCAGGTGCACAGAGGTGAAGAACTGAGGTTTGAAAACCTCTGAGTAGATTTCAGAAGATGTATGAATATGCCTGCCTATCCAGGAATATGTATGCTACTAAGGGAGCCCTCACGGAGAACCGCTGCTAGGGTAATGCAGGAGGGAAATGTGAGGTTGGGTCCCCAAACAGAGTGCCCACTAAGACACTGCTTACTGGAGCTGTGAGAAGAGGCCACCATCTTCCAGACCCCAGAATGGTGCATCCACTAACAGCTTGCACCATTTGCCTGGAAAAGCCACAGACACTCAAAGCCAGTTCATGAAAGCAGCTGGGATGGGAGCTGTACCTTGCAAAGCCACAGAGGAAAAGCTGCCCAAGACTGCGGGAGCCGACCCTTTGCATTAGTGTGACCTGGAGGTGAGACATGGGGTCAAAGGAGATTACTTCGGAGCTTTAAGGTTTAATGACTGCCCCGCTAGATTTTGGACTTGCAGGGTGCCTGTATCCCCTTTGTTTTGGCCAATTTCTCCCATTTGAAATACATGTATTTACCCAATGCCTGTATCCCCATTTTATATAGGAAGTAAGTAACTTGCTTTTGATTTTATGGGCTCATAGGCAGAAGGGGCCTGCCTTTTCTCAGATGAGACTTTGGATTGTGGACTTCTGAGTTAATGCTAGAATGAATAAAGACTTTGGGGGACTGCTGGGAAGTCATGATTGGTTTTGAAATGTGAAAATACATAAGATTTGGGAGGGGCCAGGGACAGAACAATATGGTTTGGTTCTATGTCCCCACCCAAATCTCATCTCAAATTGTAATCCCAATAATCCCTATGTGTTGAGGGAGGGACCTGATGGGAGTGATTGGATCATGGGGGCTATTTCCCCCATGCTGTTCTTGTGATAGTGAGTGCTTAGGAGACCTGATGGTTTTGTAAGTGTTCAACAGTTTTTCCTATACACACACACTCTCTCTTGACTGCTGCCATGTAAAATGTACCTGTTCTCCTTCCACCGTGATTGTAAGTTTCCTGAGGCCTCCCAAGCCATGCAGAACTGTGAGTCAATTAAACCTGTTTTTGTTATAAATTACCCAGTTTGAGGCAGTTCTTTATAGCAGTGTAAGAATGGACAAATAAAGTCTGATTATTAAGTGCCTTGATATAGTTTCCTTTGGGTTAAATACACTTGGTGTTCTATAACCTTCCTTTACTTACATATTGATATCTTGCTTTAGTTTTGGGGAATTCTCCATTGTTATCTCTCAGAATAAACTTTCTACCCCTCACACTTTCTTTACCTCATCTGGTAGATCAATAATCTTAGATTGCCCTTTTGAAGCTGTTTTCTAGATCCTGTAGGTGTGCTTCGTAGTTTTTTTATTATTTCTCCTTTTTTTATCCTCTGACTGTATTTTCAAATATCCTGTCTTCAAGCTCACTAAGTCATTCTTCTGCTTGACCAATTCTGCTATTAAAAGACTGTGATGCATTCTTCAATGCATCAATTGTGTTTTTCCACTCGAGAATTTCTGCTCGATTCTTCTTAATTTTGTCAATCTCTTTGTTACATTTACCTGACAGCATTCTGAATTCCTTCTCTGTGTTACCTTGAATTTTTTTGAGTTTTCTCAATAAAGCTATTTTCAATTCTCTGTCCAAAAGGTCATGTATCTCTGTTTCACAAAGATTGGTCCCTGGTGTCTTATTTACTTAATTTGGTGGAGTTATGTTTTCCTGGATAGTCTTAATATTTATAGATGTTCATTTGTGTCTGGGCATTGAAGTTAGGTATTTATTGTTTTCTTTGCAGTCTGAGCTTGTTTGCGATTGTCCTTCTCGGGAAAGCTTTTCAGATATTCAAAAGGAATTAGATGTTTTAACTTAAGCTGTATCTGCTTTAGGAGCTACCCCAGGACCAGTAACACTGTTGTTTTTGAAGATTCATAGAGGAACCGCCTTGATTTTCTTGATCAAGATCTGGAAGAATTATCTCAATTGCCAGGTAGAATTCTTGTTCTTTTCCATTACTTTTTCCCAAACAAATGAAGTCCCTTTTTCTCTGTTCTGAACCACCTAAAGCTGAGGGTAGAGAAACCCAAGCCCTCCTGTAGTCACCACCACTAGGACAGCTCTGGGTCAGACTTGAAGCCAGCAGGTTCTTGCCCAAGGCCTGCTATAACCACTACCTGCTACTGCCTATGTTTGCTTAGGGCCCTGAGGCTCTACAATCAGCGGGTGCAAAGCCATCCAGGGCTGTGTCTTTACCTTCCACTTGGTGAGTTCCTCCAGGCCCTGGGCAGGTCCAGGGTTGCCCTCCATTAGACAGCCAGGGACTGAAGTCTGAAACCTTAGAAGTCTACTGGTGTTCTATGTTCTATTGTACTGTGGCTGAGCTGGCACTCAAATCACAAGATGCAGTCCTTCCCACTCTTCCCTCCCCTTTCTAAAGACAGAGAAGTCTCACCCTATAGTTAGCACCACCACCACAGACCCACAAGGAGTACTACTGACTACTGCCAATGCTCCCTTAGGGCCCAAGGGCTCTTCAGACAGTTCATGGTGTGAATGCTCCTGGCCTGAGACTCACCCCTGAGGGCAGTGAACTCCCTTCTAATGCTATCCAGAAATGCTGTCCAAGAGCTATATCCTGGAATTGGGAATCCCAAGACCCTGTTTGATGCTCTACCCCTCTGTGGCAGAGCTGGTACCTAAGGTTTAAGACAAAGTTACCTTTACTTTTTTCTCCTCTTTCTCAAGCAGTAGGATTCTTACCCCATATCCACCACAGGTGGAAATCTGCTGAGTCTCACATGAAGCCAGCAGGTCTCATAGTCTCACCCCAGACCCTTAACATAGTACCTGCTTATCACTGCTGGTTATTCAGGACCCAAGAATGCTTCATTTTGCAGATGATGAATGCTGTCAAGACTGGGTTCTTCCCTTCAAGGCAGAAGGCTCCCTTCAGGCCCATGCTGTGTTTAGATATGTCATCCAGTAGCCAGGTTTTCAGAAAGAAACCTCATGACTCTAGTGCCCTGTCTTGCTGTGGCTGAGCTGGTATCCAAGATGCAAGACAAAGTCTTAGGATTCTGCAGCAAACAAGGCAGAGTTCCTATAGCTGGATGTGAAGCAGAGAGCTCTTTGCACAGGAGATTTTAGAAATGTACGAAAGAGTTTCTCATCTTTGGGGGTAATAGGCAGAAGTGTTGAAAAATCCAACCCTCAAAGACAAAATACAGAGCCTTCTTGGACTGATATTGAATCAAGGTAACTGAGAAATACTAGAAAATGCACCAGATAATTCCACCCTCACACCAAGCAATAGCAACCTAGTCCTGGAGAAATGTGATGTCTGTGGGCTGGTCTGAAGGGGACTAAACATCAAAAAAACTCAATATCAATTCAAACAATTACTAATAGTATATTAACTCAGTTTTCAACATTAATGGCCTGATAGAAGAAAACAGTTGTCTATTTTAAGACATGAAAACTTTGTATATCAGTATCTACCTTTTAAGCAGTCAGTTCGAAATTAAGGGAAAAATTACACAGAAGAATAAAAGAACTTATTAAGAGATAAAGTAGTCAACTAAATCAAACTCAGATGTGGCTAAGTTGTTAAAACTGACAGGAATTTAAATATAACTGTGACTAACATACTAAGAAATCTAGTGGAAAAGAAGGATAGCATTTGTGGACAAAAAAAAGGAATCAGAGCACACTAATAAAAAATATGAAACTGAGTCAAATGATAACTCTAAAATTTTTTAAAATGTTACTAGACATAATGAATTCCCTTGAAAGTGATAAAGTTGGACACAGCTAAGGAGACAAACAAGAAACTTTGAGATAAATCATTATACAACATCAAAGCTGAAAGACAAAAACAAGGACTATGGAAAAAATTTTTAAAAAGTACAGAACATCCAAAAGTTCTAACATACATGTATTCGGAGTCCCAGAAAGTGAATAGAGAATCAAAAAGCCATGTCCTAGGTAAGCGCAAATAAACTGAGAAAATTCATATCCTAGAAAAGGTGTGGGGTCAGAATGAAAGAAGTCCAGAATTTGGAGCGCCTGACAATAGTTTTATTACAAATCTTTAAATTTAGTCAAATGTATGAGCAAGATACCAAAAAAGAAATAAGTAGGACTTCAGCAGGTACCAATATAAGATATTAATAAGCTGGGTAGAAAAGGGGGCATTTCAGCAGTGGCCAATGAGATGTTAGAAACAGCTTGTGGATCAAAAGTTTTGTGACTGTGAAGATTAATACAACTTTTTATGCCCACCAAGATGAAGTAGATATTAGAAAACTTGAGAATAATAGAATAATCTCAGTAGGGAGTATGACCTCTGAAGGGACTATGTAATTAACCTCAATGAGACTGCTTTAAAACAGAAGGGCTTTCTCTACATTTAATTGGAAAATTTATGAATATTTGGCTTCTAATGTAAGATACATACATTTTAAAAGTAAGTATCTAACACTTATATAACACTAACTATGGAACAGATAAAATTCTAAGTGTTTTATTTATACCAACTCATTCATCCTAACAATTACCACAGGAAGTAGGTAACTATGAGGAGTATCCTTGTTTTAAAAATGAGGAAACAGGCACAAAGAAATTTATCAAGATTATACAATTAGAAAATGGCAAGGCTTAGATATAAACTTCTGTAAGAGGCTCGCAAGTTCAAATTTTTAACTACCACCATAGTGAATGGGGGCTATAAAAAAGTAAGGCCCTTTAGAAAAAAACCGAGAAAGTTATGTTTTTATACACATGAGCTAATAAAGGTAAATTCTGGCCTCAATGCATTCTTTACTAATTAGTACATTAAAAAGGGTACCTTTCCTGTGGCCCCCTCTTGGTGTACCATTTTTGGCCTCATTTTATAACTTTAGACATGTAGGGTATCAATATTGATTTTTAAACAGTTTTGCATGTTCCTTTTTATTTCCTTTTGGCACAAATTTTTGGCAATTTGTATTTAGCTTTCATTTTGTCTATGTTTTTTGTTGCTCTTTTTTTAATGTCCGGTAAACATTGACTTACCAAGAAAAATTGTGTAGGTCATGCATGTTGACATTTTGTAAGGTAGCTAAGGATGATGGGATCCATGATGTCTCATTGTGTTTGGCCTTCTGGATATACATCACATATCTTCACTGCAGAAAATTATCTTTTATGTTTGTGATAGCTGTGATGCACTCATTAACTCACTTAAAAAAATACCTTTTCTGTCATTTTTTGGCTTGTGGTGAAAAATGGGCAAATCCAGCATCTGTTCAGTCTATCATCCAAAAAAACATAAAAATTAGGAAAATTAAGTCCACAGAAAGCATATATGTCTTTTTGCTGTCTTCATGCATGTGAATGACAGGTTGGCAGAGTGTAAAATTCTTGGAACAGAAAGATTTTCTCTAAAAACTCTGCATATGTTGCTAAAATCTGGCATATTATCTCCTGACTAATTTTTCATCCTATATAAAAGTTCTGTTTTGCCTAGATGCTTATTGTTTCTTTTTCTTTCACATCAAGACATTCTTTGTGCATTTTCTAGGTGTAGAGGTTTCTCCATTTTTAAAAAATATCTATGTTTACTGCTTTTGTTTGATATATCAACAATTAAGAGGGACATATTAATATTTCCAAAATTAGCTGGGTTTTGGGCCATTTCTCCTTATATTATTATTGGAATATAGAAACTCAAATATTGATCAAATTGTAATATGTATATTAGATATACTGTCAATATAACTAGATCCAGTTCATGCTGTTTCATGCTTTTTCTTTACTTATATTTTTATGATGTAAATATTATCACTCAAACATTTTATCATTTGATTTTTACATTACAAATCATTGTTTCACTGTTTTCATTTAATTATATTAATTTATTTTAGTTGCATCTCCTGAAAACAGCAAATAATTTCACTTTAAAATTTCCTTTTGACCGGCTTTATCAAACGTTTTTAGTCAGATGGTGAGAGTCAGGTTTCTCACTGTTGAAGTGGAAGTTCCCTACAGTCATTGTAGTAAGACCAGGGTAACAGAAATCCAATATTACAAAAAATAGTCAAGGACAACTAAAGATTTAGTGACTGCTTTTCATGCAGGCTAAGAATATGTTTTTGCTGATTTTGAGTTGGACTATTTACAGATATTTTCTTAAACAGAAAAAAATTAAGTGCATGGTTAGCTTACATAAATCCTTTCTGAATGATGGTATATGCTTTAAGCATAAAAGGCAAGTGGCACAGCAAAAGTTAAGTATCTTGAAATCAGCAAGGTCACTCTTGCACAGACTCTGTTAATGCCAGCTGCACATCTCCATCTGGGACTCTGGGGAACCTCAGGCAGCTGAAATGGGCCAAGTCAAATATGTTTCTGTTCACTGTGGCCATAATACTAGCCTCTGTTTCTGGATTCTTGTTTATATAAATCAGGGTATAAACCCCAACTTGCAAATGTATGAACTGAGTCTGGCCCACAGATCTTGTGTTTTGACCTAATTGTTCTCTTTATACCATATAATCAGCCAAAAATTGGATTTATTTATCTGGGCGTGGATACAAAGGCAAAAGACAGAAGTAACAGCAGTTCCTTGCCCCTACTCTGCCCACAATTCAATGTCACTTCATTCTCTCATAACTCAGATTTTTTCTTTTTGCCTCAAGAGTGATGTAACCACTATGTGTGTGTATAATGATTTCTTTCAGGTAGTGATTTTGCAGTGCTCCTCAGATATGCCCCCAGATGTGTCTATTCAGTTGTGGATTGGTTCAAAGGAAAAGAGTGAGAGATTCATGGTCACCACAGTTAAAGAAAAAATTATTTTGACACTTGTTAAAACTGTAAGGAAGACTTCATTCAGGGCTCTCATGATAGATGTCAAAACTATCACAGTAGGAGAGAAAGATGGAGCCTAACTGAACAAACAAAAACAAGTAGAGATTTCCAAGGAACAAGCAGAATGAAGGGTCAATGGACAGAAAATTACTAAGACAGCTGGGCGTGATGGCTCACGCCTGTAATCCCAGCACTTCAGGAGGCCGAGGTGCACAGATCACGAGGTCAGGAGTTTGAGGTCAGCCTGACCAACATGGTGAAACCTTGTCTCTACTAAAAATACAAAAATTAGCCGGCCGTGGTAGTGCGTGCCTGTAATCCCAGCTACTCATGAGACTGGGGCAGGAGAATCACTTGAACTCGGAAGGCTG
The DNA here is from genome assembly GCF_000001405.40 of Homo sapiens. Taxonomy (NCBI): domain Eukaryota; kingdom Metazoa; phylum Chordata; class Mammalia; order Primates; family Hominidae; genus Homo; species Homo sapiens. Next base: position 13,352,386 of record NC_000002.12, on the reverse strand, counting down.
AGATCACGCCACTGCACTCCATCCTGGGTGACAGAGTGAGACTTTGTCTCAAAAAAAAAAAAAAAAAAAAAGGAAAAAAAGAAAATTGCTAAGAGGAGACATCAAGTGTAGTGGCATTCTTACTAACCCCTGAGGACCAAATAGGATTCTTGCTGAACGCAAGCTAGGGTGATCGGGTATTGCCTGAGGGATGGTGAGGGACGAGAAATTTAATCAGATATCCAGGGTGATTAGACATCAAGGGTGGATGATGGTCTGTAAACTGACAGCAGGATTTTCCTTAAAATTGAGCTTTGCAGGCCCAGGAGATTGTGGACCAAGGTCAAGGCCTAGTGAAAAAGAGCGCAGTGAGGAGCTTGACTCCGTTGTGGTTAAGAGGTGAGTCTTTACACCATGCACCACATAAATGAGAAGCAATTCATGGGATGACTTTCTGAAAACTCAGTTATGGGTTTGCTCAGTCCAGAGCAAACACCATGAAAAATAGGACTCTACCACAGTTGATGCAATATATGCTTTAAAATAGCAAAGAATATATGGCACTCTTTCTCCCATAGCCAGAGTAGAAATGTTTGGGAATGAGGGGTGGAAGTGTTTGACTCATCACTCTTTCAGCTGACTTATAGCACTTTTCTGAGTCTTTGCTATACAGAGATTGTCTTTTCTATTTTTAATTTTAATATATGAATTTCTTTGAAGTACAAACAAGAAGAGAGAGTCTAGTGTATATTTACTTATTGATGGCTATTAACTCAATTTTCTCTATTTAACAATTGAACAATTGTTTTGTAAAATTCTATACTGGCTGAGACTTTCATCAGGAATGCTACCCTCCTCCGCACAAGAGGACCTGTGACCCATAGTGGGCTAATTGATCCTTTTGTCACAGCATTTGGACCATGGCCATAGGTAGATATAAAAAGAGAATGAAAAACGATAGACATCTATTCCTAATGACAGAGTGTTACAATAAGACAATGATAGCTTTGATTCCTGCTTCTGTTATGAGATTAATCATACTAATGAAGTTTACATGCATCATAGATGCGCAGGCTAAAGAAAAAATATCAAAGTAACACCTGTGTAACAACAGGTGTTGCAAATATTTATATCATAGAGTATGCATATCTTGACAGGACCAGACAATGCCAAACTTTTCCAAAGTAGTTCTACAGGTTTACATTTCCATCAGCAGGGTATGAAAATTTCTTTGCTTCATTTTTTAAAATACTTGTTATGCCTAACTTTAAAATTTTTAAGAATGTGGCAGATTTGTTACCTCATTAAGGTTTTAATTTGCAATTATGTAATGACTAATGGGGTTAATAATATTTATATGTTTGTTAATCATTTAGCTTTACTTCTTAATAAACATTTCAACTCTCATGCACATTTTTGATCATTTAGCTTTTTGTTGAGATGATTTATATGTCTAGATTTGAATTCATTGTCAGACAAATGATGGTTACTTAAGAGTGATGTAACCACTATGAGTGACTTTCTTACTTTGAAGGCTGACTTTCTTTCTTAAATGATCCTATTGATTAATAGAAGTTCACACTTTTAATCTAGTCAAATTATCAACATTTGTTTTTATGGTTAGTATTTTTGTAATGTTTAAGAAAGCTTTCCCCATACTGAATTACTTAACCTACTCTGTAATAATATCATCAGAAAGTAATTCCTTTTTGTCTTCCACATTTAAAGTTTTGTTGTTTTCTTTCTGTTCACACACAATTGTCCCAGCTTCTTTTGTAGAAAAGTCTGTCCTTGCCTAATTACTTTGCAATGCAGCCTATGTAATAAGTCAAGAGTCCACAGGTAAACGGGTCTTTCCCTGGGCCACTCTCCTGTTCACATAGCATTTGTGTCTTACGTGAAAAACACAGCCTTCTAATTACTGTAGATTTATGAACAGCTGATATCTGGAAGATATTTCTTTTTTATCATGAAGTGCCAATTAAATCTAAATTTCTCAATTTTCTTTTGGTTTTTAGAGCTTTTTCTTATTTAATTGTTGGAGGTCGTTATACATCTGGATGCTGAAATTTTGTTGGTTATGTTTGTTACAGATCATTGTGATTTTCACTGGGTGTTTGGTATCTAAGGATAAACTAAATCTCTTAATTTAAATATAGTTAAATATATGTCTTTTCTTTCATGGTTAATAATTTTTGTAATGTATTTAACATTATAATAATATTCCGCAATATTAATTTGTAAAATATATGTAACAAAAAAAGCCGCATAACCAATGCAATTCTAAGCAAAAAGAACAAAGCTGGAGGCATCATGCTAACTCACTTCCAACTATACTACAGGGCTACAATAACCAAAACGGCATGGTAATGGTATAGAAACAGACACCTAGACCAATGGGACAGAATAGAGAACCCTAGAAATAAGACAGCATACCCACAACTATCTAATCTTTGACAAAGCAGACAAAAACAAGAAATGGGGAAAAGATCTATTCAATAAATACTGCTGGGATAACTGGCTAGCCATACGCAGAAGATTGAAAGTGGACCCCTTTCTTACACCACAAACAAAAATTAAGTCAATATAGATTAAATACTTAAAGGTAAAACTCTGAACTATAAAAACTCTGGAAGACAACCTAGGCAATGCCATTCAGGACATAGGCACAGGAAAGAGTTCATGACAAAGACATCAAAAGCAACTGCAACAAAAGTAAAAATTGAGAAATTGACAAATGGGACCTAATGAAACTGAAGAGCTTCTGAACAGCAAAGGAAACCATAAGCAAAGGAAACTATAAACAAAGTAAATAGGGCCAGGCGCAGTGGCTCAAACCTATAATCCTCACACTTTGGGAGTCCAAGGCGAATGGATCAGTTGAGGCCAGATGTTTGAGGCTAGCCTGTCCAACACAGTGAAACTCCATCTTTACTAAAATTACAAAAAATTAGCTGGGAATGGTAATGCACGCCTGTAATCCCAGCTACTTGCGAAGCTGACGCATGAGAATCATGTAAACCACCGAGGTGGAAGTTACAGTGAGCCAAGACTGTGCCACTGAACACTAGCCTGGGAGACAGAGCTAGACGCTATCTAAAAAAAAAAAAAAAAAAAAAAAAAAAGAGAGAGTAAACAAACAGGTAACAACATAAAGAATGGAAGAAAATTTGTGAAAGTTATGCATCAGGCAAAGGTCTAATATGTAGCATCTACAAGGAACTTAAACAAATTTACAAGAAAGTATGAAAAGGTCATAAACAGACACTTTTCAAAAAAAGACATACTTGCCGCCAGCAATCATATGAATAAAAGCTCAACATCACTATCATTAGAGAGATGCAAATCATAACCACAATGAAATACTATCTCACACCAGTCAGAATGGCTATTACTAAACAGTCAAAAAATAACAAACGCTAGTGAGGCTGTGGAGAAAAAGGAATGCTTATACACTGTTGGTGGGAGTGTTAATTAGTTCAACCATTGTGGATGACAGTGTGGCAATTCCTAAATACGTCAAACACCATTCAAACCAGCAATCCCATTACTGGGCACATACCCAAGGGAATATAAACCACTCTACTATAAAGACACATTCAGTTGTATGTTCACTGCAGCACTATTCACAATAGCAAAGACATAGAATCAACCTAAACGCCCATCCATGATAGACTGGATAAAGAAAATCTGCTACATATATACCATGAAATACTATGCAGCCATAAAAAAGAAGGAGATCATGACCTTGGCAGAGACATGGATGGAGCTAGAGGCCATTATCCTTAGCAAATTAACATAGAAACAGAAAACCAAATCCTGCATGTTTTCACTTATAAGTGGGAGCTAAACGATGAGAACACATGGACACATAGTGTAGAACAACACACACTGGGGCTTATCAGAGGGTGGAGGGTGAGGAGGGAGAGGATCAGGAAAAATAACAATATGTCCTTGGATTAATACCTGGGTGATGAAATAATCTGTACAACCCTACCCCCCTCCCCAGCCCATGACACAAGTTTACCTATGTAACAAACCTGCACATGTACCCCTCAACTTGTAATAAAAGTTAAAAAATTATGGACCATAAAAAAAGAAACTTAAATTTGAAATCCCAATGTTAATGCCTAAATCGTAACAATTTTAAAAATAAGAAATAAATTTCCAAATTAAAAAAATAATATTTACAATTTTATCTATGCCTTTAGTTCACTTAAAATCATTTATTATGATCTGAGTGATCCTAGCACCATACATTTCTCCCTTCCCCAAAATGCCACCTCCATATATCATGTATGTGTGGGTGAATTTTAAAGCCTGAATATGATGTTTGATTTGTCAATTTGTGCATTTTTTCACCAATACTATAGTATCATAATTATTTATAGAGCTTTATGGTAAGTCTGCATAAATTCTAAGGTAAGTCCTTACATTTTAGTCTTTTTCAAAAATATCATTACTGTTTTTCATTTGTTTCTAATATACCAAAATATAATGATTTTTAATATATTGATATTTTTACCTAGAAAATTTCCTAAATTCTTAATTCTAAAAATATATATTTTAGGTATTATACATTTTCTATTTGTATCATCACCATCTGCAAATAATCACAGTATTATTTATTCCGTTTAAATTATTTTTAATTGAATACTTTCATGCTAACTTGGAACTCTGGCCCAAAATTAAATAAAACAAGCAATAACACATATTTTTGTCTTTTCTCTCTCACAGGAAAAATTATTAGCATTTTAACAGTAAGTATATTTGCTATAGTTTTTAATAAATTTATCAGATTAAGGAAGTTTCTCTAGGATTGAAAATTTTTTATCGTAAATAGATCTTCAATATTATTTGTCCTTTCTGTATGCACTGATTTAAGGTTTTGATGTTTTTATCTTTAATCTGTTAATGTGGAGAATGATTTTTTTTTTTTTGAGGACTAAATAGAATCTTTAGGGATGGGGGAAATCAGTAAGTGTTATATCTGTTATGTGCTGCTGAATCCAGTTTGCTAATATTCTCTTTGGATTATTTGTATCTGTGCTCATAAATTTGAGCATTTTCCTACCCACTACTATCCTTGAGAGTTTCTTGTATCAAGCTATGTAAATCTTATTTTTAAAATTGCATATTTCTTTTTTTCTATTGTTCTCCAAGCTTTTTCTCCCAAGCATCAAACAAATACTTAAAGCTTCTAATATTCATCCAGAAATGGTCCATTCATTTAGTCAGCTACCAATATTTTGTTTCCAACAAAGAAGTTTAACAGCAGAGAAAATGTAGTCAATTTCGGTTTTAAAAGACAGACTTTTATTTTTTAATTGCTGCACATTAAATTATTTTATTTTTGACCTAAAATTTCAAATATACATAGGATATTTTTGCTGGGGTTTCTGTTTATAATTTTGTTAGTAATACAGTCAATAGTTTTGATCTCTATACCTGGGTATGTTTTGATTTTTGTAATTTTTACAAATAGTATTAATTTTGATCCTTGTATACACACTATTTTTTCTTCCTGATGAATTACTCTAGCCACTGATTAAATTTATTTTCTATGTTCTCCTCATTGATCATCCCACTATTTTCAAATTTTTATGTTGTTCTGATTCTTAACGAGTTTATTGTGTCATCCGCATCATTAATTTGATGTATTTTGAAATTTTAATTCCTCTCATTAAACCTTCATTGAAACTTTTAGTTCTGCTTTTATTTTGTGTTTTATGTTTATCTCACCTGTTTCTTTGCACTTTTGATACTGCTGTTTTTCCCGTTTTTTTCTGTCATTATCGATGTCTGATTCTCTTTGATGACATTTGTAACTTCTTTCATTCCGCTGAAGAGAAAAACTTCTTGTAAAAAGTTATTCTAATTAAAATACTAAATCAGTTTTGCAGAGGGCAATTCTCTGAAATTTCAGGTTTATATCCATTTCAGTTTCTCTTTACTGTCATTTCTTTTAAAAATTTTATCTGTAATAAACTTCTCCAAAGCTTATGGTTTCTAAAAACAGGTAGGGCTGTGGCTTCACTCAATCATTTTGTCTTTAAACTTCTGTTCAGATCTACACTAGAGGTTGGATTAGATGTTTACATGTAAGTTCCATCCACAATGTCCTTCACTCACTGTTTGCAATTTCTTTATTATGTAAGAAATCTTTACTGCCTGCCCTGATTAGATTCATGGGACTCTGCAGTAATTTTCTATTTTACATATTATATTCCTTCTACATACATTAATTTTTTATTTAAGAGCTTTATTGGGATATAGTTGACATGAAATCAACTTTACATATATGTAAAGGGTACAATTTGATAAGTTTGGACATATGTACACACCCATAAAATCACCACCAAAATCAAGATAATGAGCATCTACATCACACCAAAAGTTTCACTGTGACCATTTATATTTTCTCCTAACTTTACCCACGTTTCCAGGCAAATTTTGATCTGCTTTAAATTGTCAATTAGGATGTCTTTTTCAAAAGTACTTCATTTAAATGAAATCATATTACTCTCTTCTTTTACTCACAATAATTATTTAGAGGTCTGTGATATTGTGTGTCAATAGTGATTTATTGCCATTGCTGAATAGTATTCACTTATAAATATAACACCATTGGTTCATTCATTCATTTTTGATAGATATTTGGACTGTTTCTAGATTGGAGGTATTTTGAATGAAGCTGCTGTGAATATTCATGAACAATGTACAAGTTTTTGTATGGACATATGCTTTCTTTTCCTTTGCTTGAATGCCTAAGTGTGAAATGGCTGGATCACATGGTACATACATGCCTAATTTTTAAAGAAGCAATCAAACCACTTTTGAAATAGTAGTAATATTTCACATAACCAACCATAGTGTATAAAACTGCAGAAGTTCCACAACATTAGCAACACTTGGTGTCATCAGTCTTGAACTTTGAACATTCTAGTAAGTGTGTAGTGGTACATTTGTAAATTTTGCGTCTAATAAATTATATACTGTAATTTAATTTCTATTTCCCTAATGACTAATGAGATTAAGCATCTTTTCATGTGCTTATTTGTCATTTTTATTTATATCTGATTTAGTGATGTCTCTGTTAACATTTTGCCAATCATTTTATCAGGTTATTATCATACCTTTAAAGTATTTTATGGAATCTGAATACAAAAATCTTTATTAAACATGTGACTTAAAAGTTGCTTCCTTAACTTTGTGGCTTGACTTTTCATTCTCTTAATGCTTTTCAAAAGGCAGGAGTTTTTATTCTTAAAGAGTTTAATATATATGTACACATATATAAGTACATGTCTTTACACACACACATATAAGTATGTAATTTTTAATTTTATGGATCATGATTTTTGGTGTCATAAGTAGAAATACTTAACTCAAAAATTTCTTTTCTACATTTTCTTCAAGTTTCAAATTTTACATTTAGGTACAGGATCTCTTTTAAAATAATTTTTCTATACAGTGTTAAACATAGATTGAAATTGCTAGTTCAATATTTTATTTTCAAACGTGTATCTAATTATTCTAGCACAATTTGTTGATAAGATTATACTTTCTCCAATTAAACGAGTTGACCATATATGTGTGGCAATATTATGGGATGCTCCATTCTGTTCCATTGATTGGTTAGTATAACTTAAGGCCACTATCATTTTATCTTGATAACTGTGGCTTTATAATAAACCATGGAATGAAGTCATTTTAGTTCTCCAACTTCATTCTTCTTTTTCAAAGCTATTTTAGCTATTCTGGCTCTTTTACATTTCCATTTGAATTTCAGAATCAGTTTGTCAATTCCTACAAAATGTCTGCTGAGATATTGATCAGAATTGAACTACATCAATAGATCTATTGGGGGGACTTGACATCTTAGCAATAATTAGACTTCTAACTCATGAATGTGGTAAAAGTCTCCATTTATTCGTTTTTTTACCTCAATATTTTGTAATATTCACATATGTTGTAATATTTATACTTAAATATTTTGTTGTTGATGTTATTAAAAACCATATTATTCTTTACATTCTATTCCTTTTTTATTGCTAGTATATAAAAATACAACTTGTCAACTTGTATATTAATTTTTATCTTGTAATCTTGTTAAACTCATTTATAAGTTCTACAAGTTTTTGTAGATTTTATTGTATTTCCACATACATGATCATGTCATCTACAAATAAAGACAATTTTTCATCTGACTTTTAAACCTGGATGCAATATGTTTCTTTTTGTTGTTTTATTATACTGGCTAGAAACTCTCCTAAAATATTGAATAGAAGTGCTTAGAGCAGGCATCCTTACCTTATTGCTGACATTAGAAAAGAAAAATCAACTTTTACTATTAAATATGATGCTAGGTGTAGGCTGATCATTGATACCTTATATCAGGCTGAGAAAAGTTCATTGTATTTCCACTTAGCTGAATAATATCAATAACGAATGTTGAATGTTGTCATTTTTTCTGTTTCTATTGCAATTAGGTGCTTTTTAAGCCTATAAATATTTAGGTTGATTTAATTTTTATTTTGTGAATATGTTAATTTTTTTAATGTTAAGCCAGCCTGGCTTTAAAGGAAATATTGTGCTATACAGGAAACGTTATACTATCTGTTATGTTTGCTTATTTTTTAATTTTTATTTCGGTAAAATATATATAACAAAATTAACCATGTTAAACATCTTTAAGTTATGGTATCAATTACATTCACCTTGTGAATATCAATTACATTCACCTTGTGAATTAATACATATGGTATCACTTACACTCACTTTGTTGTACAACTAGTCTTCAGAACTTTTTCTTCTTGCAAAACAAACTCTGTATCCATTAAACACAAACCCTGTTTCTTCCTCTGCTCTGTCCCTGGGGACCACCATTCTATTTTCTCTCTCTAATTTTAATTTCTCTAGCAACCTCAAATAAGTAGAATCACACTATTTGTCCTTTTATGTATGGCTGACTTGTTTTACTTAGCATAATGTTTTCAAGGTTCATCCATATTGTAGCATGTGTCAGAATTTCCTTACTATTTAAATGTATATTCATTTTATGTATATTTCATTTTATATTCAAATGAATATCATATATTCATTTTATATATTTATATTTTATTTTATATATTATATATTATATACTTTTTCAAATATATATAAAATATTAATTTTATATGTATTTCATTTTATGTATTGACCATATTTGCTTATTCATTTATCTGTCAATGAACCCCTTGGTTGCTTCCACATTTTGGCTATTGTGAATAATGCTTCTATGCACATAAGTGGACACAGTTCTATTGTACCTGTGCAATCCATATTTCACTGGATTAAAACAATTTTAGCCACTACAGTCTTCCTAGACTCTCTGCTCTTTCTCTTCAACTCTAGGAGTCTGATGGATTCTGCCTGGGTTTTTCTTCCCTGTACCATAGTCTGATAATTCTAGTAAGACAATAATTTAGGGCATTCATGGGACTCACTTTATTTGTTTCCTATTCCTCAAGGATCAATGTCCTGTATTACCTGCTGTCCAGTGTTTTGAAAATAATCATGTCCTATATTTTGTCTCTGAGTGTGTGTGTGTGTGTGTGCATGTGCGTGTGTGTGTCTCAAGTGGTTAAATCTGTATTACTTTATCTTTCCTAGAAGTACGTGTCTAAATTTGTTTTATCATACTAAAATGTTAAATTTTTTTTTCTTTTAGCTTGTTTTAACATTACTAAAATTTATTTTTGTTAAGGATGTTAGGCAGAAATGTAATATGATTTTTCCATGTGAATAAGCAGTCATCAGAGCACATTTATTAAATATTCTGTTCTCATGATTACATGGCATCTGATATTTTATAGCCAATTTAAATTCTCAATACCCATTCATGTATATTACTTTATTACATTCTTTAAGGAAATTTAAATGAGGTGTTGTACTGGTGAGTTTATTTTCTCCATAAAATATCTAAGAAAATTGAAGATCATCACGGTTAAATTACTTGTCCAAGTCTGCACAGAATTCAGTGACTGAATTGGGAATATAATTCATACGAAAGAGCTATGACTAAAACATTTGCCACTCCATTAATCTCTAGGCATGATTCCCCTAATCTGGTTGAAGAAGTGGTTTCTCACTTAATGTAAAACTGTCTAAAAGTGTGCTTACACCTTAAAAGCAAGAAAGGAAAATTTCTGTTTTTTGTGAAGGAAATTTACTTCCAGGATTTATATGTTTATTAATTGTGGCATAGTTTTTTTCACTTATTCATTTAGCATACTCATATTATATCATTTCATTATATCACTTCATTGAATTACATATAATTATATATATAACTGAATCATTTTGTCAGTTGGGTAACTCAGCTCCCTAATACGGTTAATGGCTGTTACTTTCAAGTTATTTTTTAATGGTAATAAATAGTGAATTTATATATTCCAAATTCATGTCTAAATCAAAGTCTTATTAACAACTTTTGGGGAGTTATACACAAAATATTGTATTTTATACTTTTCTTACATTGTATGTTGTATGCTGGCATCATGTATAATAACTTTGTGTCTGTATGCAGTCATATATATAAATGCTCAAAGAAATATTAAAGACGTAAAAAAGAAAATTTAGGGTTGCAAACATTATATCAGATACAATAGAATTTTACTATGTGCTCTCTCCTATGTGTGACTAATTTAAATATTAACTCTATTTATACATTTCCAATCTTAGGCTAGTGCTATTTTTCTCTTTTAAATATGTAAAACTCAGAAAGGCTAATTCACTAGGCTATTTTCACACAGCCAGGAAATGTTATTGTGGAGACTCAAATTGAATCTTACCTAACTTTGCAATTCATAATGTTCTCATTTTATTGTACCCCAAGATAACAGGTGTTTAGTTTTTATATCTCAACAAAATATGTACGCAGTACTACAAGGTATAAAAACATACTAGTAAGTGCCGTTTGTGACTCATCACTTAAGTCCATAGTAGTTTTCTCTCATAGCATGCTAGAGCTACGGCAAAGTATCTCTACTTTGAGATAATATCATTTTTTTCAACAACTGTTAGAATTTTATTTTCCTACCTCCAATATGCTCCAGTGTAATTAATGAGTTTGATTAGAAAGATGAATACATATCTACTTCTGACATTATCTCCTAAGAACAAATGTTTTTACATTTCCTCACACTATCAAAACAAGCATACACACATAGAATAATGTGTATGATCTTGAATATCATTCTTGGTGATTAAATCTTATAACTCGAATGAGTGATAAAATGCTACAGAAGCAGACATTCTGAAAACCTGTGAGGGAATGCCTAGGAGAGAGAAGTGATTGAGAAGCCTACATATGGGTAGAATCATAGAAAGAACTGGGACGTCTGGGTGAATTGCTGACTCCAAGGAGACATTAGATACATGTTCAGATCTCTGAATTACTATTGTCAGGATAATATATGCTGTGTCATCTCAGAAATCTCCCATGGAGCAATTCAGATATATTACAGGAGGCAAATGTTGATAATATGTGGTGAATAATAATCAGCTATCTTTGCTCCTTGATATGATCAAATGGAAACTGAATAACAAAAAATCAATCCAGACCATGTAACCAAAGATTCTGCAATTTTAAAAAGATACAATTTATGAGTATTTTTAGTTCATTTCTAAATCTGGTATTCTGTGATTTTCAAGATAGAAACTTTATTTTCCATATTTATCCATACATTGTAGGACAGTAATTCACCTACAGTATGGGAGTCAGATTGAATAACCTTTAACACTAAATCTTGCAAGTCTCTTAAACTTTTAACATAGAGGTAGCACACTGATTCTAAACCAACTGCAAGTTACCTACAGTTCTCTGGGCATGACTAAGACATACCTCTCTCTATACATATGACAAAGATGTATAAAAGAAGTAGAGGCCGGGCGCGGTGGCTCACGCCTGTAATCCTAGCACTTTGGGAAGCCGAGGCGGGAGGATCACGAGGTCAGGAGATCGAGACCATCCTGGCTAACATGGTGAAACCCCGTCTCTACTAAAAATACAAAAAAATTAGCCGGGCATGATAGCGGGTGCCTGTAGTCCCAGCTACTCGGGAGGCTGAGGCAGGAGAATGGCGTGAACCTGGGAGGCGGAGCTTGCAGTGAGCCAAGATCGCACCACTGCACTCCATCCTGGGCGAGAGCGAGACTCCGTCTCAAAAAAAAAAAAAAAAAAAAAAAAGTAGAAACACAGTTCTGACCCATAATATGAACTTTAAACTGGTTAGAAACTGAAAAACTTGCAATTAATTGCAACTTTGAGGCATCCTGGATTTTGTGGAGATAATCTTTACGGAGTTCTTTCTTCTGCTTTTAACATTCACATGCAATTCCCAGTTTATTTCAATGTTTCTATCCTTTAGAAGTTTTTCATTGCCTCTCATTTTTAAGAATTGGATTTTAGAAAATGTTTGTATCTTCCATTATCAGACTCATCTGTCTCAAAAGACTCAGCTTGCATTCTCTTTAAAAAAAAAAAAAAATGATTATCTGGCTACTTTGCTTTAGGTAAAAACCTCACCTGGAACGGTTCCATTTACCGGGACACTGATCTGGGATGAGTGTCTCCTTCTAGGCACTTGTCAGGTTAATTTTGGTCCCTTGTGTGTTAAGGACAAAATAGTACATGGCAATTTAAGAATGAATGAAATAGCTTTCATAAAAATTTGAAGTATACTTGGCATTAATGAAAAGTTGTACTTTCACTGTCTACTGCTTGTCTATCCCAACAGATTTCACATTCCCTGAATATGGAGCAGGCCTTATTTTTTTCTTCTATTATTAACACATTAGCTTGAATTTCTCCAAAAGAATTTCAAAGTTCTGATAATCACTTCATCCCTGCAGAGAATAATATTTGCTCTCCTTCAGAGGCAAAATGAAATGATAGAAAAACAGTTAATGGGTTCATGACATAAAGGGATGACTTTTTGAAAGACGAAGGGCCATGATAACATTATTTCGTTTAGTTATGTTTTCTAAGCTTGCTTTTCTATGCAACCCAGGGAAGATAATTTCGTCTCTCTCTCTCTCTCTCTCTCTCTCTCTCTCTCTCTCTCTCTCTCTATATATATATATATATATATATATATATATATATATTTCTAAGTGTGTATGTATGTAGCAGTGTATGTATATATGCATCTATATATCTGTCTATCTATCTATTCTTTCACTAATAGAGTGGTAAAAATTTGAGTACTGTGCTGGTTCTTGGAGAGTACAGTGGAAAAAAAAAACAAGCCAAGCCCTTCTGTCTTCCACAAATAGATTAGATCTAACAAGACTCAATAAGTTTCCATGTTTTCTATATGGTTTAGTCCAAATTACCAAAATTGAACATGCATTTGGAATTAGTAACAAAGTTAAAAATGAGGTGGAGAGTTGAGGCTGAAGTCATAAATGATAATAAAAAGGGAATATTTGTCTCACCTAGAGAACTAATAGGTGATGTCTTCAGGCTTTTGAATACCAGTGAGACAACTATTTCCTGACACATGACGTACATGGATTGTTACCAGCCATGTGTCAGAAAATAGTGTTCATTTCTTTAGGTGGCAAATATTGTTTCTAGTACTTATATATCCATAACTGCTATGAGGAAAAGAAAAGCAGAGAAGCACAAAGAGACTCACAGTGCTGAGTGTTGGAGGAAATAATTAGCAGTCTTAAGCAGGAAAGTTCCTGTAAAAGTTTTCCTGCCAGGAAGTCCTGTTCAGAGTAATCAGGTAAGAGAAAGATATAAAAGGCATCAAAATAGGAAAAGAAGAAGTCAAGATATCTCTCTTCATTGATGATATGATTCTATACTTAGAAAATCCTAATGACTCCAAAAGGCTCCAGGAATTGACAAATGACTTCAGTAAAGTTTCAGGATACAAAATCAATGTTCCAAAATCAGTAACATTTCTCTACACCAATAATGTGCAAGCTGAGAGCTAAATCAAGAATGCAATCCCATCTACAATAGGCAAAAAAAAAAAAAACCACAACACACAGGAATACATCTAGTCAAGGAGATAAATTATCTTTGCAAGGAGAACTAAAAAACATTGCTGAAGGAAATCACAGTTGACACAAATAAATGGAAAAATCTCTCATGCTCATGGATTGGGAGAATCAATACTATTAAAATGGCCATACTGGCCAAAGCAATCTACAGATTCAACACTATTCCTATTAAACTAGCACTGCCATTTTTCACAGAACTAGAAAAAACTATTCCAAAATTCATATGAAACCAAAAAAGAGCCCGAATTGCCAAAACAATCCTAAGCAAAAGGAACAGAGCCTGAGGCATCACATCACCTGACTTCAAACTATAAGGCTACAGTAACCAAAACAGCATGGTATCAGTACAAAAACAGACACACAAACTAATATAACAGAATAGAGAACCTGAAATTTAAGTCACACACTTAAAGCCATCTGATCTTTGACAAAATTAAGAAAACTAAGCAATGGGGAAAGGACTCCCTATTCAATAAATGGTGCTGGGATCACTGGCTAGCTATATGCTGAAGAATGACATTGGAACCCTACCTTTCACCATATATTAAAATTTAACTCAAGGTTGATTAAATATTTAAAAAGTAAGACCTCAAACAATAAGAATTCTAGAAGAAAATCTAGGAAACATTATATGACTAATTCCTCAAAATTTCAACAAAAACAAAAATTGATAAGTGGGACCTAATCAAACTAAAGTGCTTCTGCACAGCAATATAAACTACCAACAGAGTAAACACGCAACCTATAGAATGGGAGAAAATATTCACAAACTACGCATGTGACAAAGGTCTAATATCCAGAATCCATAAGGAACTTGAGCAACCAAACAAGCAAAAAAGAAATAACCCTATTAAAAATGGACAAAAGAACAGATACTTGTTAAAAGAAGACATTCAAGGTGTCAACATACGAAAAAATGCTCATTATCACTAATTATCCGAGAAATTCAAATGAAAATCACACTGAGATACCATCTCACACCATTAAGAATAGCTATTATTAAAAATCAAAAAATAACTGACGCCAGGGAGGATGTTAAGAAAACAGAACTCTTATACACTGTTGGTGGGAATGTAAATTAGTTCAGCCATTGTGTAAAGCAGTTTGGGGATTTCTCAAAGAACTAAAAATAGAACTACCATTTGACCCAGAAATCCAATCCCTGGTTATATATCCAAATGAAAATAAAACATTTTACCAAAAAGAAACATGTGTTCGTATGCTCATTGCAGCACTATTCACCATAACAAATACATGGAATCAATCTGGGTGCCCATCACTCGTGGGTTGGATACAGAAAATATACCAGAATACTACGCAGCCATTAAAAAGAATGAACTCATGTCCTTTGCAGCAACATAGGTGCTGCTGGAGGCCATTATCCTAAGTAAATTAATGCAGAAACAGGAAACCAAATACGGCACGTTTTCACTTATGAGAGCTCAAAACTGGGTACACATGGGTATAAAGATGGCAGCAACAGACACTGGGGACTACTAAATCAGGAGGAAGCAGGAGACAAGAGTTAAAAAAAACTAACTGTTGGGTACTATGCTCAGTATTTGGGCATGAGATCAACCATACTCCAAACCTCAGCATCGTGCAATATACCCAGGTAACAAACATGCACATTTACCCTCTGAATGTAAAATAAAAGTTGAAATTATAAAAAATTAAAGGTTAAAAAAATTATGCTGTCCTTGTAGAATGGATAAGCAGGGCCAGAGCTCTGGACAGAAGAGAATGCTGCGTCGTGAACAGGCTGACGGGAGGAAAGGGGAGATGCAAGGAGACCAATTAAAAGGTTTGGGCAGTAACACAGGTGAGATATGGGGGGTACAGAGAAGGTGATGAAAGAAATGTGTTTTGAACCAAAAGCCTATACAATTGCCTAACAGATGGCACAGTGTTGTCTGTTCAGTGAATGAAAAATTATCACTTAAACTTTATTGTATTCATTTAAACTACATGGAGTAGGCATGGTATGATTTTCAAAGGTAGAAATTTTGCTGAGCTAGCTTTTCAAAGCTCCCACCTTTCTTTTTACTGTGCCCTTTGTTTGGAGCTCCCTTCCCCAGGTATCCTCAAGTCCTTCAGCCCTGTAACTACCTTCAGATGTCTCGCCAGGTAGATGTCTCTTGAACACCCTCATAAAGAGGCAGCCCACCACTTTCCCCGCACTCTCTTCCATTTTCTTCATTCATATTGGCATCACCTGATCCATACTATACTTCTTTGTACTAGAGGAAACAGGCTTTTAATTTTTCCTGGAACAGCTCAGATTTAGAGGTTAATTATTAACAATGTCAGCTTTTAGATGATCAACTGGATGTCAGCTTAACCTGTGATGTTTGTTTGCTTACTTACCCCTTTACTAGACTATGAATCCCATGAAGAAAGGAAATTTTTCCAATTGTGTTTATGCTGTATTCTCCAGTGCATACATCAATGTCTGACATATAGTGAGCTGAATGAGTTATTAAGTGAATGAATGTGATTGTGTTCTGATTATAGTAATTTGATGAGCACTCTTTTGTTATTCTTCCCATAGAAGTGAGGTTTATTCAGGGAATAAAGGCTTGTGAAGGACTTTGTAAACAGAACCTATGGAAGTAACTTTTTTGAGTACGACCCCTAGTGAACAGAGAAAGTGTTCTGAGATTTCAGGGTGGGAATACAAAGAAGATTGGAAAGGAAGCTCTGGGTACTGAGCTCCAGGTAGGGAAGTTAAACATCACAACAGTAGATTGAAGTTGCAGATTACCTTGATCACCCTTAAATGTAAGGAACTCTTGTCAAGGAATATGACCATTGATAAACACCTGCTAGATGTTAAGTTTGTCTGTCTTCTGGATGGCCTATTCACATCTTTTAGAATAGGTTTCACTGCTTAAAATAAATAAGTCTTTAAATAAATAAATACCCAGTTTTTCATAAAAACCAGAGAGATCAAAATCAGTTCACTGATTACAGTTGTCATTACATAGTGCAAAGATATTTTATTTTTGAAGGCACTCAGAAAAATCATCCTATACTTCAAAATGTATAGAATAAACTAAAAACAAAAATAGAGCAGGAAAGATAGTAATAAAAGTTATACCTTTAACTTGGTCATTCACCCAAAATGCTCAGTACGCAGTATTACAAATCACATGGAACAAGAAGAAAATGAATAGAAAGAGCATTTGAATGTAAATCTTAATGTGCATTTGAGATTAGTGCCAAAGTGAGAATCAGAAATCTAAAATCTTTGTCCAAAAGATTGGAGAAATGATGATCTAGCCTGACATTGAAAGTGAAGTGCTCTATTCTACAGGGTGTGTGAGGAGGGGTGTGTTTGTAGAAATAGAGAAAACAACAGGTGTTCAAGTTCATGATTGAATTGCATGGTGACTCGGCCTCTAGGCAGCACAAGTGCAGATAATAACTGGTATTATCCAAGACAGGTATTTGACTTTCTAGATCATAGGGAGAAATTTAAGCTAAGAAATTGGAATTATCCTCAATAAGAGAAAATATACACTAAAATAGCAATGATTAGGCACATAACTAAGAGAGAAATCCAATCAATCTTGCTGAAATGATGATTCATAACAGATGACAATGATAAGAACCATGACTGGGCATATTTCCAGTCCCATGAAAACAGCATTAATATAATATAATATAATATAATATAATATAATATAATATAATATATTTTATACTATATGTAATATATATTATACACATAATATGTTATATTGTTATATAGTTTATATATATAATGTATAAAAATATATAATATATATCATATATTATATTATATATTATATATGATATAATATATATCATATCATATATTATATATTATATATCATATATTATATATCATATAAATTATATCATATATTATATATCATATAATATATATCATATATTATATCATATATTATATCATATATCATATATCATATCATATATCATATATCATATATTATATATCATATATCATATATCATATATTATATATCATATATCATATATCATATATTATATATCATATATCATATATCATATATTATATATCATATATCATATATTATATCATATATTATATTATATATTATATATGATATAATATATACCTTATATGATATATTGTATAATATATCATATATCATATGATATATTGTACAATATATCATATAATATATCATATTATATGATATATTGTATAATATATCATATGATATATATTATATGATATATTATATATAATACATATATTATATATTATATATATTATATATAAAAACAGCCCAATATAAATACACTACTCCTAACATAGTGCTTGCTTTAGTCATGAGTGATTCAAGAGCTGACTGAAGCTGAATTCACAAGAGGCGTATGTCAGTGAAAGTGGCTGAAAAAAGCTGGACCTAGCACTATAGTTACTGGACTAAAGTGAAAGCCTGAATTTGAACTTGTAGATATAGACTAATAGTTTCAGAGACTATAAATTTACTTAATTTAAGAAAATAGCATTTTTACCAAGACATAAAAGACCAAGACATAAAAGACCAATTTTGATCCAAGTGTTAGACAAAGGCAAATAAAATGAAGTGTACACCCAGAACAAGGGCAATGAAAAATTAAATGTCTTCAAATACAAATCAGGAGAGAGAGGTTCCATTTACTACTCCTAGATAAGACTTTCACCAATGCCCTAGGGCGGAGTAATTAACAGTTAACATCATGCCTTACATATAAATACCCAGACACACAAACACACACGCTCATATACAATGATGAATATATACATAAACCTATGTGGTATATATATTATATACTCATATATTTCATGTATAATTTTTGTTACTCATTATTTTTTCCTCTAGTGCTATGCTATATCTTCCTAGACTACTTATCCAGAATTAAAGAGTAGATGAAACAAAAACTTTAATGAGATGTAAGGAATTCAGGGAAAGTTAGTTTCAAAGTTTTCAGGGACTATTTCAAATAAGTAAATCAGAACTTGATATACAAACACAAACGTCTAGGATGACCCATTCTTTCTGTAATTATATTCAGGGAAATAGTTCTTATTTTCAGAACAAAGATTTGGCCAGAATATGGGCCACAGAGAGAGAAAGAAAGAGAGTAAAAGAGGTGCCTTGTTCTTTTAGCCTCTTACTTATTTCTGTGACTCCAAAACCTATTAACCTGTTTTAGCCTATGCTCTTAAAAAAACAACAACAACAACAACAAAACCAAAAACGAAAACACTGTGACTGCTAAGTCCAGGATATCAAAAAAGTATTAATGTTTTATGAAATATTAATACACGAATCAGAGTCTGACCCTGCCAGGGGCACTAAGAGCCCATAACAGTACAAAGGTGCCAGATGCCCTTATGGTCTAAAGCAAGCTGTGGATCCACTCGTGCCTGACTCACGGTAAGTTCGCTTCTAGGTAGTGTCAAAAAGTTAATTCTTTCTTACTGTCCTACCTGTGCCTGCCCTTTATAAATGTACCTACCTGATTTATTATTTCTTTATCTTTCCTAGTCAATGACTTTATCTTGAAAATAAAGGAGGGGAGGAATTGTCATTTTCTTAATGACCGCTTCTCTAATTCTTATCTGCTATATTGACAGCAAACCATAATGTCAAGTCACAAAATAACAGTATCTCTGGTGAGAAAATTAGTCCATAAATACCCAGGTTTCATTGTTTCTGGTATTTTGCCAGTGGACTGTTTTGTGCCTTATTATGGGCCATAAAATTGCCAGCAATTCTGAAATTAAGAACATGGACATTATAAATTGGATTACATATAAACTCACAAAGCCAATGTGCTATAACTTCCCTTCGTGGAAATTTCTGAGATTAAGTGAGAGTCTAAGGCATGAGAAATTCACCAATTAAAGCATCTGAATGTTGACACTGAAATAAATTTTAGAGAATAAGTAGGGCAATTAATTGCTATTATTCTCAGCATTTGCTTTAGAAAGCTAAAATAGTATAAGGAAGTAACTATACACTTTGAATTCAAAATAACATAAAACTGATGCTCAGTTTCATTACGTGCCAAGTGTTTCACTTTGCACAAATCATTTACCACTGATTTTCAAATCTCTCATCTGTAGAAAGGAGAAAATGCACTCTAATTTAGGACTCATGCAGATGATTAATATATAATTATATTAGTCTTTGGTATGTGACAGATCCTACCTTTCATTATTAATCATGGAGGTATGACTTGGGTGGTAGTAGCTTAATAAACGTCTATTTATACCTAAAGCTTTATACTTTCCAAAACTCTTTTTGTACACAAGACCTATTTTATAAAAGGAAGGTAAAAGACACAAAACAGCACCTCACCTTTTCTGATCACTTGCTACATGATGGGCCCTGGTTTCATCATTGTACATCCATTACCTCATTTTATTCTAAAAATAACTCCTTGGTATAAACATTATTATTATCAGTCCTGATTTAGCCAGAAAGAAACTGAGGCTTAGAGACATTAAGTTGCTGAAGGTTATTAGCAAGTGTCAGGACAGAATTCAACACCTCTTTGTGATTCAGGGACTGAGTTTATAAGCATTGACCAATACTGCCTGCTGAAAAATCTAAGGGAGTTAAAGCTGAATATGGGTCTCAAGTAAACGACACTGAGTTTGGTTGCTGTGGGTAATATTTTATTATTTCTGTGTAATCGGAAGGATTTGAAAGAATAAAAATATACACATAGCATGCAATGACCTTTTGGAATTCGGAAGCTGCAAAAGAATTGATAGATCATCTTTTCCAATCAATTTACAACATCATTACCATATTCTTTATCATAGTTAGGGAGACATATATGTTGATGCAAAATAGCTTTGCTGTAACTATATATAGCTGAGAGAAATGGCTAAATATAAATTTAATCAATAATATTAAGAAATACATGCACAATTACAATTATTAGGTCAAACAATTCTCTAGGGTTTTCTTAAAGTGTTCTTTTGCAATAAAAATACAGATTATTTTCAATATGATATATGACTTTGAATAAAGGAAATGCTTAATTTGAATTTCAATTTTTAAGCTTGTGATTCACTGAAATTGAATTTCAAAGTGCAAATTGCTGGTTTATAAAAAATCCTATTGCATAAATGATACTGTTGCATAATAAATATTTAATAGTGATTATAATGATACATTGTGGCATTTTGGTAGGCTATTTAATACATATTTTGTGGTTGTATTTTGTATGGCTACTTTTATTCTGGTCTTTTATGAAATTTTCTGATATGTAAAGACCTAGGTACAGACAGAAAACATTTCCTGCTCCAAAATTCTTAATTTAAAAACATAAGATGGTGCCACCATCATGACTACACATTTCCAGTATGTTCTCATTTATAAATGTTTTATTTTTAATTATAATAGATGCATAATAGTTGTCCATATTTATGCGGTAAATGTGATGTTTTCATGCAAGTATTAAATGTGTAATGATCACTAACTTGTACATTAAAATGGTGAAAATAATCATTTTATTTACATATTTTTAAAATAAATAAATAAATGTTTTGATTTCCGATGGCACTGACTGGGTTCCTTGGGGAGCAATCTCTGAGACAAAGATTCATTCATAGAAGTGTGCTGCGAGTATTCGAGTGACCAACATCTGTAGTAGGAGAGGGAAAGGGTCAGGATTGACAAAAAGAAAAGTAGTTTGGGAAACGGTGACAACAAAGGTTCAGGAAACAGTATAGGAATTCTGGAGCTTGGAGAGCCTTGCAGAATTGTCCTGAATCAGGTCAGAGTGGCTGGCCCTTTACGCCCCTCTCAAGCTGTCATTGAATGCAGGCTGCCTCTAGGAAGGTATCACAACTTGTGTGAGGGGGGTTCTCCCCAGCTGAGGGCAGTAACACTGATGGAGCATGTGGTGTATGCTGCTCAGAGTGCCAGCGGTAGGCAGCCCTCGGTTTTCAGCCTTTTTGGAGATTGCCTCAGATGATCCAAGGATTATCACACATTCCCATTGGTCTATATCCAATCACTGACTGATGTGGGAATATCAGAAGCTGGCCTTTTGCTATGGACTGAATGGTGTCCCCCAAAATTCATACGTGTATGTTAAAAGCCCTAAGCCTCCGTGTGACTATGTTGGAAATATGACCTTGAAGGACAGATTAAGATTAAGAGAGATCATAACGGTGAAGCCCTGATCTGAGAGAACTGGTGTCCTTTGAAAGAGAAAGAGACACCTGAGGTTGCTCTCTTGCCACCATGCGAGGACACAGCGAGAAGGAAGCATCTGCATGCCAGAAAGAGAGCCCCCAACACAAAATGAGCCCTGCTGGACACTTGAACTTTCCAGTCTCCAAAACCGTGAGAGAAAAATATTACATTTTTCTTGCCCCATAGTCCATAGTGTTTTTTATGACAGCATACGTAGATGAAGACATCTTGCAGTCCAATTGGCAAGAGTTCTGATTCTGTTTCTCACGGAACTCAGACTTCAATGGATGGAACTAGAAAAGGTATAAGAAAGAAGACATTAGGATGGGATTTGGAACTGGATAACTTGCCCCTAACTGGGAAAGAAGACCCCATCAGTGGTGATAATTAAAGCATATATTGCCCTGGGCAAGGTGACAATACAATTGCTGAAACTCCCCCTTGGTAGTTGGGGTAGACGGTATATACCAGTGAAAACCAATTCATGGGCTGGTGCAGTGTATCAATGACTTGAGAAACATTAAGTAAAATACTAACTATAAGAACAACAGAATCAGATGGCTATTGCTAGGGAAAAGGTAATATGAAAAGGTTGAGATAGATTATTTGAAAATCCAAATCTAAATGTTAAAACTCAGAAGGCTTCCTTGGTAGCATATAAATGGGCCTTCATTCCCTGCAGTGAAAGGACAGAGAAGGCTGAGGACCAGAACCAGGAGTTAATTTTAAGAGGCACTGAACCCCTAAAATGTTTAAACTCTTAATACAAACAAGTCTTATGCCAAGACGAAGGACCTGGTTGGAATGGAATGGGGTCCTGACATAGGCAATGCAGACACCGGAGTTGACTCTTCAGAAAATAATTTAATCTGATTTCCCTGGACCCTTCTGAGAGCACAGCAGTGGCACAGTCCTCTTGCTTGCAGACAATGCAGAGGCCTCTTTCCCGCAATTCAACAAGACAACTAGGCCTTTCTCAGGATATACCACTCCCTCACTATCTGGTCATGAGGCCAGTAGTAAGAATTCTATTAGAACATAACCCAGGTGAAGACATGCTGGGCCTGATAAGGAAAGAAAATGACTATAGACTATTAACGTATACTAGAATAAGCTGTGAAAGTATGCATAGTGCTGAATTTTGAGGGAATTATGTCATACAATAGCTAAGGGAGAGTTTACTGACTTGAAAATACTTTTTTAGGACACAGGATTTAACACTCTAACACAGACTCTGGGAAATTGTGAAATACCCTGTTAGGATGAATTATTGAAGCATGGAGAGAGCAATGGCACACTTTAAGTGTGGTAGAGCCATCAGAGTTGCAATGACAGATGGTAGAAAAAACAGACTGAAATGCTTAGAGAAGTTACATGCTGCAGTGAACATAGGATATCAGCTTGCAGAACTCTAGAAGACTAACTTCCATGAGAGGTCACAAAGGATATAATATTTACTAAAGCAACATCGAACGAACTCACTGGTGAGAAGCACAAAGCACTACTTAGGAGCTGAGTGGAGGCTGTGCTCTATGAGCCAGGGCTGACTGTAGCAGATAGAGGTTGCCAAAGAACTGGGCTACCATTGGCAATGGGTGTGACAGGACCTCCACAGCAGAAGAGGACGGGAGATTTCACTCAGCCATCAGAAGCCCAGTGGTAACAATTATTGCAATGAGTGGCAGAGATGGAGGACCAGCTCAACAGCCTGCAAAAGTTACAGAGATGGTTATAAAACAGGACATCCTTAGGGGTAAAATATATCGGCAGCCAAGAGGGTACTACTCTATTGGTATAATCCAAATAAATCAAGTATATAATTAGGAGGCTGAAAGCCATCTCCCAGATAAAAAGATTTCTTTCTCAGTGTCAAAATCCGAGTGAATTTTCAGACTCAGAATTGATAGATTAAAGAAGAGCCTGGGTCACTGGGACCAAAGAGCCTGCAACCTTCCAACGGTGCATGACATTGCTTCCTGGTCTTTACCTACAGGTGGTTATGGCCATTTAGTTGATCAACTGTCCACTGAGTAAAGGATAATACTCCAAACTTTTCAACACCATTGAACAAAGGAACGAAGTGGACCAAAATATTATCATGCCTCCCTATTAGACTAAGCATATTTTGGAGTCAAGCCATAAATGAATTCTAGTCTGTATCTGGCTGAAATTGGGTCCGTTGAATCCTGGACCCACTCTGATCATTTATGTAGTCTTCATATAGACATACTTGTTTATTAGCTCAAGACTCAAAGCATATCCTCAGCCTACAGGTTTATAGCTATCATACTGGGGAAGGTCAAGTGGAAGCCTCTAAAATCTATCCACCTCATTTCTGCCAAAATAAATAGTCAAAAACAATATCACATCTCAGGTTCAATGGTGGAAATTAGTATCACTTATAGAGACATGAAGGATGCAGGAATATGTTTCCTTAAATATCTCTATGAATTTCAGCAAACCCCACACATACACACACACACACACACATACACACAAATAGGACCTGGAAGATAACAGAGGATTCCTACACACTTAACGAAGTTGTTAGTAGTTTCTATTATTGCTGCTGCGCCAGATGGAGTATCTTAGCTAGATAAGATATTATATGACCTTAGGTAATGTGGCAAATGGTTTCTATTCCCGTTAGAAGAGGATTAGAAACTATCTGCATTCACATGGAACTGACAATGGTATACATTTCAAGTTTTGTCCCTGGGTTCTTTTAGGGATCCTGCATTCTGTTACAGTGAATAGTCTGAAGAGATCGGCCCCATCTGGTAGTTCCTTAATGTGGTGCATTATGTATTGAGAGCAAATGAGCAAGAATTGGCCAGCATGTTGAAGACTTTGATAGGACATCTGTCCTCCATAATACAGGAAATAAATGCTACTAAGACTCAAGGTCCTGCCACATCAGTACAATTTTCAGAGGGACCAGAGGTTTAGGGTATGCTAGAATATCCCACTCCCCTAGTAAATGACAGCATATTATACCTTGCAAATCCCCCAGGAAGGAAGGAGACATAATTCCCAATAACTTACTTTTAGTATTGAGGTAGAATATTATATTTCACCCCAGGAATGCCATTTTGATTTGTATATTGGGTAACACAAAAGTTTGCAAGCTTTGAAAGGAGCCCAAAGGAGGAAAACCATTTTGCAGTATATCTAAGCTGTAGTACAAGTAGCCCTGAGGCTAGGATCATAAGCTCTAGCAAACACCATGATATTAGAATTATATTACAAGTACCATTGGTGGGAAAAAAATGTTTTGAAGAGTTCATTATAGCCACCAATGGGAGAATAAAAATACACACTACTATGGTTCTGGATCAAAACTGCCAACTACATCAGAGAATTAATCATATTTAAAAAGTAGCACTTGGCATACTGTCATAAAATCTGCTGGAGTCATAGAGCTTGACCGTGAGTTAACAAATAACCATACAGCCCTAGATGTCCATCATAGGCTGGGTTTTGTGCGGCCTACTGAGAAATAACGTCAGATGGTGCTAGCAACCACATTATAAAATGGCACAGCTATGGAACTTCAGCCAGTTTCTGCCATGGCCACCCCAGTGTTGGTACAGTGAACTATGTATTCAGTGACCATGCAAACAGTAATGGAAGCCATGGATTCAAAAGGATGAGCTCCCACTTGCCAAGACTGATTAGCCACTGGTGTCATTAATTATATAATTTACCGTAAGCAGAGGGCAACCTTGAGTCCCCAAGATGGGATTATCTCTCAAGAAAACCAACAGGCTCTTGTTGGTAAGTTACTCACCTAGGACATCTCCTATCTCGAAGGAATCAGCATTTCATATTAAAATAAATATACATATATTCTGGGCATTGTTTTGCTTTTCTCACCCTCAGGGACCACTGTCTAATGACTTAGAGAGTGTTTTGTTGTGATGGTATGCGAGCCTACACAGTATTACATTACGCCAAAGGATGCTTGTATAGCAATAGAGATGTGGAAGTGGGCCCATAACTTGAAGTCTACTAGTTATCTTACATATCATACTACCCGGAAACTCATTGTTTGGTAGAACACTGGACCAGCCTCTTGAAGACTCAAGTAAAGCCTTGCTATATAAACAATACTTATGAGGAAGGGAAATATCTTCCAGAATATAGTTACTACACCCCGAATCAAATAAATGTATACATTAGTGCACCCTGCTAGGTGGAATGAATGTTCCCAGGGAATAAGAGCAGAGGTGTTCTTATGTAATTGGAAACAACACACCCAATCTTGTACATGTTGTGTGTCTCATCTTTACAACATTGGCCTTTGTAGGTTTAAAGGTCCTGACAAGCAAAGACAAACTCTTCCCTGGGGACACAGAAATGCTTTCATTGACCTACAGTCTATATTTGCCACCTGGCATCTATTATCTCTAATCCAGAAACTCTCTCTAGACACCATCATTGTAGATCTAGTTCACTTTTATGTGTTCTGTGATACAGTCATTCCCCTGGTACTGTAATGAAGCTTTCCGCACAAGCTCCGATTATCTCATATTAAAAGGATATCAATGGTAAGGCTCGGCATGGTGGCTCACACTTGTAATCACAGCACTTTGGGAGACCAGGGAGAAAGAATTGCTTGAGCCCAGGAGTTTGAGAAGTGCCTGGGAAACATAGTGAGACCCCATCTCCACACACACAAAAATGATAATAATAAAAGTTAGCTGGGTGTGGCGGTGCATGCCTGCAGTCACAGCTACTTGGTGGGTTAAAGTGGAATGATTGCCTGAGCCCGGAAGGTAAAGGCTGAAGTGAGCTGTGATCATGATTGTGCCATTGCACTCCTGCCAGAGCAAGAGAGTAAGATCTCGTCTCAATGAACATAAACATCAATATATAGATATATAATAAATATATATAGACATATCATACATATATATCTATGTATCTGCCAAAAATATGTTTTAGAACCAATCATTATTTTCTTGGTATTCTTTCTCTGTGAGTTACTAGCACTATATTGTGCAAGTCATCACCAAATTTCTCAGAAGTTTAATTTTTTATAATGATGGATGAAGACAGTAATATCTACCTTGAGTGGCTTGTCATAAGTATTAAATAATAAAAACTAGCATTAAAAATATCTAGCATACCTAGATATATGTTATATGTTATAGTTATATGTTTAAAAATTTGTGTTTATTTCATGCCTTATTTATCTTTAAGAAACTTTATAGCCTGATCGGTGCTGATTCTTTTTCCAAAAAGTCACGTAAATTTTTATCAGGACAATGTTTTCTGTAACAACCATTATTTCTTGTCTTTCTGCCATAAGTGGAGCAAAAAGATGTGAAGGATCTTGAGTTTTCATACTTTCTAAATGGGCTAAGAGTACAGATGTCAGAAGCTATGCCATGCTACACTATGAAATATGTTTGTTGAAAAAGTTTCCACTTCAACATGATTTTGGAATGAGGTGCAGACTTTTCCATACAATATCTATGAATAAAAATATTCATTTGGTATTTGATTACTAATTAATCAGATATTAATTGCATTCTCTATTATAAAAGCCATATTGTGCAAACACACACACAAGTCAAATTCCTAAAAATATCCTATATAAAAGGTTTCAACCTCAGTATTTCTATAGATGCTATGAGAAATTATAAAGTATAGTCATTAAAGTAATCCTCTTAAAGGCCAAGTCTGGCATGATTCAAATTAATTTGAAGACTCCTTTCTTAAGTAATTGTTTACGTAGCTAGCTGGTTTAGGAGAAAATGAAAAAACAGAACAAAAACTACACCTTGCACATAAATAAAAATTTATTGCTCAGTAATTATCCTTTCCATACTTGATGCTAATGATTCCTGACAGTTAACACAAATGAAAGCCAAAAACAAAGAAAGCAGCTTTAAGAATATTTCAAGAACATGAAGCAAACGTGGACAATTTTTTTGCTTTTTTTTTTTTTTTACTAATAAAAACCTACAGAAGCATGTTAAATTTCTTATTATATATTTGCCATATCCAACTTTTAAATTCTTTTTCATCTCCACTTTATCTTAGACTGGGCAACAGCAAACTCAAAAAAATGCATCATGGGGTAATACAAATTGCCTAGGACTAAGAGATAAAAACCTAAGATTCATGGCCTAGCCTTGCCTCCAACTAATTTTTTGTCACGGCTTGTTACTCTTTTCCACTTCCCTCTCTGGCTCTTTGTTTGTTAGCCTCTGTGATGCTTAATTTCATGTGTCAACTTGACTGAGCCACGGGATTCTAGATATTGGGTCAAACATTATCCCAGGTGTTTCTGTGAGGAGGTTTTTAGATGAAATTAGCATTTAAATCAACAGACTGGATAAAGTAGATTGCCTTCCCTAATGTGAATAAGCCTTGTCTAATCAGTTGAAGACCTGCATAGAATAAAAAAGTGATCATCCTTTGAGTAAGAGAAAAGTCTGCAGGATGCCCTTCAAACTGGAATGTTAGCTCTTCCTGGTTCTAAAGAAGCTCACAGCCTTTGGACTCAAATTAGGATACTGACTCAAAGATTCTAGACTTGCTTACTCTGGAAAGCTGTCTTCTACATTAAATCTACCT
Organism: Homo sapiens; assembly: GCF_000001405.40. Taxonomy (NCBI): domain Eukaryota; kingdom Metazoa; phylum Chordata; class Mammalia; order Primates; family Hominidae; genus Homo; species Homo sapiens. The sequence continues at coordinate 13,323,539 of NC_000002.12, read as the reverse complement.
AAAGAGATGGCTGTCTTTTGGACATACACATTCAACATTTCATTGGCACCTATGATAAAGAGGATCTATAGGATGAACTGAAGAGTGCAGATGACAAGGCTCTGCCCCCGCCCTTGTGCAGCATCCAGTAGGATGCTGCCCTAGGTTTCGTGCTCACTGAAGTTCTGGTATAGACTTCCGAGGTGTCCTTTAGATAGATCCCATCTCTCCAAAACTGAGAGAAAGATGCTAGTTGTTTGGATTCTGCATTAGAGTGTGTTTTCCCTTGGGACTAAAAATATTTCATTTAATAATTATCACTGATCAAATTACCTGAGTTCTTCTCTTTGGAAACTAGGTTGAAAAAGCCAGACTCCCATTTTTAGGAAAAAACAAAAATAACAACAACAAAAAGAAAGAAAAACATTAAGATACTTTACAAAAAAAGACAAGGAATTGCTCATGAGTATACACATAAACTATGTAACATTTAGTAACCATCAAAGAAGTTAAAGCTGGAAAAATTAATGCATATGTTATCAGAAATTTAAGGAAGAAATTGCTCATATATTAAGTTACCTGGTCTGGGTATAACTTAGGAGCCACATATTTGGGCATTTATAATAAGATTCTCAGGAATCCTTAATATTAAGTAAAACATACATTTTTTGATGTCTAATTGATTTATTTGGTAGTCACGTAGGTGTGAAGGAGAGTGCCATGCCTGTCTTATCAAGAGTTCCACTTTGGGGTTAATTGCAGTGATAGGATTCTGGGATTTCAGAGCCCGAAGGGATATTTGGAGTTATATGGTTCAATCTTAGTACTTTATATACTGGAAGTTAGAGAAATCATAGGCTATTTCCTCACTTTCCAGGGCAGTGCTATTTCCTCTCTTATCTCTACTGCTCCACTGGAAAACATACAATGAGCAGCAGCTCAGTCCGCTAAGAAATTTTTTCCCTTAAAATTGAGTCTGGTTCCTACCAATCTGGATTTCTAAGTTGTTCTATGATTGGGTTTGTTTATTGCTTGCGGGAGAAAACCATTGTACTCAGCTGCTACCTCCTGTCACCAATATCTTACCTTATTCACCTTCTTGCTGCTCTAAATATCTCATCAATAGTTAATGTCCTTTCCAAATGGCTCCATAAAACAGGCTAGGTTTTATAAGAAAAGCTGTTCAATACGTGTCCAAAACAAATGATGGTTCTCTAATGTTATATGAGGAATTTGGTGCTTCTGCAAGTATCTTTACTGTGTGAAAGATTAACATCTCCAATATAGTTTCCACCCTGTCTTTCACTTTAGAGACTGTTCAACCTCCCTAGTTGCCTTTTCTCCTGATGTCCATGAAGCTGAACATTCCTGGACTGTGTTGCTACTCAGTTCTGAGTAAAATAACTGTGCAAACTTAACAGAATCAGCTCTTCATTTGATCTAGGCCAGGCACAAATATGACACAAAATATTTTATCAAAACTTCATGAGAAACCTTTAAGAATTAAAGATCTGAGGAAATTTTACAGGTGGGGAAACTGACAGTCAAAGAGTTTAAGAAAAGTACAAAGAAATAGTAAACAAAGTTGCTTCACTGTATTCAAAGCAAATGTCCACTTATTTATTGAAGTATTTACTAAACCGACATTTATTGAACACTTACAACTATCAAGGTTCTTTTGAAGTCATATAGTGGCTGCCCTTAGAGACAACAGACGACAAATATTTCCTATTCAGACATTTAAAAATATGCTAGACTCTTACTTAATCTTTTCATGATTGAGAAGGCTTGGAAGAAAAAGTTCTAGCTATGTTAATAGAGATTCTTTACAGATGCACACTTTCTCCCACAAAGGATAGCTTTGCAGGGCCATTTCAAGATATGACAAAGCATGTTTTGGGGTAAAGTATTTTGATTTTTTTCCTTGTCTCATAATGTTATGCCAGAGGTAGGTTGAAAAGTAAGTAACAATATATAAGGTTAAATAAAACTCATCGGTAAGAATGTATGGTTTGTAGGGCATGACTCCCCAGACCCCTTAGACAGGAATTTGGGCAAGATAATGCAAAAAAATCAGAGCTAGTCCTCACAATTTATTAGAAAGCCTGCTAGTTACTGTCAAAGTAAGACATGTAAAAATAAGATATGAATATCACTAACTTTAGAGAAATTGCATCCTCTTATTTGATGAAGGCTCAGTAAACTGGATTACAGTGTGATCGAAAGAGAAACAAAGAAAGATGAGAAGAGAGCCTGTATTTGTATTCTGAGAAACACTGATTTAAAAAATTAGTAGAATAAACAATAGGTAAATGACAAAGGAATTTGAAATGAAAGGCCAGGAGACAGTGGTGTAATGGGGAGCCAAATGAGATTTATAAGGGAGCATAGCAAACAGCAGGGTGAAATGCCACTCTGAGGGTTTGAGACCAAAAAGTGTATTGGGGTAGTTGAACAGAATAATTTTACTGGAAATTTAAAAATTCGTGAAGAACAGAGAGGATGGAAGCTGGAGTGGGACACTGGGTAAAAGTATTGGGTTGGTGCAAAAGTATTCGCAGTTTTTGACATGAAAATGTCAAAATGTCAAATGGCAACAGTCACAATTGCTTCTGCACCAACCTGATAGTTGTGGCCATCATGTTAATATTGGCCAAGTTTTAAGAAGAAATGATCTACTTAAGTCCTATAAGAAGGAATCTCTGCATGCCGAGAAGTAGAAGACAGATGCAAATACAGCAGATGAGCTACTAATCGTAAGTTCCTTGTGGAGATGGGATAGGAGGAGACCCAGAGCACAGGTCCTACACGCAAGAATGCATCTTTCTCCTACTGCTAGAATAAAAGGAAGCATACGCAAATCCTTGCTTAGAAATTAGAGGAAAAAAACCCTGATTAAACAAAGGAAGAATGTTGGGTAGGCCATTTGTAGAGATTACATACTTGAAGAAACTGATTGAGAAAACGTAAGAGCAAATTTATGAGAAAACAGAAATAATTTGTTTGTGGAAATTGGAAGTCAATGTTTGAGTAAAGAGTATAGAATTTTAATAAAAACAAATGGTGTGGTTATATGATTTATTTTTTCTGGAGATTTCTAGCACTCAGGGGTAGGAGTTTTTTGGTTTGTTTTTTATTTTTTATTTGTTTTGTTTTGTTTTGTTGAGACAGGGTCTTTCTCTGTCACCTAGGTTGGAGTGCAGTGGCATGATCTCAGCTCACTTCAATCTCTGCCACTGTACTCCAGCCTCCACCTCCCAGGTTCAAATGATTGTCCCGCCTCAGCCTCCCAAGTAGCTGGGATTACAGATGCACACCACCATACCTGACTAATTTTTGTATTTTTTAGTAGCGACGGGGTTTCACCATGTTGGTCAGGCTGGTCTCAATCTCTGGAACTCAGGTAATCCACCTGCACCAGCCTCCCAAAGTGCTGGGATTACAGGCATGAGCCACTGCACCCAGGGGTAAGTTTTTTATTTTTTAGTGTCTTGGCTAGAGGGGAAATAACAAGGTAAAATGAGAAAGAAGTATAAGACAAGGGTGATAAGTCAGTAAAAATACTGAGATTTTTATCAAAATCACCTAAAATTCACTTATAGGTGAATTTTAAAATTTTAAAATTGTCTATTTTTTTAAAAAAAGATAAGCTACTCCTAAACTTCTTTTAAAATAGACAAGCTATTCCTAATCAACTTTATGGAAGGAGGGTCCTTATTCCAGGAATGAAACGTCTCATAAAATTATTAAATTTTTTTTAAAAAGTAAGTAACTCTGATATGCAGTCAGAGCAGGTAACATTTTTAATATTTCCTGTAATTTCAGTAGAATGGGAACAGAAGTAAAGCAAAAGAAATTGAAAAAAAATAGGGCAAAAGTTCTTGATAACACTGAAAAGCAGGCATGGTTTTTGCAGTTGAGTAAAGGCCATAGAAGAAGGGATCAATGAGACTTTATGCCTTTAGACTCTGATCAGTTTAAGTGATGTCAAGGCTCAGACAGAGCCCATAAAAAATGAGTGGAGGAAGTGGAATTGAGAAGAAAGTTGTCATAGATACAGTCTCTGAGACGAGGCACTTAATGGACCTTATATCTGATGTCAACTTGGAATACATCTCAGCTCTTTCACCTAAGAAGTCTTACATGTTCTGCTTTTTGCTGCAATAACAACAGAACATCTTCCACTCCTTATCCTTCTTCTCAATGTTTTCTACACATACTGAACTTATTTGAATTTATTAAAAACTATAAGCCCTTTAGCTACTCAGAGATTTCATCGAACCCTCTTATCCTGGTTCTCCATGAAGGTTGGCATTTCCTCATTATCCTAATACTGGCTTAAATGGCAAGCACTTTTTCATGAATATGCAAGAATAATACTTTAGCATTAAAGTATATTTTATTAATCTCATCTCTACATCAACTCTAAAATCTAGTGCCCACTAAATACTACAAACATTAGTTGAGTAATAAATATTTCAGTCATTTGATCCAAATTATGTATCGGGCATGAGACCAATATTTATTTAGTATTTAATACCAATATTTTTATTAGAAAATTGTGTCCTAAATGACTGGCCAAAGGCCAAAGAAGTAATAATAAGTGGACTAAATGTGAATACTTCTGAATATATTTCTGTATTTCATCAAAGGCTGCTTCTGTTTTATGACACCGTCTCTCACTATTATTATACTAATACATGCATTTAAAATATCCTTATCTTGTTGTTGGAAGGCAATCAACTCATTTAAGTCATTCAAATTCTTATCCTCAATGTTTTTATCTATAAAATATGGGTTTGGATGATATTAAGATTAATTTCAGCTTTAAGCATAATATGAAATTATGAATTCTCATCATGAGCTTTGTGCATTCAAAATATTTCAATGAGACAAGCATGGTGGCTAATGACTGTAATCCCAGCACTTTGAAAGGCCACCATGGCAGGATGACTTGAGACCAGGAGTTTGAGATCAGTCTGGGCAACACACAGAGACCCTTCCTCTACAAAAATAATGAAAAATAAAAAACTTGTCTGGCAGGGAAGCTGGTGCCTATAGCCCTAGCTACTCGAGAGACTGAGGCAGGAGGATCACTTCAGCCCAGGAGTTCGAGGCTACAGTGAGCTATGATCATGCCACTGCACTTCAGCCTGGGCAACAGAGTGAGATCCTGTCTCTATTTAAAAAAAAAAAAAGTCATCCAAGCTCTGGTATTACTTAGACTTAAAAATTTGATACCTTTGTGTAACCTAGTTCTGGTATCTAATTGTATTCATTTACTTATTGAGAAAATTATGCACTTTCAGGAGGAGAGAAAAAAACCCTAAATTACATTTAAGTTTATGAGAGGAGGCAGGCAGTAGTTAATGCTGTCTAGTTACTTTTGCTGCACTAATCGTAGAAATCAAAACATTCGTATTCTCTATTTTTACTATTACTATCTAAGTCTTAAAAAAGTTAAGGGAGTGTATTACTTCACTTTCACACTGCTATAAGGAACTGCCCCAAACTGGGTAATCTATAAAGAAAAGAGGTTTAATTGACTCACAGTTCCCCATGGCTGAGGAGCCCTCAGGAAACTTACAGTTATGGCTGAAGGCGAGGGGAAGCAAGGGACATCTTACATGGCTGCAGGCAAGAGAGAGAGAGGACAAAGGAAGCTGCCAAACACTTTTAAGGTACCAGATCTCCTGAGAACTCACTCACTATCATGAGAAACAGCATGGAGGAAACTTCCCCATGATCCAATCACCTCCCACCAGTTCCCTCCTTCAACATGTAGAGATTACAATTCGGATTACAATTCAAGATGAGATTTGGGTGGGGATACAGATAAGGGAGCTAATTTAAAACAGCCCCAGCAAGGAGAAAAGGCTTCATGAACACCGAAAAATCAAGCAGAGACAAACAGAGTTGAGCTGTTTTTTTTTTTTAATGAAAAAGCAATTGTACCAACTTTAAGAACCAGAAAACCTCAATTTTTATGCTTTTAGCAAATTGTAATTACAGAAAATAAAGCTTGTAAGCAAGAAGACATTGAAAAGTCTCTCTACAAATCAAGTAATAAGTTGAAAAAATTAAATTTTGTGAGCCAAAAATGACACAGAGATTTTAATTATGAAATTTTATAATTAAAGTTTTATATGTACAGATTTTTGGAAGGAATTGTCTACTAAAACTCTTATTTTTAATAGTTAAATTTAAAATGAATATTCTGTATAGGTATTAAATGAAATTGAAAAAACAATTTTTCAATATCTAATTTAATGAAATATTTAAAAACATAGACACAAATAATTTGACATTGTCTTGTAAAAATATTTTTCAAAGAAACACAAGAAATTATAACCAACAGGATAGTTTTTATGAACACATTATGAACCAGTTTCATATTTCTTACAAAAAAAAAAAGAATTGAGGATATTTTTTATTTGACACAGTTTGCTTTGATCTTGCCAATTATATCAGCACTTATATAGAAAATATTTTCTCAATTAGAAATATAGTCTAGATAGAAAACTAAAGAAGGAAAAACAGTAATTATTTTTAATTATTAAGTGCAACCATTTTTCATAGAGATTGCAAGATATTTTATGAACATGGTTATAGTACCAAAACTAAATAGAAAAATGTACCTTGTTCATAAAATACCAATAACATGAAATTAATAATGAAAGATATACCTAAGAAAACAATTAAAATATATTTAAATATGTTCCAAGATTACTTTTATGTTACTTAATAGACAATATGATGTGTATTTTTTAACTTGCTTTACTGTGGCTACATTTTTATTGATTTAAATTTGTTTCAAAAATTTAATTTAAATATAGCTATTTTTAGGTTTACCAATAGAGTAACAACAATTTGTCCATCAGGAAGTAGATCATATAATTACTTTTATTGTTCCTTTCATTCTCAAAATGTTCTAGTTTTCAGAACAAATTACATAATCTTCCTGCTATACAATATTGAGAAGTTTAGAATAGGCAATAGGAAGCCATTGGAAAGTTCTGTGCAGGGTATTGCTTAATAACTTTCCGGATTTGAAAAAATACCTATAGTCTGTAGCAGATAAAAAGAAAAAGAACTGTGTCAGGTGGACTGATAAGCAGTTATATCAGAGGAATAACCTACCCTAAACTTTTCTTTTTCTTAAAAATTTTAGAAGAGATACATGTATATATATATATATATATATATACACACACACACACATTATATATATATGTATACACACATATATACACATATATACACATTATATATACACATATATATAATGTGTGCATATATATATATATATATATATATATATATATATATATGGTCTCATCTAGAGAAGCATCCTAATATTTTTTTCTTTGCTCTGAAAATCTTTAGAGACACCATTTGAGTTTTTTTGGATAGAAAAATAACTTGATTTTTTTTGTGTGACTGCTACAAATAAATTATCTTTAAGCAAAGGAAGGCACTTAGCTGTATTTAACTTTGCTCTGAAGTTAGAAAGTGAGGATACATTGAATTTTAATAAATCAACGATTATAATTCAACCAAGAAACAGTTTTATAAAGGGATGAATATTTGTTATGATGGAAAGAATCCCTTTGTAGTACAAATTACGACACATGGCGTGTGTTTTGCAAATTAAAATTTACAAAGTTTTTTAGAAGCGTAGAACATCAGTACTCAAAAACCATTTTTTTTTCAATAATTCACTCTGGAACACCAAAGGAATGCATGTAAATTTATTATTTGAGAGTCACTTTTATGGATAGGTACAGTGTTGTGTTTGAGAAGGGAAACTGCTCCTTTGGAAGAGGAATAAGGATGAACAGGACATAGCACTTACCTTTCAGTGGTTCACAAAGTAAGTGAAGACATAGACACGTACATAAACAACAATACCACCACCAGGCTATGAAAAGAATCATAAGAATATTTTGTTTGCTGGAAGGGAGAAGAGAATAAATTAATGTTGGCTAATTCATTAACTTTGCATCTGAAAGTGTCCCATGGAGAACATAAGTTGTAAGTAATTTTACCAGATAAAATACAGAAGGAAGGGGGCAGGGGTCAAGATGTGTGAGCAAAAATAGCTCCAGTTTGCAGTCTCTAAGACAAATGCAAAAGGCGGGTGATTTCTGCATTTCCAAATGAGGTACCAAGTTCATCTCATTGGAACTGACTAGGCAGTTGGCGTGACCAATGGAGAGCAAGGAAAAGCAGGTTGGGGTGAGGGTTCACTGGGGAGCTGCATGGGACAAAGGGACCTCCCTCCCCCAGCCAAGAGAGGCGTTGAGAGACTGTGCTACCCTCCTGGGGTACTACTCTTTTCACATGGATTTTTGCAATCCGCAGATCAGGAGATTCACTCATGAGCCTACACCACCAGGGCCTTGGATCTCAAGCACAAAACTAGGCAGGCCCATGGCAGCTGCTCTGATCTTTCAGGCAGGCATGAGCTGCAGCAGTTTTTACATATTCTGGCGGCACCTGGAACTCCAGTGAGACAGGAGAATTGTCCACTCCCGTGGAAAGAGGGCTGAAGCCAGGGAGTCAAATGGCCTCGCTCAATGGTTTCTACTCCCACAGAACCGCACAAGCTAAGACCCACTGGCTTGGAATCCCTGCTGGCCAACACAGCAGACTGGAGTCCGCTAAGATTACCGAGTTCCTGGGGCAGGGAAGAGGGGCAACGGCCAGTACTGTGACTCTAGTTGGTGGTTTTCGCCCAGCCAGTGCTGGGGAGACCAGGAGGTTTAAACTGGATGGTACTCACCACAGCAGAGCACAGCACAGCACAGTGGCTGTGGCAGATTGTGGCCAGACTGCTTGTTTAGGTGGAACCCGAATCCATCCCTCCTCACAAGGCAGGGCCTCTCTACAGAAATCCCAGCAACTCCAGCTAGTGGCTTGCAGACAGAACTCTCATCTACCTGGGACAGAACCCTGGGGGTTGGTGTGTGGGTGGCCATGGTCTCACATTCAGCAGACTTTATCTTTCCTGTCTGCTGGCTATGAAGAGTATGGGTGATCCAGATGAGGGGGATTCCCCCAGCACAGAGCACCAGCTATGCTGAAGGACAGTCAGACTGCTTCTGTAAGTGGGTCCCTGATCCCATGTCTCCTGACTAGGTGTGACCTTTTAAAAGGGTGCATCAGACACCTCATACAGGAGAGTTTTGGCTGGCATCAGGTCAGTGCCCCTCTGGAATGAAGCTTCTGGAGAAAGGAAAGGCAGCAGTCTTTGCTGTTCTGCAACCTCCACTGGTGACACCCAGGTGAACAAGGTCAGGAGTGGAACCCTAGCAAACTGCAGCAGACCTGCAGAAGAGAGGCCTGACTCTTAGAATTAAAAAAAAAAAAATAGAAACCAACAACAATAACAATATCAACAAAAAAGACCTCATAAAAGCCTCATCCAAGGGTCAACAGCCTCAAAGATCAGAGGTAGATAAATCCATGAAGATAAGGAAAGACCAAGATAGGAACGCTGAAAATTCCAAATGCCAGAATGCTTCTTCTACCCTAAATGATCACAACACTTCTCCAGCAAGGGCACAGAACATGTCTAAAGCTGAGATGGATGAACTGACAGAAGTATGCTTTGGGAAGTAGGTAATAATGAACTTCACTGAGCTAAAGGATTATGTTCTAACCAAATGCTAAGAAGCTAAGAACCATGATAAAAGATTACAGGAGCTGTTAATTAGAATAACCTGTTTAGAGAGGAACATAAATGACCTGATGGAGCTGAAAAGCACAGCATGAGACCTTCATGATGCAATCACAAGTATCAATAGCCAAATCAACCAAGGGAAAGAGAGAATATCAGAGCTTGAAGACTATCTTGCTGAAATCAGGCAGGTAGACAAGATTTGAGAATAAAGAATGAAAATGAACAAATAAAACATCTGAGAACTTAGGACTATGTAAAAAGACTGAAACTATGACTGATTGGAGTGCCTGAATGAAACAGAGAGAATGGAATCAAGTTGGAAAACACGTTTCAGGATACCATCCAGGAGAACTTCCCCAACCTAGCAAGATAGGCCAACATTTAAATTCAGGAAATCCCGAGAATCCCAAAAAGACACTCTACGAGAAGATCTGCCCCAAAACACATAATCTTCAGATTCTCCAAGGTCAAAATGAAGGAAAAATGCTCAGCACTGTCAGAAAAAAAACCTGCTCACCAACAAAGGGAAGCCCATCAGACTAACAGCAGACATCTCTGCAGAAACCCTATAAGCCAGAAGAGATCTGGGGCCAATATTCAACATTCTCGAAGAAAAGAATTTCAAAACCAGAATTTTATGTCAGAGCAAGCTAAGCTTCATACATGAAGGAGAAATAAAATCCTTCTCAGACAAGCAAATGCTAAGGGATTTTGTCACCACCAGGCCTGCCTTGCAAGAGCTCCTGAAGGAATCACGAAACATATAAAGAAAAAACATTACCAGCCACTACAAAACCACACTAAAGTACACAGACAAATGACACTATAAAGCAACTACATTAACAAGTCTGCAAAATTAACAAGCCAGCATCATGATGACATGATCAAATTCACACTTAACAATATTAACCTTAAATGTCAATGGGCTAAATGCCCCAATGAAAAGTCACAGAATGGCAAGCTGGATAGTAAGACAAGTCTTATTGGTGTGCTATATTCAAGAGACACATCTCATGTGCAAAGAAACACATAGATTCAAAATAAAGAGATGGAGGAAAATGGAAGATGGAAAGCAGAAAAAAGCAAGGGTTGCAATCTTAGTTTCTGACAAAATAGACTTAAAACTAACAAAAGTCAAAAAAGACAAAGAAGGGCATTACATAATGGTAAAGATTTCAATTCAACAAGAACAGCTAACTATCCTAAATATATATTCACCCAATACAGGAGCATCCAGATTCATCACATGAGTTCTTAAAGACCTACAAAGAGACTTCGACTCACACACAATAATAGTAGGAAACTTTAACACCCCACTGTCAGTATTACACAGATCATTGAGACAGAAAATTAAGAAAGATATTCAGGACTTGAACACAGCCCTGGACCAAGTAAACCTGATAGATATCTACAGAACTCTCCACCCCAAAACAACAGAATTTACATTTTTCTTGGCACCACATGACACTCTAAAATTGATCACATAAGTGGAAGTAAAACACTCCTCACCAAATGCAAAAGAATTAAAATCATAACAGTCTCTCAGATCACAGCACAATTAAATTAGAACTCAAGATTAAGAAACCCACTCAAAACCACACAACTGCATGGAAATTGAACAACCTGTTCTTCAATGACTTCTGGATAAATAATGGAAGTAAGGCAGAAATCAAGAAGTTTTTTGAAACCAATGAGAATAAACAGACAACATACCAGAAACTCTGGGATGCATCTAAAGCAGTGTTAAGAGGGAAATTTATAACACTAAATGCCCACATCAAAAAGCTAGAAAGACCTCAAATCATCACCCTAACATCATAACTAAAAGAACTGGAGAACCAAAGCAAACAAACCACAGAGCTAGTAGAAGACAAGAAATAACAAAGCTCAGAGTAGAACTGAAAGACATAGAAACATGAAAAACCATTCAAAAAATCAGCCAATCCAGGAGCCATTTAAAAAAATATATCGATAAAATCAATAAACTGCTAGCTAGATTAATAAAGAAGAAAAGAGAGAAGATTCAAATAAACACAATCAGAAATGACAAGGGGTATACCACCACTGACCCCACAGAAATGAACAATCATCAGATAATACTATAAACACCTCTATGCAAATAAACTGGAAAATCCAGAAGAAATGGATAAATTCCTGGACACTTACAACCTCTCAAGGCTGAACCAGGTAGAAGTTGAATCCCTGAATAGACTGATAACAAGTTCTGAAATTGAGGCAGTAATAAATAGTCTACCAACCACAAAAAAAACCCAGGTCCAGATGGATTTACAGCTGAATTCTACCAGAGATGCAAACAGGAGCTGGTAGCATTTCTTCTGAAACTATTTCAAACAATTGAAAAAGAGGGACTCCTCCCTAATTTTGTAAGGCCAGCATCATCCTGATACCAAAACCTGACAGAGATACAACAAAAAAAGAAAACTTCGGGCCAATATCCCTGATGAAGATCAATGCCAACAATCCTCAATGAGATACTGATAAACTGAATCCAACAGAACATCAAAAAGCTATCCACCACGCTCAAGTCAGCTTCATCCCTGGGATGCAAGGCTGGTTTAACATACACAAAGTCAATAAACATAATTCATCCCAAACGGAACTAAAGACAAAAACCACATGATTATCTCAATAGACACAGAAAAGGCCTTCAATAAAATTCAACATCCCTTCATGTTAAAAACTCTCAATAAACTATGTATTGAAGAAACATACCTGAAAATAATAAGAGCGATTTATGACAAACCCATAGCCAATATCACACTGAATGGGCAATAGCTGGAATCATTCCTCTTGAAAACTGGCACAAGGCAAGAATGCACTCTCACCACTTTTATTCACCATGGTATTGCAAGTTCTAGCGAGGGCAATGAGGCAAGAGAAATAAAGCATCCTCAAATAGGAAGAGAGGAAGTCAAATTGTCTTTGTTTGCAGATGACATGATCCTATATCTAGAAAACCACATCAACTCAGCCCAAAAGATTCTTAAGCTGATAAGCAACTTTAGCAAAGTCTCAGGATACAACATCAATGTGCAGAAATCACAAACATTTCTATACACCAACAACAGACAGAGAGTCAAATCAGGAATGAACTCCCATTCACAATTGCTACAAACAGAATAAAATACGTAGAAATACAGCTAACAAGGGAAGTGAAGGACCTTTTCAAGGAGAACTACAAACCACTGCTCAAGAAAATCAGGACACAAGCAGAAGTAACAACATTCCATGCTCATGGAGAGGAGGAATCAATATCGTGAAAATAGCCATACTGCCCAAAGCAATTTATAGATTCAAAGCAATTTATAATCTATTCCCATTTAACGACCTTTGAAATTCTTCACAGAATTAGAAAAAACTATTTTAAAATTCATACGGAACCAAAAATCAGCTTGCATAGCCAAGGCAATCCTAAGCAAAAAGAACAAAGCTGGAGATATCACGCTACCTGAACTGAAACCATACTACAAGCCTACAGTAATCAAAGCAGCACGATACTGGTACAAAAACAGGCACATAGACCAATGGAATAAAATAAAGAACTGAGAAATAAAACCTCACAGCTAAAACCATCTGATCTTTGACAAACCTGACAAAAACAAGCAATGGAGAAAGGATTCCCTATTTAATAAATTATGCTGGAAGAACTGGCTAGCTATATGCAGAAAACTGAAACTGGTCCCCTTCCTTACACATTATACAAAAATCAACTTAAGATGGCATAAAGACTTAAATGTAAAACCCAAAACTATAAAAAACCTAGAAGAAAATCTAGGCAATACCATTCAGGACACAGACACGGGCAAAGATTTTAATGATGAAATCGCCAAAACAAATTGCAACAAAAGTCACAATTGACAAACAGGATCTAGTTAAATTAAAGAGCTTCTGCACAGCAAAACAAACTATCACAGAGTAAACAGGTAACCTACAGAATGGGAGAAAATTTTGCAATCTGCCCACCTGACAGAGGTTTAGTATCCAGAATCTACAAGGAACTTAAGCAAATTTACAAAAAAAAAAAAACAACCCCATCAAAAAGTAGGCAAAGGACATGAACAGATATTTCTCAAAAAAAGACATACATGTGGCCAAAAAAACTATGAAAACGCTCAGCATCACTGATCATTAGAGAAATGCAAATCAAAACCACAATGAGATACCATCTCACACCAGTCAGAATGGCGATTATTAAAAATCAAGAAACAACAATGCTGGCAAGGTAGCAGAGAAATAGAAATCCTTTTACTCTGTTGGTGGGAATGTAAATTAGTTCAACCATTGTGGAGGACAGTGTGGTGATTCCTCAAAGATTTAGAACCAGAAATACCATTTGACCCAGCAATCCCATTACTGGATATATACCCAAACGAATCATTCTATTATAAAGATACATGCATGCATATGTTCATTGCAGCACTATTCACAATAGCGAAGACGTGGAATCAACCCAAAATGCCCATTAATGATAGACTGGATAAAGAAAATGTGTGCAGCCATAACAAGGAATGAGATCATGTCCTTTGCAGGGAGGTAGAGGAAGCTGGAAGCCATTAGCCTCAGCGAAGTAACACATGAACAGAAAAGAAAACACTGCATGTTCTCACTTGTAAGTGGGAGCTGAGCAATGAGAACACATGGACACAGAAAGGGGAACAACACACGCTGGGACCTGTTGGCAGAGTGCTGGGGTGAGGAGAGCATTAGGGAAAAGAGCTAATGCATGCTAGTTTAATACCTAGGTGATGGGTTGATACATGCAGCAAGCCACAATGACACTATGTAACAAACCGGCAAACTGTGCATATATACCCTGGAAATAAATAAATAAATAATTTGCTGTCATTTGCGAAAAATACAGAAGGGAAAGTTAAACATATTTCAAATAAACAATGAATATTTCTTTTCATATAGGTATCTTTATGATCCATGCCATAACTGAGACTTACTTGTAATGATGAATTGAAGGCTTGATGAAGTTAATTAAGTCAGTACTGAGAGGTGACAGCCTGCTGGCAGCCCTTGCAGCCCTCGCTCGCTCGCTCTCGGCGCCTCCTCGGCCTCCGCGCCCACTCTGGCCGCTCTTGAGGAGCCCTTCAGCCCGCCGCTGCACTGTAGGAGCCCCTTTCTGGGCTGGCCAAGGCCGGAGCCGGCTCCCTCAGCTTGCGGGGAGGTGTGGAGGGAGAGGCGCAGGCGGGAAGCGGGGCTGCGCGCGGCGCTCGCGGGCCAGCGCGAGTTCCGGCTGGGCGTGGGCTCGGGGGCCCTGCACTCGGAGCAGCCGGCTGGCCCCTCCGTCCCTGGGCTGTGAAGAGCTTAGCACCTGGGCCAGCAGCTGCTGCGCTCGATTTTTCGCCGGGCCTTAGCTGCCTCCCCGCCGGGCAGGGCTCAGGACCTGCAGCCCGCCATGCCTGAGCCTCCCCTCCCGCCCCACCCCGCCCAGCCCACCGCCGTGGGCTCCTGCGCGGCCCGGCTTCCCCTAGGAGCGCCGCCCCCTGCTCCACGCCTCCCAGTCCCATCGACAGACCGCTGAAAGGCTGAGGAGTGCTGACGCAGCGGCGGGGAACTGGCAGGCAGCTCCACCTGCAGCCCGGGTCTGGGCGGGATCCACTGGGTGAAGCTAGCTGGGCTCCTGAGTCTGGTGGGAACTTGGAGAATCTTTATGTCTAGCTAAGGGATTGTGAATACACCAATGGACACTCTGTATCTAGCTCAAGGTTTGTAAATGCACCAATCAGCACTCTGTGTCTAGCTCAGGGTTTGTAAATACACCAGTCAGCACTCTGTATCTAGCTAATCTAGTGGGGAGGTGGAGAACTTTTGTCTTGAGCTCAGGGATTGTAAACACACCAATCAGCACCCTGTCAAAACGGACCAATCAGCGCTCTGTAAAACAGACCAATCGGCTCTCTGTAAAATGGACCAATCAGCAGGATGTGGGTGGGGCCAGATAAGAGAATAAAAGCAGGCTGCCTGCGTCAACAGACACAACCTGCTTGGGTTCTCTTCCAGAGTATAGAAGTTTGTTCTTTGCAACAAATCTTGTTGCTGCTCACTGTTTGAATCTGCACTGCCTTTATGAGCTGTAACACTCATCCTGAAAGTATGTAGCTTCACTGAGGCCAGCGAAACCACGAGCCTGCCAGCAGGAAGAAACTCTGAAGATGTCAGAACATCAGAAGGAACAAACTTCGGACATACCATCTTTAAGAAGTGTAACACTCACCACGAGGGTCCGCGGTTTTATTCTTGAAGTCAGTGACACCAAGAACTCACCAATTCCGGACACAGTGTCACACAACTACCAAGAGACAACACCTAAATTTCAACCTAAGTGTTTATATTAAGTTAAAACAATTAGGCATTTTGAACTAATGAAAGGAAAAAAAAAATTGCCTCTTGCAACTGATTGTATCCAAGCTTCTTCATATATATAACTGTGAATGTATAAGCCACATACCATAAGAATCCAAACATTTCTACTTTAGGAGTTTATTTGGAAGGTTTTTTTTTAACAGTCAACTGAACTGAATACTATCATTTTTAGAGAAGTCAAATCAAATCAATAATGTTCTAGGTAAATATATCTGGAAGTGTAGTTAAAGCAGTCTTTACATTTGATGACATTAAAAAAGGAATATCTTCATAAATTGAAACGGAACAATGCTCTAATTACATGCCTGACATGCATAGTGTTCATTTCAGGTGACAGAATCTGTTTACTAAATTCTAGGAGCCTATATTGAAATATATAAATGATAAAAATCAAAAATATGAATTACATGAGGTTATTAACATAATAAAAATGATTTTTTTTACTATCACAAAAAAACTATAAATAGGGCACAGGTAAGATTATTTAAATCGTTATGCCAGTAGAATCAGGAGACTGAAAGTATTTAACTTGCATCATTTAGAATTTCTCCTTAGGACGTCACTGAGGTTCACTGCTATCTTATATGGTGACTTTGCACCAATTAGAACAATAAGGGGCTATCTATTCTGGGTGTATACTTTCAGATACATGAATGCACACACAATTCTTGCAAACAATCCCAGGTGTAAAATTTGACAAGAGAAATGTAGGTTGAATCTAAGCACTGTTTGTGCTCATGACCAGGCTTTCTTGCAGGAGCCTCCACCTGTACTACTGTATGAGTCAGGCTAGACTTGTGGAGCCTAAAGCTTCCCGTGATCATTCCCTTCTCTATCTCTTCCAAAGGAAGCAGAAAGACAGAGAAAGAACACATAATTACAGAGGAATAGCATTCACTTCAAAAAAAGCCAGAATGATCCTAAAAGGCACATGTACACACACAGACACAGACACACATACACACACACAGTGAATTGGCAGCAATAAAAGTTGATTTTCACTTGGCAATTTTTTTCTTTTTTTTTTTGAGACAGAGTCTCGCTCTGTTGCCCAGGCTGGAGTGCAGTGGCATGATCTCGGCTCACTGCAACCTTCGTCTCCCACGTTCAAGCGATTGTCTTGTGTCACCCTTCTGAGTAGCTGGAATTACAGGCACCTGCCACCACGCCTGGCTAATTTCTATATTTTTAGTAGAGATGGGGTTTCACCATGTTGGCCAGACTGGTCTCTAACTTCTGACCTCAAGTGATCCACCCGCCTCGGCCTCCCAGAGTTCTGGGATTACAGGCGTGAGCCACTGTGCCCAGACCACATAGCAATTTTCAAGTGACAGGAGAGCCAGAATTGGCAGGAAGGTGGTCAAGCAAAGCAGGGGGTACAGTATTGGAAAGGAGAAATTATTCACACATTGAGTAGCGTTTTAGAAGTGGAGATGAGAAAAAAAGTTTCGCAGAACTGCATTGCTTCTCTTCTCCTTTTTTCTTATGATTGCTTTCTTGAAATCCTCTTAACCCAGAGTTAAGTGGATTTCAAAACAAACCCCTGCTACTCAGCAGAGTATTATTCCACTGGCACTGCTTATACTACTGAAAGCAAAGAACATTTGGTCTTCAGACTTGCAGGTGAATGAGAAAAAACAGGACATAGGTGAAGAATTAATGAAAAATTGAGAAAATAGCCACTAGTAATCTACTTTGTGATTTACAAACTTTTGTTCCTCTATTAAAGAGCATTGCAAAATAATTCATGAATTGAAGTAGTATGTAAATGAAGCCACAATGACTGTACATTTTTACTGATTTTATTTGACATGGTTATTACACAAAATTAAGAGTAGCAAAGCACAAAATTCCTGACAAGCAAAATAGAATTGTTAGCATTACCAGAAGTAGCAAGCTTCTTGACAAAAGAAAGTAATATTACTTTCGTTCTTTCCCTCATCAAGCTTCTTTTTCTCTAATCCCTGTATTCTCTGGAGAGGACAACTGAACCTAAAAAATGTCTGCTGATACTCATGCATGTCCATCATATGTCCTGATGGTCCTGATGGGATGAAACCCATCAGTAGAAGTTAATTCCCTTTGATCTCTAGGCAAAAATTTTACTGTGCCGTTTAAAACCATAAGATCACTTTTCCCAGTGATCTTTGAAAGGAAAACTTGATGAACATGGACCTGAAACTGACAATGATAAATCAACCAATCTCTGACTTGATTAATAGTACATTCTTTAGTCCCTTAATGACTCGTAATTGCCCCTTGAAAAGAGTGAATAGAATGATTTTGGTAACATACAAATTTAGAATGCAACTTTCTGAAAAGAACGTCTTTATCAAAAATGATGACAAATTGATTTTAGAAAAAAGAAAGTCTAATGAGGGTGTAGGCGAGTCTATTACATTCATTTCAGTACTACTCTACAGATATTAATTAAATGCCAATTGTTTTCAAGGCACCATGATTTCAAGTTCTCATCCTCTGGACAATTCTACAAGGACTTTTGGGTTAAGAATCACTGACATGAGAAATTATCATATCTATAAGTGAATTCAGAGTTTCAATGGGGTTTTAGAATTATTTCCTACGATAAAGGTAAATTGATCTCTAGTCGGTGCACTAAAAATGAAAAACCTCAAAAATACATCCCCTCCAAAACTGTGGACAGATTTAACAATCGTTACTTTCCTGTTAGGATGATTGTTTAAATACTAAATGAAGTACATAAGTGGTTGCTTTCACAATATGTAATTGGACATTTACAGCTTGGTACAGCATATCTCTCAAATACAATATGAACACTAGTGCATCTTACAGGACAGAAAGATAATCAACCTTGAGAAATACAATCTATTTAAACATCACTTGAAAGGTGTTCAGTGGTCATTATTATTTTGTTGGAAGTCTCATGTTCAGTCAGACTCTAAAAATTAACTATCCTAAATTTGGTATTGTCATGAGAGCTCTAACATCTGGTAAAAAGGAGACTCCAATGTGATAAGCAGCGCTTTTGCCAGGATAGAGAATGCATTCGTTTATTCATGTATTAATGTAAGGAAATACACACAACATGAAGCAGGCACTAGAAGGACACTAGTGAGAACAGGTAGAATAAGAAATCAATCTTCTCTTCAGGGGGCATTAATTCATTGTGTTAAGGCAAAATGGGACACGTTGATCAATAAATGTAGTGCTTTGCTAGCATGGAAGCATGCTAGGCTGCTCTGGGGATAGGGAGGAAACACATCTTAATTAGACTGAGTTGGGCATTAGGGGAAATCAAATTTGAGTTATAGAAAATAAACAAGAGTTACCTAGATGAAAATAAAGGGAAGAGCAATGCTGAGATGGAACAGTAAGGTAGGAGGACTTATCAGAGCCCCATCGGTCCTGCTGGCATACATTGAATAGGCACAACCTTTAAAAGTGTCCAACCTCATGGCTCCAAAGCAGAATTCACCAACTAACCTTCACATTCCTATCGGTTTGTCACTCAAAGCAGAGCTCCCTATAGCATCGTTGAGGCGTTGGTCTACAAACTATGAATAATGGTGATGTAAGGCAGAAATAGACAATGTTTAAGCTTTGAATAACCATTTTCATTGCTGTGATATTCAAGCACCTGAGCACTAGCCTTGTCTCCTTGGGTAGGATATAGAAAAACATGATCTGTTTGCTACTTATGAGTTGAATTTTTCCCCCAAAAGATTTGTTCCATTCCTGACTCCAGTACCTCACAATGTGATCTTATTTGAAGATAGGATCTTTGCCCATGTAATCAGGTGAAGATGAAGTCATTAGGGTGGACCCTCATCCAACAGGACTCGTGTTTGTATTAGTTCATTCTCATGCTGCTATCAAGAGGTAGCTGAGACTGCGTAATTTATAAAGGAAAGAGGTTTAATTGACAGTTCTGCATGGTTGGGGAGGCCTCAGGAAACTTACAATCATGGCAGAAAGCAAAAGAGTGGTAGGCACCTTCTTCTCAAGGTAGCAGGATGGAGTAAGTGCAAGCAGGGGAAATGCCAGATGCTTGTAAAACCATCAGATCTCATGAGACTCGCTCATTATCACAAGAACAGCATAGGGTAGATCACCCCCATGATCCAATCACCTCCACCTGGTCCCACCCTTGACACATGGGGATTATAGGGATTACAATTCAAGGTGAGATTTGGTTGGGAACAGCCAATCCACAGCAGTGTTCTTCTAAGAACAGGGGAAATTGAACACAGAGATGAATGTCATGTGAATACAAAGGTACACAGGGAGAATGCAAAGTGACGACAGAGGCGGACATTAAAGTACTGCAGCTGTAACCAAAGAATGCCAGGGACTGCCAATAGGACACCAGATACTGGAGAACAAGGAAGACTCCGCGCTCTGTTTCAGAGGGAGTAGGACCGTGACAACACTTGAATTTCAGATTTTTAGCCTCTATAACTATGAGACAATAAAGGAAACAATTGTAGCTATAAATTAGAAAACAAACTCACTGGCCCTGCACCATAGATAGTTTGAGAATTTCTAACGTAGATGAAGTGATACATTAAATCAGAGTTCAGCAGCAGCACAAAAGACAGATAATTAAAGACCCAGAGATAAACAGACTCTAAAGAAAATGAAAAAAAGCAGCATAGTAAGAAAGGCAATGAACCTGGGTGTCTCTTATAGTAGGGCATAGAGAAGCAGAGAGGCTGAGATCTGCCTAAAGGTTGGTTGCCCATGAGATGAGCTGGACCATATTCTCTCCTCCTTTTGGTCCTATAGATTTCTAAATGAATTATCTTCATCTTACCTAGGACATCTTGGGATTTTCAGACATTTTGGGGGAAGAATATTTGGAACACACAAATCAATGGGTGGGAACCAGCAACTCTAAAATGTGATTTTTAAAAAATATATAGATATAAGTGACAAATAGAGACTACACATTTCACTTTCTGGGCATTACAAACTATTCCAACCATTACAGACATTTTCATTTGATGGTGAAGGTGGTAAGTGATATTAATTTCCTCATCTTAAAATAGGAGTGGATGAATAACTGGCCCAATGTCACACAAATAGACAGTGGAAGAACCAAGCTCCAAACCCGGGTTAGTTTGATGCTAGCACTCCTGGTTTTAACCATCAATTGAGTGGAGCCTGTTTTACCTCCTGGAGAAGTTTGAGAATATGTGTATATTATATCTATGCATGTATATACAACATTATCAACCACCTAATAAATGCCAGGCACAGATATCTGTAACAGACAGTTTTCTTTTATCAATTCAAACACTCCATTATTATCGCCATTATACATTTGAAGAAATAAACTCTGTTATTTCAAAAATTTTAGGACTGAAAGAGAAGTAATTGAAACCCAGAATAGACACCCCCACCCAATCGGCTTCCACAGCCCTGTTCCTGCTCTGAGGCCTAGGATCACATAACATAGTGAAGTCACAAAGCTAAAACACCTGATGACACCATGTCCTATGAAGCTAGGTTGCTTTCCTATATGTCATTTTTCTTTCAGTGCCTTCAGCCATATCCATTCAAGCAGTTTGATCATTTTTAGAAGGATATGGAAGTAATATGAACACTTTCCTTCCAACTTATAAATGCTAGCTTACTACATTTAACACCATTTCCTCTGTGAGAGACCATTATCTCTTCACAGAGACCTAAGCTAACTGGGAGACTCTCAGCTATTTGGAAAAAGAGAGCATAGTTTAGAGACTCACTGTCTACTAAGTAATTTAACAAGTCAAAAATCCAGCAACAGATAATTAAATATTCTGAATAACAAAGGACCTTACTAGAGGATTAGAATATTGTAGTAGCTAAGGCCACCGGCCCAAGAGATAGAATGTTTATGTTCAAATCCCAGTTATATCAGCTACCAGATCCAGATATAATCCTGGGAAACTCATTTAAACTATTTATGTCTCAATTTGATTATCTATAAAGAAAGGATAATAATAATAATACCTGTCTCAAGGAGTAAGACAATGTTGGCATATAAATTCACATGTTAGCAATATTTCTTCATATTAGAAGTAGCTCTCAGGTGTCAGTGGGAATTGATGTCTGTGTTTCTGAAGTGAAGCAGTTATATAATTTGTAGTAAAATGTAACAAAATGATCTACCTGTCTGAAATCTGTATTTCTTAGTTGTGCTTTCTTCAAATATCCTATCTTTGATCTCAAAATGTATCACCTCAGGAAAACTGAAGCTGCTCAGTATGGGGTGGGGCTTGAAAACCGAATTTCATCATACATATCACTTAGCCCAGCTCTTATCTTTGCAACGCATATCTCCTGCTTTCCCTTCTTTAGGTTTTCCTTGACTTGTGCCTACAGTGACAACAGATAGTGGCATATTTTAGGAACTGAGAGTCAGAAGACCCAAGTTCTACTTTTACAGTGCATGGTTCCATAATCACTATAATTCCATCAGTGTATTTCCTTGTGACAAAATCTGATTGATAGGTCCTTGTCTTGGTTCATGACTCTTTCTGAAGGCAGATGTAAAATTACTTTGAAAATGCGCAACAATAAATAAATAGAATAGATGAACTTGGGGAATCTATTTATTTAGTCATAAAGACTCAAACAATACAGGTTTGCTGTACATAAAATGATATGTATAAAAATTGCATGGTATCAAGAAAATAGAATGAATTTTAAAATTTATCTTAAAATATATGTAAAACAAAACCAAATTATTTTGGCTAAAATAGACAAAGTATATAAAAAAAGTTTTTTAAAACTCACTTTTAAATGAACATCAAGAAGTATACCAATTCTTCAAATGATGACCAATTCTCTAGTAATGTATTCATCAATGAACAAATTCCAAAGGCTTACCCTCAGCAAGGCAGGTTAAGAAAACAAAGTAGAAAAAAAAAGGAATATATGGTGAGAAAAAAAGTAGGCTGCAAGCATACTGGAGTTTCTTAGCATTTGTCTTATGCATTCTTAACACTAAAACATACGTATTATTTCAACTTTAGAGACAAAGAAGCAAGATCAGAGAAGTCCTCCAAATTGCCCATGGTTATAGAGTTAATTGCATGCAGTCTGGATTTGATCCCAGAAATATTTAGAGGCAAATCCAGACCCTGTTCCATTCTATCATTTGAGGCCCTGGAATCTGCATAAAATAACTAACCTTGATAGAGTGAGTTATGTCTAAGAGATAAAGTACTTAAAAGGCCTTAGGGGCTTTGTAAATAGTAAAACTAAATGTGAAAGAGTCAACAGTATCAGAGCAATAATTGACATCAGTGCTCCCAGGAATGGCCAGGCATGCCTGCAGTAGTGGGGTTTGTAACACATCTTGAAAGAGGGTAAAATAACAAAAGATCAACGGAGGTTTCAAGCATTTCCCACAAAGTTTAGAGTCTTAGAAGCAGGAAAGGTCAGAATGTCCAGGTTATGCTTACTTGATGATATATTAATTGAAGATTAATTGCAAATGAAAGTCAAAGCTATAACAATAACTTTGTTTATAGTTCTTCTGAATAGCCATCTCCAGAGACAGCAAAAATCAAGGATCCTACTTTCATTATCAATATGTTAGTTATTCCATCTAAAACCCCTATTCTTCTACCTCAGTAAGTAAGTACTTGGGGCCTGAAATGGAAAAGATGCACTTATTCCTCATGAAACGTACTGTGATGTTGAGATACACTCAACAGACACATCAGAAAGGTCACTGGAGTTAGCAAATACTCTTTTTTTTTTCTTTCTTTCTTTTATTATTATTATACTTTAAGTTTTAGGGTACATGTGCAAATACTCTTGAAGGGATTTTTAAGGAGATACCACTGGATTTGAATTTGGAAGACTGGATACTAGCTTCTGCCCTAATAAATATACAACATGTTTGACTCTGGATAAGGCACTTAGCATCTCAGTTTTTCTAGCTTAAAATTAATATTAGTAATAATAATATTAGCTAATACTTATTCAGCATATACTTTATAGCAGGATATGGCAAACTAAGACCCAAAGGCTGAATTCGGCCCCCTACTTGTTTTTGCAAATAAAGTTTCATTGCAATATAACAACACCCAATAGGCAGACTGTCTATTGCTAATCTTGTGCTACAACAGCAGAACAGAATAGATGTTACAGAGATGATATCACCAGCAAATCCCAAAGTATTACCCTCTGGCCCTTTACAAAACAATGTTTCCCAACCTCTGATCTACAACAGATAATTCATTTATTCTCTCCAACAACACTATGAAGTAGCTACTGTTATTATCCATATTTTACAAATGAGGAAACTGAAGCACGGAGATGTTTAGTAACACAGCCAAAGTCACAAAGATATAGAGTGGAGGAGTTGGTAGTAACATGACCACAGTATTAAAACTTAGAAATGATACTATAATATGTGCGAAAGTACATTGTAAACATGAGACTTATGAATTGGTTCCTGAGAGGCAGTGTGCCCCCTAAAAATTCATTTTTGAAGCTACATAGATTGGTTTAAATCCCAGCTTCTCCAACTGTTTAATCCAAGTCCCAATGTTCTTATTTGAGAATTATGGAATTATACTTACTTTGCATAATTTCGCTGTGAATTACAGCAAGCAAAAATAAGATACCCTATAAAGGATGGTGCCTAGTGAGTGATACGAAAAGGGCTTACTAATCTGTGTTTTCATGATGTTGTCTACCTCTATGACAATCGTTAACACTGTGATTTATTTCCTTGCCTAACTTCTTTTCTTCTTCACTAAACTGTGAGCTCCTGAGAGGGAAGTGGCCATGCTCATTGCCTTTGTGTCCCCTGATTCTTACACAGAGTTTGGCACAAAGTAGTAGTCAGTAAGAATTCATTGACTAGATGACCAGTTTCTAAAGCACAGAGGCAGTAGGTTTCATCACATTCATTCCATGCTAAGCCACATTACAGAGAGAAAATGTTCTTATTACATTCTAATATCATGGGGATGTAAAGAATGGTGCTTCATTTGTTAGTTCTGCATTATGGCTAAGCCTGAGATTTATTGCTGCATTGGGTAGTCAGCTTATTATAGTCATTTTTATTCCTTCTGGGTAGAATCAGTTAATCAAGATGAAACATGTGTCTATTATTGGATTCAAATATATGCCATATTATTTCTTAAAAGACACTCGTAAATCATCCAGAAATATGCCACCATTAAGAATGCTTAATTTGCCGAATTCTGACTGTTTTCATTGGGGAAGAAAGTAAACTCATGCTAAAGATTGTTGGATGGTTCTGTAATGCTTCGCCATGAAAATTTCTTAAAGCAATTTCTCCTGTATCACCTAGGCTACTTAATGCACTTAAGAGTGACTCCTTCTTCTTATGCCATAAGGCCTTAGACCAATGTGTGTTTTCTGGCCCACAAAACAGATGTAAATGCTAGGTAGGTGTTCTTATTTGGGCCTCCACCCACTTCCATCTGTGAGATGGGAGTCGTGATTCCTCCCTCAATGATTTCTTAGGAAGATGAATTGAACTTACAAAGGCAAGACATCTGGGAGAGGCCTGAAAAAAATCATAGATCACAACATCTGATGATTCTCTTTCATCATTTATCTTTTGTCATCAAGGATGATCACTAAGGTTTAATTAGTAAACTATACAGATTATTATTTTCAAGGAAATCAGACGAATGACAAAACAAACCAAACCAACTAAAGGCCACTTTTAGAGTTTAACACACACACACACACACACACACACACACATATTCAACAAGTATATTCATTTCTATTACATATATCATTCTCAGCTCAGGTTGCTCATATTCAGATTTTCACTCTAATAATTACTAGTCATATGATATCAGTTGCTAGTGACCAAAAATATGTAATAAACCCTCAGTAGGTGTTATATTTTGAGTTATTAATATTTAAAGTATTACTGACTCTCTAGATCTGAGGGTTTTATCTTACATTTTTTCATTCTTTCTGTCCTTTTCTATTTTATTTCAAAAGTGTTTTATTTGCACCTTACATATATCAAGCACTGTGCTATGAACTGGAGATACACAAAGGCCTGTATAATTTTTTATCTCAAGACATGAGAAAGTTGATCACTCCAAATACATTTCAGACAAATGGAAAAGTATAGAAAGTGAAGAAAATAAATGAGTGAATCATGATACAGGCTACTTAGTAGACAGAAGAATAAACAATCTTTTTAAAAAAAAATGCGTAAGAGCCAGTAAATGAGATAGAGAAAGTAGAGGAAACAGTATAATAATTTTTCTGGCAGAATATAGGAAGGCTTCAAAATCCAAAGACTTTCAATCTGAGACTTGAAAGTTGAAGACATTTTGCCCAGATATGAAGACCTGAAGATAGAATTCTGAGAAGAGGCAAAAACATATGGAAAATTCAAGATATGGGAGAAATAAATACAACTGTGTTTTTGAACAAGTAACTTGATATTTCTGTAAAGTATAGATTGAGCATTAGTACTAATTTGATAGGCAAGATCATTTTTGTCCAACAAAAGAATTTAAGACCTAATCTTGTTAATGGAGAGCTATTTAATGATTTTAGGCAGTGTTGTGGCATAACAGTATTTTTATGACAGAAAGATTATTTTAACAATAAGAAGGCAGAGCTATTTGGAGGTTTTAATAATAAAAACAGGGTGATCAGTGTGGAGATTGTTGTAGTCACCTAGGTGAGAGTCAATGGTGACCTGAAGGAAATAATGGTAAACAAAGAAGGAGATAGGTACCTATCAAATTATAAGTGTTTTTTAATTTAATTAACAAATATTAAAGAACCTGTAGCCTAATTGAATTCTGCAGATGATGAAAATAAAGCAAATAAAATGACTTTCTGTCTTCTCACTTCCCAAGTACAGCATGGTGTATGTAACCTGTTAAGCTCTTAAGTGAACTTGCAAATTCACTTATCTTAATAACCTACTATTTGTAAGTTTACCAGAGTGCCTAGCATAATTTAGTGATCAATAACTATTTATTGAATAAATAACTGGTGAAATTTACAAAGCTAGTTAATGCAGGATGCAGAGTAGGTTATGGGAGTGAGATAATGATGTCAGTTCTGAAAATGAATGAAGTTCCCTTGGCTTCATGTTGTAGATGCCTAGCAAGTAATTCCATACAGATATGGAACACTCCAGAGAGAACTAGACTAACTTATAGGGTCATTCACATATAAGTGATGGTGTAGTACACAGTTATAAAATAGACCACTGTTTTTAATGCTCAAATTCTGTTCCACTAACCTGCCCTTTATCCTTCTAATTTCTTTTAATTTCCTTTTTTGTGGCTTTGGATTATCCTCTTTACCTAAAGATCGATATTCATCTATTGTATATCATTGTATTCTCCAACTAAATAATCTTTTGGTGACAACTGGTCTCTTTATGGCCAGCCCCCAACAGAAATGCTTTTCAAATGAAATTATATACAAGGTGAATTTTCTGCACCCTATCCTTGTCATCAGTAACACAAAACACACGATACCCTTAAGGAATAAAATGAGTCTCATTAATTTTTAAGGTTTTTAAATCTTAACTCTTCTGTTGTTTTGTAAGACTAGCCAAAGAAATTTTCTTTAGAATTTAGAAAGTGAAAATGTAAAATAAAAAATGTTTTCTTACCATTGAGTTTATTTTTTAATTGACATATAAAATTATATATAATTGTACGGATAAAATATAATTATATATATAATCTACACCATAATGTTTTGAAACGCATATCCGTTGTGGACTGACTATATCAAGCTAATCAATATATGCATTACCTTGCATAATTTTCATTTTTGTGGTGAGAAAACATAAGATCTTCTCTCAGAAATTTTTGCATCCTCAATATATCTAATTAAGGTAAAAATTAATGCTTCCTGCAATCATTTCTGATATACTTCTTTTTGGGAATAGTAGAGAACAATTAAATTAATCACTTCTTTTACTGCTTTAAGAACACATTCACTGTTATTCACCATTTCATTCAATGACAATTTATATTACATGTTAATTTTATAAGCAATGATAATTTTATTCCAACTAAACCAGTCAGACCTCCCTCCTATTTAAGCCCACCTTTATACGTAGGACTCATCATTTTAAAATCGATGAAAATTATACTGAGGCAATTAAAATAGCAATAAAATATTTAGCACTTCTGAAAGTAATTCACAAATATTTATTCATTTTTATCATGAACTTTAAAGTAACACTAGAGGTAACTTTGAGAGTTTAATGATTCCTTTGCCAATTCATATACTTGGTAATTGTAAGACCTTGAACTCAAACAGACTCAAGTTCTATATTCTGTTCATTTCATTCATCATGCAGCCTCTTAGTAGAGACAACTTGTCTATTGAAAATTCTGCCTGAGGATTATTAACTGGAAATACCATTTGGCTCCTCTGATAATATTTAATCACAAATTTAAATTCATGACTTATCTTTACTGTGTTGATATTCTTAAAACTTTTGATGAATGTGTCTAACTTCATTGCATTGATATAATTTGACATGAAGTACATATTGGAGTTTTAAAATCACCAAAGTGTAGCAGTATTTCAGTAAGAAATTGAGAAAAGTTTCAGAGAAACTGCCATTGATGTGCAATACTAAGTAATGTTGGGTGCCAAAAAAAAAAAAAAAATCCTGAATTGGCCTCAGGAAAGGACAGTTTATCTAAAAATCTGTTCTTATTTTAGAAAAACATGGAAGTGCTCAGGAGAGTTTCATTTTCCACTGCCTAATTTTTGCCCTTTCATTTAAAATCTATTAATTTTAAATATAATGTCTAAAGCTTGATTGAGTCACGAAAAATTAAAAGTCTTCTGCAAAAATAAAGCCTGGTAAACTTGGTTTTTCAAATTGCAGATATATAACCGTAGTGTCCTGAACTAAGGATTATGCCTCATATATTTCTATCTCAACCACAGTAGCACTACAGCAACTGGAAATTACTACATATTAACAAATGGTCAATGAAATAATGTTATACTACTTCCAGGTTTTTGGAGCAACTACTTTCCCATTCTACCTCCTACATACACATTCACACCCAAACACAATAGACAATAGTACCTAGTCTCATGAATGAAAGCCAATGCATTGCACAGACACATCCAAAAGCTCATGTCCAGTCCAGCTAGATGGAAATCTTCCATTCAGAGATTAGAATGCCATGATGGAGAAATACAGAGAAAACAGGGAACACCTATAAATAAGGGCAGCCACCAATCTCATGCTAATGTAGCAAAATATGCTTGATCAAGACTAAGAAAAAAACCCATAATGCACTTGGGCTGTTTTAGTGTTATGGAATGACCACATGCGATTTTCAAAAAAAGCATCACTTTCAAGAAAAACAGTCAAGGAGGAGTTAGAGCAAGATGGCTAAATAGAAACCTTCAGTGATCAGCCCCTCCCACCACTCACCCCCAACAGAAACACCGATTAAACAACTATTCACACAAGAAATCACCTTCATAAGAACGAAAAATCAGGTAAACGATAACTACCTGGTTTTCACATCATATAAGCGAAGAGGCACTGAAGAGGGTAGAAAAGACAGTCCTGAATTGCCTCCATCACCACTCTCCCTTCCCTCTGCAGTGGCCTCATGGCTGAAAGAGAGAATCTGTGTGCTTTGGGGGGTGACAGTGCAGTGATTGTGAGGCGTTGCATTGGAACCTAATGTTGCCGGCACAGTGAAAAACAAATATGGGGCAGAATTCAAATGGCGCCCATGGAGGGAGCATTTAGACAAGCTCTAGCCAGAGGGGACTCAGCTATCCCAGCAGTCAGAAAGTAAATTCTGGCTAGTCCCACCACTGCAGGCTAAAGTGCCCTGCAGTCCCAAATAAACTTGAAAGGCAGCATAGGCCACAAAGACTGAAATTGCTGGGCAAGACCTGTTGCTGTGCTGGGCTCAGGCCAGTGAGCTTGGGGTGCACATGATCCAGTAAAATTCCAGCTGCGGTGGCTAAGGGAGTGCCTGCATCAACCTTTCCCCAACTTCAGGCAACATAGCTTGCAGCTTCAGCAGAGACTTTTTTTTCTTGAGTAAAGGAGAGAAGATAGTAAAGAGAACTTTGTCTTGCAATTTGGACACCAGTTCAGCCATAGGAAAATAAACCACCAAGTAGAGTCCTGAAGCCACATTCCAGGCACTAGACACATAGAGCAATGGAACAGAATAGAGAACCCAGAAACAAATCCATACTTCTACAAGGAACTCATTTTCAATGAAGTTGACAAGAGCATACATTGGGGACGAAAAGCTATCCATATGTGGAAGAAGAAAACTAGATCCCTATCCTTGCTATGTACAAAAATCAAATAAAAATAGACTAGTGACTTAAATCTAAGACCTCAAGTTATGAAACTACTAAAAGAAAACATAAGGGAAATTCTCTAAGACATTAGTCTGGGTAATGATTTATTAAGTAATATCCCACAAGCACAGGCAACCAAAACAAAAATTGGCAAATGGAATCACATCAAGTTAAAAAGCTACACAGCAAAGGAAACAACGAAGTAAAAAGACAATCAAAGAATGAGAGAAAATATTTGCAGACTCTCCATCTGATAAGGTCTTTATGCCCAGATTATATAAGGAGCTCAAACAACTCTATAGAATAAAATCTAATAATCCAATTTAAAAAATGGGCAAAATACCTAAAGAGACATTTCTCAAAAGACAAAGAAATGGCAAACAGATGTAGGAAAACGTGCTCAACATCACTGATCATCAGAGAAATGCAAATCAAAACTATAATGACATATTGTCTTACTCCAGTTAAAATAGCTTTTATCCAAAGGACAGGCAATAATAAATGCTGGTGAGGATGTGAAGAAAAGAGGACCCTCGTACACTTTTGATAAGAATGTAAATTAGTACAGCCACTAGGGAGAACAGTATAGAGGCTCCTCTGAAAATGGAAAATCAAACTACCGTAGGATCCTGTAATCCCACTGTTAGGTATAAAACCAAAAGTAAGAAAATTAGTATATCAAGGAGGTATCTGCACTCCCATGTTTATTGCAGCACTATTCACCATAGCCAAAATTTAGAAGCAACTTAGGTGTCCTTCAACAGATGAACAAATAAAGAAAATGTGGTACCCAATGAAGTACTATTCAGCCATAAAAAAAGAATGAGATCCTGTGACTTGCAACACCATGGATTGAACTGGAGGGCATTGTGTTAAATGAAATATGCCAGGCACAGAAAGACAAACTTCATATGTTCTCACTCATTTCTGTGAACTAAAAATTAAAACAACTGAACTCATGAATATAGAGAGTAAAATGATGGTTTACCAGAGACTGGGAAAGATAGCGGTGTGTGTGGGGGAAATGCAGATGGCAAATGTGTACAAAATTATAGTTAGATAGAATGAATAAGATTTAGTATTTGATAGCACAACAGGGTGACTACAGTCAAATATTATTGTGCATTTAAAAATAACTAAAAGAATATAATTGGAATGTGTGTAACACAAAGAAATTATAAATGTTTGAGGTGATGGATAACCCATTTACACAGAGGTGATTCTTACACATTGTATACCTGTATCACAATATCTCATTCACCGCATAAATATATACACGTACTATGTACTCATACAGACTAAAAATTAAAAAAGAAAGACAGTCACTGTTAATAAGGGATAAATTCTCATAATTTTTTACTCAAGAAAGAAAGAAGATGAATGGCTAAAAGTTGATGTTATGGGCAGAAGAGGAAAATGAAAGCGAGAAAGTGAGAATGACATACAATAGAAATGTTCAGACCTGAATGATTGTCTTCGTCTCTCTAGATAGTGCTTTCTTCAACTGCAGTACACTTTTCAGAACTATTCCTGATCAATTTACCTGTGAACTATGATTTTGCTAAAGTTAGACATTATTTTGGCATACTATTAGGATAAGATACTTCAGAACATAGAAAGACCTATTATGATAGAATAATATTCATCGTAAGAATTTGATATGAAAACCTGTGTGCTAAGAAATTTAACCTTGCCCCAAAAGAATTTGGATTTTGCTCTTGGCTCCTGGAAGATAATCTTTGTTTGCCTGAGGGTCTTGGAGTAGCCAGACAGTAACTGTGATATAGAACTGGAGTTGACCATACTTTAGGGTAAGGAATAGAAATGCCAGAAATACCAAAAATATGATTAGGGTGCGGGCTTTGAATAATAAACTATCAACTGATCTAAAGACTGAGATCAACCATATGTACATCAGTCAGTCAACCAATCAATCAATAATGCCTATATAATGAAGTCACAATAAAAACTATAAACTCAACATTCAAGTGAGTGTCCTTGGTTGATAATACTCTGTGAGTTTTGTCACACATACTTAACCAGCATGCTAGCAGGGAGAGAACCTCAGAAGTTCAGTGCCTAGCATGTCTCTTGGACTCTGCCCCGTGTGTCTCTTCCATTGACTGGTTTTATTTCTGTATCATTTCCCTGCAATAAGCTATATCTATGAAATAACAGCTTTCAGTGAATTCTTTGAGTCTTTCTAGTAAATTTTCAGACCTAAGAGTAGTTTTGGAAATCCCTAGAATTTATACTTGGTGTCAGAATGAGCATGGTCTCATGCAGATTACTATGGTCCCTTTAAACCTGATGGTTGTTTAATTATCACAGTTGGTCTACAGTTTTTCAGGACCATAAAAGAAAGAGCTATCTTTGAGTTCATTTCTATTCGAATAAACAATTTCTTAGCACCTACTACCAGAAGTTATAAGACTATATGTCACAGGTAATATAAAGGAGAAAAAATACAAGTAGCAGCTCTCTAGGGTCTCAGTCTAGTGAAAGAGGCAGGCATACATTGCAATTTTAATGCAAGATATAACGTAGTGTGATGTGTTGAAACAGAAAAACAGAGAGAGAGAGAAAAAAAAAAAAGCAGAGCCTCACATCAGGGAGCTGGTTTGGCACTGACATCCAGACATCGGTGTTGCCAGAATCTGGCCTGGCGCTCTCAGCTGGGTCACATTTTCCTTATGTTGTACATGGATAGTGTAATTTCATAAAACAGCAACATCAAACAAGGCCACCCTGTGACGTGATAGAACGAAACAAAACAGACCATTCTGTAATCATTTTTGATAAATGCCAAAGCATTACCCTAAACTCCCTAATGATCAAACATTTCCTTTCATGGCTAATATGAGCAACCAAAGCTGGCTTTTTGTTGTTGTTGTAGTTGTTATTAATATAAACATGTTCATTTATTTCTTCTGGTTTTGAAGACACAGGATTCAAAATAGAAGCCACCTATGCAATTGTGTGGGTGTGTGTATACAGACACACACATACACACACATGCACATACATATTGTACTGCCATAATTTTGTTAAATGTTGGTTTTGTAAAAATAATTTCAACTTTTATTATAAATTCAAGGGTACATGCACAGGTTTTTTATGTAGGTATCTGTGTAATGCTGACATTTGGGGTATGAATCTTGTCACCCAAGTAGTGAGCACAGAACTGGGTACATAGTTTTTTAACCCAAGCTCTCCTCCTTTCTGTCCCCATCTAGTAGTCCACAGTGTTGCTTTCTCCCATCTTTATGTCCATGTGTACTCAATGTTTAGCTTTCACTTATAAGTGACACCATGTGGCATTTGGTTTTCTATTTCTGCTTTAATTAGCTTAGGATTATGGCCTCTAGCTGCATCCATATGGCTGCAAAATACATGATTTTATTCTTTTTCTGGCTGCATAGTATTCTGTGGTATATACATAACCACTTTTTCTATATCCAATCCACCACTGATGACCACTTGAGTCAATTCTGTCTTTGTTATTGTGAATATTACTATGATAAACATGCAAGTTCATGTGTCTTTTGGGTAGAGCAATTTATTTCCCTTTGGGTATGTACCCAGTAATAGAGTTGATGAGTCAAATGGTATCTGTTTTAAGTTCTTTTTGAAACCTCCAAACTGCTTTCCATAGTGGCTGAGCTAATTTACATTCCCAAGAAAAGCACATGTGTTTCATTTCCTCTGCAGCCTCTCCAGCATCTATTACATTTTGCCTTTTTAGTAATAGCCATTCTGACTGGTGTGAGATGATATCTCATTGTGGTTATGACTTGCATTTTGTTGACAGATTTGATACTATTCCTATCAAACTACAATGTCATTTTTCACATAATTAGAAAAAGACCATTCTAAAATTCATATAGAGCCAAAAAGGAGCCTGAAGAGCTAAAGCAATCCTAAGAAAAACAAACAAAGACAGAGGCATCAAACTACTTGACTTCAAACTATACTACAAGGATACAGTAACCAAAACTGCATAGTACTGGTATAAAAACAGACACATAGACCAATGAAACAGAGTAGAAAACCTGGAAATAAAGCTGTACACTTGCAACTATCTGGATTTTTGACAATACTAACAAAAGCAAGCAATAGGGGAAGGAGTTTCTATTCAATAAATATGCGGGGATAACAGGCTAGCCATATGCAGAGGAATCAAACTGGACCCCTACCTTTCAGCATATACAAAAATTAACTCAAGATGGATTAAAGATCTAAATTAAGTTCTGAAACTATAACATTCTTAGAGACAACATAGAAAATACCCTTCTCAACATTGGCCTTGGCAAGGAATACTTGGCTAAGTCCTCCAAAGCAAATTGCAACAAAAACAAAAATTGACAAGTATGACCTAATTAAATTAAGGAGCTTCTGCACAGCAATTATATATATGATATATATATATATGGATATATATATGGATATATATATGGATATATATATGGAGATATATATATATGGATATATATATGGATATATATATATGGATATATATATGGATATATATATATGGATATATATATGGATATATATATATGGATATATATATGGATATATATATATGGATATATATATATGGATATATATATATATGGATATATATATATATGGATATATATATATATGGATATATATATATGGATATATATATATATGGATATATATATATATGGATATATATATATGGATATATATATATATGGATATATATATATATGGAGAGAGAGAGAGAGAGAGACAACCTACAGAATGGGAGAAAATATTTGCAAACTGTGCATCCCACCAAGGTCAATATTCTGAATTTATAAGGAACTTAAAGAAATCAACAAGCAAAAACCAAAGAACTCCATTAAAAATAGGCAAAGGACATAACAGATTCTTCTCAAAAGAAGACATCCAAGTGACCAAAAAAAACAATAAAAAATTCACAAAATCACTAATCATTGTAAAAATACTGCTGCTTTATAAAACATGTATAGCTTTTGATCTGTCTTGTTCCTTTTGCCATTTACATAAGATTATTAAAGATGTGGAAGCACAAAAACCCTGGGCTCGTAGAGCATACTTAATTAAGAGCAAAACTCTCTTTTTGTTAAACTCTCTCAAAGACCATCTAAAGCTTTCCCCACACCTTTAGTAGGTATTTATTTCTTTTTTCTTTTTTCTGAGAAACCTCAAGTTTCCAATGGTGTATTCTCTCCCTCATTGCAACAAGTCAATAAACTCACCTTAGTTTGACTGTATCTGTGTTTCTGGAAATCTTTGACTAAGGGACATCAACAAAGCTGTGGTATGTGCATAAGTTTGAAGGAAGGAGATACTAAAGGAAACATGACCATCCCTTTTAATACTGCTACTGTGGCACTTGTGCTTCTTGTTACTGGATAAGGGGACTTCATAAAGTTCACATATTGGCTAGTGACTGAAAGAAGATTATAAATGTGTATGTGTGTTGTGTGTATGTGTGTGTGTGTGTGTGTGTGTTTTAATCACCCAAAGCAATGATATATCTATTACAACATTCTGTTTTTGTTTTTATTTTCCTTATAATTTAGATAATACAACTGAGAAATAAAATAAAATTTAAATTAACGTAACTTAAAATGCTGTGATGTTCATTAATTAAATATGTGATAAAAGTGAAATTGAAAAAACCCTAAGGCTTCATGATTACCAAGCGGTAATTAAAGACTATTGATGTTCTTCAATCAGAATATCAAATCTGAAAGGACATCTTACATGAGCTTTTGTATAGTCCTATTTAAAGACATGCAGTCACTTCATCCTACGGATCCAGACCATGCAATTTTATATTTCTCAAAATTAAAATTGTGTGTGTGTGTGTGTGTATATATATATATATATATATATATATATATATATGTAATGTATACACACATAACATATGAACATACGTATGTGTATATATCCACATAAGCATATATAGCTTTATATATATATATAAAATAACCCATATGTGTCTTTCTAATTTATTAAAAGAACATTATTTTTAATAATTTTGTAATTCTATTACTATGTACCCATTATCAAAATAAACCAAACAAAAAATATTTTAAAGGAGTATACTCATGTTTCTCAAATGTGGTTCTATTAATGTATATTGAATGAATACATTTAATTAAATATATATTAATTATACATTATATTTTGCAATAATTAATATATCTGAATTATACATTGTCTTTAATGTATAATTAAATGTATAATATTGCAGGAGAGTCAATAATCAAAGAAAGAAAGAAAATGCTAGGTCCTTGAACTCAGTATTTCTCAGAGCCTTCAGTTTACTCAGGTTTATTGTGAATATACGGCAGGAATGCAAGGCAATGTGCTTTCAAAAATTGTCTAACAATTCTTCCTGTACTCCGTCTCCCCACTCACTTCCTGTTATGGGATTTGGTGTGGTACTAACATTTTACAGGAAGTAATTGAAGCGCAATGACTACTTTTTTTCATTCATTTGTCTGTTTGTAAAGGTTTTTTTTGTCATCTACTAATAGTTGCTGAGTGTTTATTATGCTTGGCTCTGTGGTGGAGAACGGGAAGCAGCGCTAGTGGGCAAACAAAATTGAAGTGCACAATGTTTCTGACTTGTAGGATTTCACAATCTGATTGGGCTAAACACATGAACAAAATGATTATTCATAATGTTACATACTTTCTCAGAATACACAGTTGCTATGTGGGTGAAAAGGATCAAACTGACATTATTGTGAGGATGATTAAAAAATATTGACCTGGGTTTTGAAGAGAGAAAAAGAAGGGATATGAGAATAGCTTAAGGTGGAGAGAAATATCCGAGAATCATAGGAATGGGTGTCTTGTGTGTAGGGTAAAAAGGGAGACGGTGAAAAGGGAGGAAAAGTGGTTTGCAGAATTCAGTGAAGAATAGTTTGGATAATTTATTGCTGGTGATAAATGAAATTGAGCTTATTATACAAAAATATACAAACTTTAAAAACACGATAAATATAATTCCACTCCTTATAAAATCTGCAGTTATATAAATTGGTATAGTAGTTTTGCAATTATTTTGTAGGTTTGTCCTTAAAGTTTTCTTCTTTTGTTTGTTGGTTTTTGTTTCTAAGGAAGTGGTTATGATATTGAATTATCTGTTTCTCTCCAACAAATTTACCCTTGCCTATGACTGTGAAGCCTTTCAGTATGAGGAATCGTGAACTATTCAATTCTGCAGATATAGTGCCCGTTACAGCATTATAAGTAGTAATAAGTAAATATGTTCTGAAGGAAAGAATGTATACATTGCTACTGGAATTTAATCTTTCAAGAAGACTAATAATCAGGAAGATAAAATATTACAATGGTGCAACTCAATAACAGAAATAGCCATAATTGTGAATGCTAGTTTTATATAAGGTTGTGCATTTGAAAAAATTAATTTATATGTGTTTACTCCTCAAAACTTACTCATGATAATGGCATAATGATTATCCTCATTTGTTGATGAGGGAACTGTAGCACAAAATTGTTGAATAGCTCACTTGACTTGAAATTGATAGGACTTTCATCTGAAGACCCTTTGGTTTCAGCGTCTAGGCAATTCACTACTATGCATTCCATCATTGTTTGCATTAAGAGACACAGAGGAATTTAAATAGGAAGAAAGTGTGGATGTAAGAAAAGAACTAATGAGAGCAGCAGGCGGCAACCAAATGTCTAGGCAGATAGAGGCGGGTCCCCTCTGTAACCCCACCTTCGAGCCAAAGACAGTTTAAAGCCTGAAAGCAATGCTACAGGTTAAGTCCTTGGATGGGATTGAGAACCTGTCTTCCCGATCGGAGCACTTTCCTCTGATTGGTCCCCACCCTTCGCTTATTTAACATATAGCTA
The DNA here is from genome assembly GCF_000001405.40 of Homo sapiens. Classification (NCBI taxonomy): domain Eukaryota; kingdom Metazoa; phylum Chordata; class Mammalia; order Primates; family Hominidae; genus Homo; species Homo sapiens. Next base: position 13,285,267 of record NC_000002.12, on the reverse strand, counting down.
CCCTTTCCGAATTGGTTTTTCTACACTGTCGTGCCCACCTTTGAGTGGTATCTTTTATCTTTGCGCTAATCTTTTTTGCATACTCACAAACCAATCAGCATGCACTCCCCATTCTGGGTCCATAAAAGGCCTTGGACCCAGCCACACAGGAGACTTTCCCACCTTTAGTTAGGGGAACCACCCTCTGCCTCCCCTCTCTGCTGAGAGCTGTTCCTTCACTCAATAAAATTCTTCTCCCCCCTCCTCACCCTTCAATGTCCAGCATATCCTCATTCTTCTTGGGCAGGGTGCAAAAGCTCAGGAACCACTGAACGTGGGTACAAGCTATCACACAGGCGAGCTGGGGCATGCAGCGTGGCAGAGCAAGGCCCGGGCGGGGCGTCATCGATCGAGGGTCCCTGGCTTGCAAAGTGACTGAGAAGAAAAATCCTACAACCCTAAGGAAACATAGAAAGCATAATATGAAAGTAGGGTTAATAGGATTTAAATCCAGTGAAATGACTTAAAAAGAAACACTTTGAAAAGGAGTACATGGTGTATGGTTTGAAATTTTTCATTTAAAAATATGTCTTTGTCACCCATCGCATACCGGGCACTTGGCTAGATGTTGAAGTCTACCTTTGAATCAGAAGGCCTCTGAGTAAGTGAGGTGGCTCAAAGAGTGAAATTATACCATGTAAATAGAAAAGGAAAAATACAGAGAAAAGGACAAGCTTACTATTGAATCCATTATAATTTTTTGACTCACAGCAGAAAACCTTTTCAGTTTTTTCTTCAGAAAAGCTTTGATTTTATTTACCTCCTAAGACTAATGCCGCTAGTAATTTCCAAGAATTAAACAATCCCACTGCATGATGCAATTTACATATAGTGTCTATTTAATTCACAGAACACCTTAGGATATAGGTTCTCAGGAAATAAACACGATTTAGACATTACAAAATTTTACTAAGACTATGCTTGTATAGAAAACAGTTAAGAACTGTCAGACTTAAAATCTCTGTTCTTAATTTATGATCCTTAGCTTAAAAATATATGATTCATTAAAATCTATCTTTCCATAAAAAATTAACGTTGATAATTTAGATGTCACCATTCAATTCAAGGTTTAGTTGATGATGGGCATCTGAAATCGGGTAGAATTATGATGGAAGAGATAAATATAACTCTCCTTTGCTGGCAATATTATGAAAAAAGTTCATTTCTTCACAGCATTCTCTTAGATCCTAAATAAATCTAACTATTTCATAGTAAAAAAAATACTTTTGAAGTCTAGGAGCATTTAATAAAATTTCAATGCCATTCCACTAATTTCAATGCCACATTATTTGGCCTATATTAATCAAAAATTTAAAGGAAAATGGATCAAATGCAGTTGAGAATTATTGTAAATCATAGAAAGTTATAATAAATGGCAAAGGCCTAATAGGTCACCTAACCCAACTGAATAGTGCAGACGGATGAGAAAGAAAAGTTACACAGGGAATTAATAACTCTTCATTGTCTTGACTCCCATTAGATTGAAAAATAAGCACTAGATAATGGCCTCACTTCATATTGCTGTGCCTAGGTGTCACTAGTAATGTGGCTAAGCTTTTCTTTGTTTTATTTTAAATTGTGAAGATGATAAAGCTCAAAGAACACAATACTAGAAATAAGAAATAGAATACTCTTTTCAGTCTTATTCCTGATACTAACTTTCTATGTATGATGAGTAAATTGGTTAGACCCTTGCCATAGGTAGTGTGTCTGGAAAAGCAAAGAGAAGAATGTTACATAGCAGCTTTTTGTTGGTAAATAATTGTCCTATTTATTCGTCCTCCTTCAAGGGAAGACTATTAAGGAGAATATTGCAATAAACAAGTCAATCAAGAGAAATAGGTAGTAGTGGTATTGATGGTGAGAAATGATCGGATTCTAGATGATGACCACAAGATATTTAGTTTGAACAAAGAGTAGGATGGACTTAGTATTTTCTGAGATGAGAAAACATGAAAAAAATGGCTTTGGAGTGAGGGAAGGAATCAAGAGTTTAGTTTCGAATACAGTTGCTTTGAAAGGTCTTTTATATATCTAAGTAGAAATGTTCAGTAAGCAGTAAGTATATGTGCCTAGAGTGATATAATTCCAAGATTATAGAAAAATCAAAATAATAATTGTGGCATTTATTTACTCACATTATAAAATACGACATAATTTAATTGACTCAAGTAGATTAAATAAGTGTAGTAAGTATAATAAAATTATGAAAATATAAAAATTATAAAGATATATGGCCAAAAAAATTTTGGATAAAAAAGTTCTTAGAGTGAATTTTTTTTCTAATTTCCATAACACTTTGATAATTTAAAAGCAAAAATTATGCCTTACCTAGAGCACTACAATTTTCCCCTAATCAAAATCTCCTTCCTATTTGTTTCTCCCCAGATCTAATCTATAATCAAGGTGGAAACAAAAGTGATAAAAGGAAGAAAAAATCTGATCATGCCTTCTCCAGACCAACAATTCACACATTACTCTCAGTCAAAACCTTCAACTTCTCTTATATCAAATCCAATACCTTTTAGGTACTCAAAACTCCTTAATCTGTTTCCTCCTTCTCACTACTTTCATTCAGCACACCTCCCTACCTCACACTGGTCAACTCTGGTTTTGTTGGCTTCTTCATTTGGTGCATCAAAAACCATCTCCCTTCTGAAGGACCTTGAACCCCAGGTTTTCTGTGGGCTTCTCCTGCATGATTCCTCTACACTCCTGCCAACTTTTAAGTCTTTCAAATGCCACTCCCTCTTAGTACTTTTTTCACTACTTACTAAGATATTGTTCACTCTTAAATTGCAAGCTCTGGTTTTACTTTGGACTCTTATTTTATAAATCTTATTAGAATTACAGCTAAATAATCACCTACATAATTATCTGCATAAATACTATTTGCCCTGTGAGATGGACAGGTCCATGAGGGCTGGATCTGTATCTAATTCACTAGTGTCCATGCAGCACTTAGTAGAGTGCTTTTAACATAATAGTGCCCAATAGTGTGAAATCCACACAAGAGACAAAAGGAGAAACCAACAACCATTCCCATGTAATGTCAATAATTGATTAAAGAGGAGGGATTAAAGAGATAAGACCCAGGTGTTGAGCTTCCAGATGTCTGTCTAAGGAAGACAATAGGGATATGGGTGGATGAGTCCATTGCATTTATTGAAATTGCCCTGAGAATGATAGTGATCCTTCCAGAGAATGAACAGTGACAACAATCACATTGTATTTGGATGTTTCTGCTGGTCCTAATTTGGTTTGAAGCTTTAGAAAGCATGTACATTTGATTTTACTAAAGCTGCTTCATAAGATGTATTTAGGGAGAAACAAGTGTATTAAAATAGTTTGGTGCAATGATTATAGGCTTCAGAGTCACGGTTTTGTTCCCATCAGTTTCATTAATTGGCAGATACTGAGGCAGTCATAATTAGATGATCTCAATTTCATCTTTTTTATGTGCAAAGTGAAGATAACCATTAACCAGATTTTTTATGTTCTTTCTTTTTCTTTTTACTTTAATTTAATTTTATGTTCTGGGATACGTGTGTAGGACATGCAGGTTTGCTACATAAGTAAACATGTGCTGTGGTGGTTTGTTGTACCTAGCAACCCATTACCAAGGTATTAAGCCCCGCATGCATTAGCTATTTATCCTGATGCATTCCCTCCCCAGATCATGTTCTTTCAAAATTAAAATCCCATAATTTGAATTGTTTCCATCTCTAGTCTAGTCAACCTTGAAAATCTAGAGTTTTGTATATTAATGCTGTTCTTTTTGGATTAAGTTTTAATTATATTCATTTCTAAATTTTTCGGATAAAAATCTGGATATAAATATCTAAATAAAAGAATATAAATCTGCTGATTTTTCTGTGTTAGTATAAAAGGTCCACAGCTATGACTTGATGGATAGAATGATTCATTAATTAAACTTACAAAGAATCCAAGAAGTTTTTGTTAAAATTGTGTTACAATCTATTAGTGTTAGAATCCATTCCATAGACTCATTAATATTGCTATTCATTTAAAATGGAAATTAATACAACTAAATTAGATTAAATTAATGACTCAAAGATAATTTAATTATTTTGAATTTTACAAAAATAAAAAGAAGAGGAAGATATAGATAAGCCATATGAAATTATGAGAACAATTAGGACGTTTCACAGCTTGTCAAAGCAAAAATTGCACTGAACAAAGTGGACAAAGTCGCGAGAAAGCTTCAGAGAGAGAATGCTAGAATGAACCACGTAATTCTCTATTTTAAAATGGAGACACTCATTCTCCCAGCTTCTGGGAATGTTGGTTACATAACAGCTGTCAGCTAAAGCCTTCTCTGGGAATTGTCTTCTACCCTAGATACCACCTCACCCAAGATCAAGGTCCTTTCCTGAGGGCATACTAAAAACACTGACTAGTTCATGGTGGTGGAAGGCAGGGGGTAGTACAAAGTAACAGCCACTTGCTTAAAATGGGACAGTTTTCAAGGTCAATCACAGCTCCAGGGTTCCTATGGGATCAGCTACAGTCTGTACTGCAAATGCCTCACAGTTCAACTTATATCTGATTAGTCCTACTTCTTTGCTCCTTAATAATAAACCTCCATTATAGCAATTTCAAAATAAGTCTGTTTCCCAGGAAACCGAACCTACGGTAGTTGGTTCCAGAATTTATCTGAGGAAACAGTGTCAAAAATAGTATTTTAGAGCTGATCTCTCTCTGGCATTGAGGATCCCTTAACTGCTGGTAGGAGAAGCATTGACAATCCCTGGTACATTGTAGCACCGCAATTGTTAGTTAAAACCAGTGATGAATGAGGACACACTGGCTAGAACAATATCTCAGGGATTTGAGAGATTAGGACTAAGTACTAATCATAAGGAGAATGGAATTTGATGGCAATTACTGAGTCCTATTAATGCATTTAAAAAAGACAAGACAAAACTGAAAGCATATTTAATAGTTAAAGGCAAAGTGGGAAAGTCAAAGGACCTCTTTAGCAGAATATAGACAGAGCTATATGTGATGTCAGAGAGCAAGGAAAGCTAATGATGAGGGACAGGCTAATTATATGAGTAGCAGAGTTCCAGAGAAGGTTGGATACTGTCTTGTGCAATGCCAAGTTTACGGCCCTAGTTGGGAAGAGATGAATTGAGACTTTAAATTAGCAAAACTGGGTTGAGGCCAGGAGCGGTGGCTCACGCCTGTAATCCCAGCACTTTGGGAGGCCGAGGCAGGCGGATTGCCTGAGGTCAGGAGTTCGAGACAAGGCTGGCCAACGTAGTGAAACCCTGTCTCTACTAAAAATACAAAAATTAGCTGGGCGTGGTGGTGGGCACCTGTAATCCCAGCTACTCAGAAGGTTGAGGCAGGAGAATTTCTTGAACCTGGGAGACGGAAGTTGCAGTGAGCTGAGATCACACCACTGCACTCCAGCCTGGGCTACAGAGTGAGACTCAGTCTCAAAACAAAAAGCAAAAAACAAAAAACTGGGTTGATAAACTTGAAATCATTGCAAACTGAGACCCCTCTAAATCCTCTTGACCTGGCCTGCACCTTCCTGTTAGAGGGCTACAACTCACCCATTTGATGAAGATGTTGAAAAGGCCACTACAATGTGACTCAACACTTGACCCCATTGTGATCCTCTTCTGGCTACTAGATCCATAACAATGATTAAGTTACAACATAATCTGACCAGGCTTCTGCTAAGCCTGCTTAAAAAGAAAGAAATTACATTGTAAGGAGCTGTGGGACCTAGAAAAATTGTATTGGAAAGAGCTGGAAGAGGGCTGGTGCCTGAGGATACTGGATCCAAGGTCGTTTCACTTGATGGTAAAATGTGAAGAATGCAGAATTTACTAATATATGAAGAGGAAAACCTTCACACCTCATCTATTTCTTAATGCATTTTTGTAAATAAGTACAATTTCTAGGAACCTCTTCTAACCAGTCCTATTGTAAGCTCTCCATAGGGTTGACCAACTCAACAATGATCTTCAAGTAAAGTTGTGGGGAGTTTTTTGCTTTTGTTATTGTTGTTGTTTTTGTAGAGATAGTGTCTCCTTATGTTTCCCAGGCTGGTCTTGAACTTCTGGGCTCAAGTCATGCTCCTGCCTCAGCCTCCAAAAATGCTAGAATCATAGCCGCAAGCCATCACATTCAGCCCTCAAGTAAATTTCTTTAACAAAAATGTTGTTTTAAAAATTTATTCACACAGCTGTGATCACCAATGCTTTATCGGAAAAAAGATAAGTAAGGTGATCAAGACATTGCAGAGTTAAGTTAAATTTCATGTTAAACCCTCTCACAAATCATTGTAGTAAACAGCTGGATCTTAGTGATTTCCATGCAGAAAATTTTGCAGTGACTGAATGATTTTGAAATATGCAACTTTAGAGCTACAGAGCTGTCAGAGACAGGTATGGCATCAGGGAGTGTTATCAGAAACATAACATTATTCCCTCTGCAAGCCCAGAGATGATCCAGGCTCTTCATGACTGATTTATGGCATTCATTATCAATCTTTGCTCATTTAAAAACCAGAATGCCAAATGGTTGACATTTAGTAATGCGCCTAGGTAGGAACAAAAACATCTCATCATATCATTTCTGCCCAAAGCACTCATTGCTTTCCAACAACCTTAGTATAAAACCCCAAGTCTTGATATAAAACCCCATAAGCCCTTGCATAATCAGCTTCCTATCTATCACTCCAGTTTTGTTTTCTCCATTTTCAGATCACCTTCCCTACACAGCCTCAGTGAACACCTTGTTCAGAGTAAGCCATAGTCCCTCTTACCTTTCTTATTTTTCAAATGCTGCTTATTGTCTTAAATTCATGCCCTTGGTTCATGTCCCCATCCGCTGCAGATCCTACACACATGCATATTTTGTCCAGTTTTCTTGTACTTGTTCTTGATACAGACATCTTCTCTTCTCAGAAACCTACCACAATTAAAACTTAGTTCCTTTTTCAATGAACAAGCATAGTGCCCTGTATTCGATAAGGGAAGTGACATTTTACAGAAAACTTATCCTGTGAAGGCAAGTGACATGAACAAGTCTTTCTGTCGCTACACTCTTCTTAGCAGGGATTATGTCATATTTATCTCTGGGACTCAAGGTCTCAAGGGTGAAGGGAAGGGCCTCACAGAAAAAAAATCATAAATAAGATAATCAATAAATGGAAGCCAGCATTGTTCATTTGATTAGTTCACTCCCTTTTGGTATGGTGGTCCAACTAATAGTTTAAAAGTCAATCAAAAGTCTTAAAATGAATGTGCTCAAGAAGTTAGGCAGGGTGATAAATTCCTTTCTTCTATTTTACTGAAAGTTTTACCAAGGTATTGTGACCATGTTTAATAAAAGATTAAAAAATGATTAATCAGCTTCTTCCTCTGCCAATAACCCTCAAATAAGCTCATGCAGTACAGCATAGGGGATGACGGATGTGTCAATCAATTTGATTGTGCTAATCATTATATAATATATATGTATATCCACTTATCACATCATACTTCTTAAATATATATAATTCTTATCTTTCAATGAAATATTTTAAAATTATAAAGAGAGGGGTCTGATAGAATTGACTAAGCTGGTCTCTATGCAACAGGGCATAGTTATTCTCATGAAGGCTTCACAGTTTGCCAAAGTGTGGCATTTTTCAGTTTTTATGTTTCAGATTCATATGAAATAGTTCATATTTAAGTTAGCAAAGCCTAACTAACAAGTACAGTGTAGAAGCTTAAAAGTATACTTTATTAGTGTACATAAGGCTTCACTCAATCAAAATATTCTGTTTAAGAAATGAAGAGCAAGGCATGGTGGCTCATGTCTGTAATCCCAGCACTTTGGGAGGCCAAGGGAGAAGGGTCACTTGAGCCCAGGAGTTCAAAACCAGCCTGGGCAACATGTGAGGCCCCATCTCTACAAAAATTATAAAATATTAACTGAGCATGATGGTATGCGCATGTGGTCCAAGCTACTTGAGAGACTGAGGTGGGAGGATCGCTTGAGCCCAGGGGTTGATCCTGCAGTGAGTGATGATTGTGCCACTGCACTCCAGGCTGAGCAATAAGCAAGACCCCATGTCTAAAAAAAAAAAAAAAAGAAAAGGAAAGAAAAAGAAATGAATAGATTCTGCATATAGGACATAAAATCTGAAAAATCTAATCCTGTATCTTGAAGTCAGACACATGTAGTTTAAAATGCCATGTCTACCATTTGCTAACTCTGTGGCCTTTTTAGCTTTCCAATTACTCACTTTATAATGATATGAAACAACCCTCGTGGAGGCTGCTTTAGTGATTAAATATGACATATAATAATCTAGCAAAGTGTATGGGAAATCACAGACAATATCTAATATCAGTCATCTATTAAAATCCAGTAAGTTTCTACTTACTTTAAGTATGCTTAAAAACAACATGTGTGAAATGGAGGTAATAGTAATTTCTAAGCATGTCTATGTGGCATATGCATGTCAGGAATTTGTACTGCTTTTCTACAGATATAATAACTCAAAAATTGTTTAAAAACTTTAAAAATATTTATGAATTATCATTTTTGATACATCCTTTACAACATAAAGAAGAATAAAAATGAAAAAAATATTTCCTGGTTATAATCAAAATGAGGCAGTTTTAAAGTTATGAATTTACTCCACTTAATCAGAATTTTAGGTAAGTTATTAAAATTGCTATAGTTGAATATATCAAGGGATCATTAAATAAAATAAATTGGTTTAAAAGTAAAAGTAGAAAATCACAAACTTACCTTTCTCCCCCAATAGCATTTAAGGTCCTATATTTCAGATCAAACACAAGGAAAAGGCCACTTAGTAGAAATGAACGATAATTCTACCACTCCTTATCAAATGGATTAATGCAAGTTTTTGTTGCTGGGAATTTATTTTAATGTATTTCCTGAGAAGTCAGATAGTATGTTTTCTTATCGGCATTTTTCTGACAGTCTCTTATGACACTATGTAATGAGAACCTCTGAGAAGAAAATTATCAGTTCCTTGCATTCAGCTCCAAATAAACAGATTTCTGTGAGAAAAACTTTCTCTTACCCCAAGTATCCAAAATGCATATTTTCAGTCCTAAGTTTAGTGCACTGAACTGTGACAAATGGCAAGCATGATTCAGCCTAATAGAATGTCGATTTTCAAACGGAGGCTTTACACCATAAGGACTATGAAAGTTATTAAGCCCCAACATGTCTGCTCTGCTTGGTGATTCCTTCTCTCTCATCAGAAAAGACGGATGAGATGTACAATACCTCCATTCAATATTTCCAACATTTATTAGCATAAAGGAGAGACCCATAAAGATGTATTCAGTCTAAGGAAAATGGATGAAGAAAAAAATAAAATAAACTGTGAGTGAAAACTACTAACAAATTTGGAAGGATGGGCATGGTGTTGGGGGTAGAAAAGGGAAGAAGGAGGCTGGTATGGTCTTAAATGTTTGTGTCCCACTGAAATTCATACGTTGCAATCCTAATCCAAGGTGATGGTGTTAGGACATGGGGCCTCTCCAAGGTGATTAGGTCCAGAAGCTAGAGCCTGATGAATGAGATTAATGCCTTTCTAAGAGAGGCCCAAGGGAGCCTTTTTGTACATCCACCATGTGAAAGCCCAGCAAGTAATCATCACCTAGGATCAGGAAACAAGACCTCACCAGACACATAATCTGAGGCCTTGATCATGGACTTCCCAGCCTCCAGAACTGAGAAATAGATTTCTATTGTTAATAACCCACCCAGTCTATGGCATTGTGTTATAGCAGCTCAAATGAACTAAGACAGACAGAGAAACACATACACACAAATACATACACACACACACACACACACACACACACACACACACACAGACAGAGAGATCGTGACCTGCCCACTGAATTGCTCTTAAAGAGAAGAAAATGCCTTTGTTTAGTTGATTGCTTGTTAAAACAGTACGTAGTGCTAATATGAGATTTAAAATTTTACCATTCCTTAATCCCATATTTAGTTTGTTAGAATTTTTGAATCTGAATGGATACTAAGAATCTATGTGACTCCACTTCCTTTGTTCTAGCAATGTATTTTGCCATATGTGTGTGTGTGTGTGTGTGTGTGTGTGTGTATACAAATGCATACATATATTTCTATAGATAGATATAGATAGATATGTAAGTGTGTTTGGGTGTATACAAACAGGGTTTCACAAGTTCTAATATTTTTACTCAACATTTTTAAACTTTGCCATCAAGCAAACAACAAAATATATGTATGGGAACATTTCAAAGAGCTATTGGAAATGTCTGATCAGTAAATTCCAAAGCTTTAAATTCATATTTTATAATGTATATTATTGTATGTGAATTTTATTGACTTAAAATTTCTAAGCAACTTAAATATGTTTTAAATATATAAGTCTAATCAGTCCCTGTTGGGATATTAAATATATCAGTATTTTATAGCATCATGATACTAGCTCTGTAATTTTCATGTCCTCAGTATCCTCATTTAAGTTTGAGAATAATTGTTAGTGAAAATGAATTCTTAACTTTTACACATCTTACAAGCTTCTTTATTTTGGAGATGTAACTATTGTGTTCTATATGCTTTTATTTCCTTTAAAACTGGTAACTAAGATTATATCTAATGAATGTATGTATGGTTTTTAGATATATGTTAAGTGGGGAAGACTTCAAAGAATGGGGTTTCAAAAGCATCCACATGATGTACCCTAAACTACTAATGAGTCAGAAGTTTTCTTGGGTCTTGATGGAGTTTTTCACATGAAGACATTTTGGTTCTGTATTCAATGATTTTAACTGCTGTGGAAGTCAGATGTTTGTCCCCGAGTGGTTTCTGTCAGTCTTGCTCAGATTTTGCTGCAATTGCAGAGAGCTGTCAGGGATCACTGAGTTTCTTGTAACTCCTCAGCTTTTCTTGACATTTGACAAACACAAATGAAAAACTTGCTGACTCCTAAGTTTCAGGATTTCAGTAAATCCTCTGCCATCCAGAAAGGGAAGAAAAAAAATATAGTGAGAAGAAGACAGTTTGAGCATTTTTTTATTCATAAAATTTATATTTATGTTTTCTGAAAATGCACAAATATAATTATATATAATTAATATCTTACGTATTAATTAGAAAATCAGAAAAGTATTACAAAGCAAGCAAGTAAAAAATAGCCACTATAAAGGAAAATCTGATAATATTTTAATACTTTCAAAGTGTTTTTTGCAGGGAATATAGAATTATTTAGTAGGAATTAATATATAGATGGATGTATATAATTTTACATAAGGTTATGAGCATTTCCCTCATTTTGAAAGGATATTTTTGTTTTTCATCAATGTTTGACTGTATCATAATTTTTGAAATCTGTGTTTTTTGTAATTATCACTGTGCAGTGGAGAGACTCTAAGGTAGTTCCCACAAACCCAGGTTGCTGGTATTCACACCTTTTATTACCTTCCTCTCTTTAAGTGCAGCTAGGACCTGTAGCTTGCTGCTAACCAATAGATTACAGCATAGAAGACAGCATATACTTGGTTACATGTATGTGATTACCTTGTATGAGATGGCTATAATATCTATCTTGCTAAAAAATTCTGTTACTGCCTTTGAAGCAGCAAGCTGCTATACAATGAGCTGCCCTATGGAGAGGGCCACATGACAAGGAACTGAGGGTGGACATTTTATCCACCACGATCAAGTGGGCTTCATCCCTGGGATGCAAGGCTGGTTCAATATATGCAAATCAATAAATGTGATCCAGCGTATAAACAGAACCAAAGACAAAAACCACATGATTATCTCAATAGATGCAGAAAAGGCCTTTGACAAAATTTAACAACCCTTCATGCTAAAAACTCTCAATAAATTAGGTATTGATAGGACGTATCTCAAAATAATAAGAGCTATCTATGACAAACCCCAGCCAATATCATACTGAATGGGCAAAAACTGGAAGCATTCCCTTTGAAAACTGGCACAAGACAGGGATGCCCTCTCTCACCACTCCTATTCAACATAGTGTTGGAAGTTCTGGCCAGGGCAATTAGGCAGGAGAAGGAAATAAAGGGTATTCAATTAGGAAAAGAGGAAGTCAAATTGTCCCTCTTTGCAGACGACATGATTGTATATCTAGAAAACCCCATTGACTCAGCCCAAAATCTCCTTAAGCTGATAAGCAACTTCAGCAAAGTCTCAGGATACAAAATCAATGTACAAAAATCACAAGCATTCTTACACACCAATAACAGACAAACAGAGAGCCAAATCATGAGTGAACTCCCATTCACAATTGCTTCAAAGAGAATAAAATACCTAGGAATCCAACTTACAAGGAACATGAAGGACCTCTTCAAGGAGAACTATAAACCACTGCTCAATGAAATAAAAGAGGGTACAAACAAATGGAAGAACATTCCATGCTCATGGGTAGGAAGAATCAATATCGTGAAAATGGCCATACTGCCCAAGGTAATTTATAGATTCAATGCCATCCCTATCAAGCTACCAATGACTTTCTTCACAGAATTGGAAAAAAACTACTTTAAAGTTCATAAGGCACCAAAAAAGAGCCCGCATCGCCAAGTCAATCCTAAGCCAAAAGAACAAAGCTGGAGGCATCACACTACCTGACTTCAAACTATTCTACAAAGCTACAGTAACCAAAACAGCATGGTACTGGTACCAAAACAGAGATACAGTTCAATGGAACAGAACAGAGCCCTCAGAAATAATGCCGCATATCTACAACTATCTGATTTTGACAAACCTGAGAAAAACAAGCAATGGGGAAACGATTCCCTATTTAATAAATGGTGCTGGGAAAACTGGCTAGCCATATGTAGAAAGCTGAAATTGGATCCCTTCTTTACACCTTATACAAAAATTAATTCAAGATGGATTAAAGACTTAAATGTTAGACCTAAAACCATAAAAACCCTAGAAGAAAACCTAGGCATTACCATTCAGGACATAGGCATGGGCAAGGACTTCATGTCTAAAACACCAAAAGCAATGGCAACAAAAGCCAAAATTGACAAATGGGTTCTAATTAAACTAAAGAGCTTCTGCACAGCAAAAGAAACTACCATCAGAGTGAACAGACAACCTACAAAATGGGAGAAAATTTTTACAACCTACTCATCTGACAAAGGGCTAATATCCAGAATCTACAATGAACTCAAACAAATTTACAAGAAAAAAACAAACAACCCCATCAAAAAGTGGGCGGAGGACATGAACAGACACTTCTCAAAAGAAGACATTTATGCAGCCAAAAAACACATGAAAAAATGCTCACCATCACTGGCCATCAGAGAAATGCAAATCAAAACCACAATGAGATACCATCTCACACCAGTTAGAATGGCAATTATTAAAAAGTCAGGAAACAACAGGTGCTGGAGAGGATTTGGAGAAATAGGAACACTTTTACACTGTTGGTGGGACTGCAAACTAGTTCAACCATTTTGGAAGTCAGTGTGGCGATTCCTCAGGGATCTAGAACTAGAAATACCATTTGACCCAGCCATCCCATTACTGGGTATACCCAAAGGACTATAAATCATGCTGCTATAAAGACACATGCACACATATGTTTATTGTGGCACTATTCACAATAGCAAAGACTTGGAACCAACCCAAATGTCCAACAATGATAGACTGGATTAAGAAAATGTGGCACATATACACCATGGAATACTATGCAACTATAAAAAAATGATGAGTTCATGTCCTTTGTAGGGACATGGATGAAATTGGAAATCATCATTCTCAGTAAACTATCGCAAGAACAAAAAACCAAACACCACATGTTCTCACTCATAGGTGGGAATTGAACAATGAGAACACATGGACACAGGAAGGGGAACATCACACTCTGGGGACTGTTGTGGGGTGGGGGGAGTGGGGAGGGATAGCTTTAGGAGATGTACCTAATGCTAAATGATGAGTTAATGGGTGCAGCACACCAGCATGGCACATGTCTACATATGTAACTAACCTGCACATTGTGCACATGTACCCTAAAACTTAAAGTATAATAATAATAAAATAAAATAAAATAAATACGGAAGGAAAAAGTTTGAAATCTTAAAGGAAACAAGGAAATCTAGTAAACCAAATTTATCTGAAAAAAAAAAGAATTACCGTAAAGCTACAGTAATTAAGGCAGTGTAGTATGGATAGATGTAACATTAAGTGAAATAAACAGACTAAAACACAGAAATACACCCATACCTTTATGGTAAGCTGATTTTGTGCAATGATGCAAGGACAACATTCAGGAAAAGAGTCTTTCAGTTAATGGAGCTGAAAAACTGGGTATCTGTATGGGACAAAATAATAAGTGACTTTAATCAAAAATAATCCAGAAAATAATTTTGAGAAGGATTTGTATTTCTACATATTTAAAAATAAAAATTATAAGACTTCTAGAAGAAATATAGAGGTACGTCCTCGAGACCTTGGGCTAGGCAAAGATTTCTTAGAAGGACAAAGAAAATATTAACCATGGAAAGAGAAAAGTGGCAATCTGGACTTCATACAATTTAAATTTTCTGCTAGTCTGAAGATAGTAATAAGAAAATAAATAGGGAAGTCACAGAATGAAAGGAAATATCTTCTATGGACATATCTGAAAAATTACTACTATTTAGAATATAAAAATAACAGAACTCAATAGTAAAAAGAAAAACAACTCTATAAAAAGCGGGAAGAAGTCATGAAACAATAACTCTTAAATAAAGATGTAGAAATGGCCAATAAACACATAAAATTGCTCAATTTCCCAATAACTTTTCTTCATCAGGGATATACAAATTAAAATAGTGAGAAACAACTCCATAATTACTATAATGGCTAAAATTTAAAAAGGCTAACAACATTAAATATTAAGCAACAGAAATCTCATACTTTGCTAATGGGAATGTGAAATTATGTAACACTTTGCAAAACTGTTTGGTAGTTCCCATAAAGTTCAGCCAACACCTACTCTCTGACACAAAACTTTCCTCCCTGGTTATTTACCCAAAAGAAATTAAATATTTGCATGCACCCCCCCACACACACATATACACTTTATACAAGAATATTTATAGTTTTATTTGTAATACCCAAATTGGTAAAAGTCAAATAGCCTTTAAAAGTGAAGAGATAAACATGTGATGTATTTACAAAATAGAATACCACTCAAAAATAAATAGAAAAAGACTGCTAATACACAATAATATATATAAATATAGGTAATATTAGGCTGAATGAAACAAGCCAAAGGCAATGTGCGTGTTGTATGATTCCATCTGTATAAAGTTCTACGACAGACAGTACTAGTCTCTGATGGTAAAAGTCAGTAGAGTAGTTGCCTTGTGTAAAGGGCAGAAGGGAGATTAATGCTTATTTCTTTATTTATTGATGTTCTTTGACCTTTAGAATTTAAGCTTTATGAAGTTGGGATACTTGTGTTATCACCATCTATAACAGTATTATGTGTGTGGGTATTCAATGAATATTTGTTAAAAGAATGAATAATGAGTACATATACATTGTAGCATTTCTATAATAAAGAATTGTGATCTAGCCTAAATGTTCAATATGGGGCAAGATTTATGAATGAATAAATTATGATTTCATCTACAAAATATCTGAATGCATGTAATAAATACAAAATAAATACACGAAGATATAAGTAATTATTTTAAGTTTGAGCAATTATAGGTGCATTTAATTGATAGTTTTCCTTTCCACATAATTTTTACTAAAGGACAAAAAAGCTCTCATTGAAAAAGGGGAATGATGTATTCTGAACACAAATTTTATAAAATATGGTTCCTGGTGTCATATGCAGTCAGCGATGAGATCTCAACTATCCAATTATTTTATTTGTATTTTTTTCTGTGATCATTGTTTTGTGGAGAAGGAGGGCCGTTTAATCGTCTTCATTGGAGTCCATTGCATTAGTAGACTACAGGATTTATTCTTCAAGTTCCTTGAAGAACCCTACAGTGCCTGATCCAAATCCCTAAAGGTAGCCTGAGATAAATATGAATGAAAAACAAAAAGTTAGGCCAGAAGTTTCCAGTATGTTTAATTTACAGAGACTATTGAAACTCTTGTGGACATTGCTTTAGACATTAAATACCATACTCTAGGGATATGCTACAAATATCCTGAAATTCCTGTTACTTCCATGACTGTTAATGGTTTCCCATACCTATAGATAAAATTGCCTAGAGATCACTATACTCTCTAGAACCTGACTCCAGCCATCATTTCAGATCTCAGCCTCTGATACCCTGGACATTATACCTGATTACATTGCTGCAAAAGTACCAATTCTTATTTATGTCTGAGTTCACATAACTTATTATTTCTTGAAATGCCCTTTCTCTCCACTCCCACCTCCTGCCCCTGCCTACCCAAAAATAATCACTTAACCTCCAAAGCCCAGTTTTTGGTCCTTTCTCCAAAGTTTTTAGGTAGAATTCCCATAATATCTATGAAATTCCTCTTCCTAAAATCATCCTCTTAAAATTAAAACAACTTTTTCCCACTCTTGAAATGTATGAGAGGTTTAAGGGCTTATGAAACTCATTAATATATATTTCCCTTGAAAACTGCACTTTGATCCGTCTCACAACTGATTTGGTATCTGATATTTATCATATTCTGGCACTGCATTCAAAACTTTCAATTTAACACACTGTCACAGTAATTATACCAGTGAGAATAATTCATCATTATTAAATTATTATTATAAGACACGTTTCTTGCCCACCAGACCATAGACGAGGAGTATGTCTCAATCATCTTGTTCAATTTATTTAGAATTTCACTTACTCCAGAAAGGCCTTTTCTTACTCTCTTATTCAAAGTAACGTTCCTGGTGATTTGTCATTAAACTTATTTAATTACTGGATAGAGATAAAGATAGTACATTTTATAAAATATAAAATGCACAAAGGCAGGGACATTTACTTTTTGTTTCTTCTGGTATTTCTAGCTCCTCACAGTGTATAGAATAAATTGCTAGATCAATAAATATATGTTGAAAGAATTAATATATGAATAAATAAATGGGTGGTTATAAAACAAGTAAAACCATACAATGAGTGGATATGTAAACAAATTTTTGCTTGTCGAATGAATATTTTGGAATGTCCTACAATGAAAGTCTTTAGCAGTAATAATACAAGAAACAATGTTGTTAAAGAACAAAGCAAGAAGATATCTTAGAATGAAAAGAAACAGATTTTTTAGCTTATGATGCTCTTCAGTGTAATACTTCTGACTTTTACAGTACATAAAAATAGCTTTATTGTGTAGGATTTTATGATGTACTCAGGGATGTTTTTATAGGCATTTTCTTTTATTTTCATAATAGTTACCTGGTAGGTATTTTAAAAATTTTATGGATGATAACCGTAATAAATAAATAAATACACACACACACACACACACACACACACACACACATATATGTAACTTTATTGAGTATTTAAGTGTGTGCCTGGACCTCTTCTGATTGCCTTTCATTTATTTATTTCATCTTTATAAGAATGTGATGAGGTAGATACTATAGCACACTGTACAGAAACAAACTGAAGCTCAAAAATAATTATAAAATTGACTCCATTCTAAAGGTAGAAAATCTCAATTTTTAATTTCAGTTTTCTCTCCTATATCCAAAGTCCCTGTTCTTTCTTTAACAAACTGTGTTTCAACATATATAGTAGCTAATGTACTGTATTAGTCCTTTCCCACACTGCTATAAAGAAGTGCCTGAGACTAGATAATTTCTAAAGGAAAGAGGTTTAACTGAGTCACAGTTCCACGTGGCTGCGAAGGCCTCAGGAAGCTTACGATTATGGCGGAAGGGGAAGCAAACACGTCCTTTTTCACATGGTGGTAGGAGAGAGAAGAGCAGAGCGAAGGGTGGAAAGCCCCCTATAAAACCATCAGATCTCCTGAGACCTCCCTCACTATCATAAGAACAGCATGAGGGAATTGCCCCCACGATCAAATCACCTCCCATGAAGTCCCTTCCCCAATACAGGGGGATTACTATTCAGATGATAATTCAAGATGAGATTTTGGGTGGGGACAGAGCCAAACCACATCATGTACATTAAAAATAAATATAGTCCTCTAAATGTCTTAGAATACCTCGCTATATTCTCTCCATGCTATTTGACAAAGCTGACAGCAATTATGACTTGGTTAACTTGTATAGTGTTTACCCATTTCATTTTAAGTTGTCTTTTAATAAGTATTTCTATTGTACATTTCAAGAAACTTATAAATAACACAAAATAGTCATAGAAGCTTCCCATTTCATTCAGAATTTTGCCTTGTTTCCTAGGATTTGAGCAAATAAAAAATAGTTTTAGAAACATGTAAACAGAGAATAAGAAATAGTAAAATACAAATTAAACTAATTACAAACTCTGTCTTAAAGATATAAGGAATACAAAGCATACAAGTTAATAAAAGTTATATAGGTTGTATAAATAAGTTATAAACTTCTCTCATCTTTCATATTGTTACAGTTTGGGATTACGATGTAACATATATAAATAAAATATTATTTTAAAAACACTCCAGAAAGGTTTTTATTCTTTAATCTATCATTGTGCTGTAAAGCAGGAAATAATGAGAGGAAATATATAATGTGTATTTAAATAAATGTTGTCATCCAAAAGACCACCAGTGTGGCTAAATAGTAGAAAAGAGAGCTTTATTGGCAAATCAATTTGAAAACTTGGAAGAGAAAGTCTTCAGTGCAGAAAGAAGGTGTGCTTTCTTCAGAGAACAGTTGGTGTTTATGCCTCACAGGGCTGGTTTAATACATATTCAGCAGATTTGGGAAAAAAGCTATGCAAATTTACCAGGGGAGCCAGGCACATGCATAATGGGTAAAAATGTATATAACATACATTCCATGTTCATTTTGAGGTGGGGTTTTAGCATTAAAATGAGCTAGAGTTTGGCTTTTTATGTCAAAAGTGAACTGTAGAACACAAAGACAACGTATATACAGCCTCTGTTAGTTGAATGAAACTGGCTTAAGGTCGACTGTTGTTTATCATGAAAGAATGTTTTAAGGCTGATCCTCTGTCCAGTCAGAGATATAATGGTCTGGGTTGTGCATCACAGCGGATAGCTCCTATTGTTAGGGAGTTAAGCCTTAGGAATTTAGAAATTTGTCATGCCAGAGGGGTCCTGAACCCTTGACTATAGGTAACTTTAGTTCCCTTAACCTTAGAACCCGTCTTAGTTAAGAAAGTTGCATCTATTCTGGTCTCTCAGATCATGGATCTTTACATTTTAAAATTAATATTTAAATTATAAAATATTATTGTACACATCTAACTAAAACACATCTGTCTTAGTCTATTTTAAATAGTTTAAATATTTTCCTAATCTAAATATTGTCTATTTAATCAAAAGACAAAATACCATTTTGTTTAAAAAGTTCTTTCATGTATCAACAGAAGGCTTCTGACACAACTCTTATATCTACCAAAACCAAATTTCATTGCATATATATATATATGTATATATATATATATACACACATTTTTTTTTTCTTTGAGATAGAATTTCACTCTTGTTGCCCAGGCTGGAGTGCAATGGCGCGATCTCGGCTCACCACAAGCTCCGCCTCCCGGGTTCAAGCGATTCTCCTGCCTCAGCCTCCAAAGTAGCTGGGATTACAGGTGCGCGCCACCACACCCAGCTAATTTTTGTATTTTTTAGTAGAGACGAGGTTTCACCACGTTGGCCAGGATGGTCTCGATTTCCTGACCTGGTGATCCGCCCGCCTCGGCCTCCCAAAGTGCTAGGATTACAGGAGTAAGCCACCGCGCCTGGCTGCCGTAACGTTTTTATATCAAAATTCTTCATGCATACATAAATAGTATATTCACAATAACATGTTATTATTTATGTATTCATATATTTAATAGGTATGTTAGTTTCTGCTATGTACCAGGCACTTTTCTAAGACTGATAATGTGTTGATTAATAAAATAAATCAACTCTCAACACTTGAGAAATTTTTATCCCAGTTAGAGAAAAGAGAAAATAAATAACAAATGAATACAAAAGAAAGTATTGATAAATTTGATAAATATATAGGCAGTAAAAGTGAGGATGTTATAGAAAGTGGGAAGTATGGTTTGTTTGTACATCTACAAAGGGAAGATATATGTATAAATTTTCCCCTATATAAATTGTTCTATAAATGTTGCCATGCCAAAATCTAAAAGAGTTTTGAAGGAGAGGAAGAGTGATTACGAAGTCCCTGAGATGAAAGCAAGCTTATGTGTTCAAGAAATAAAACGGAGCCAATGGGGCTTGATCATAGTCAGTGGGAAGAATAAAAGAACAGAATTAGATGATCACAGAAAGCTTTATGGACCATGGTAAAAGGATTTTATTTTATTGTATTTTAAAAGAGAGTTTTAAGGAGAGGAGTGACATTATCAGATTAATTTTGTTGACTTAAATAAGGCTGTAGCAATAAAGATTGCGATAAATGGTTAAAAAAAAAGAGAACATATATTTTAGAGACAGAGACTTCAGTATTTATTGATGGACTGAATGTGCTGGTTGAAAAAAGTGAGAAATCAAGAATGGAACTTAGGAACTCACTGTGTGAATGTTGGTTTCATTTATTGCAGGCCAAGGAATCAATAGCTCTGTTTCAGTCATGATAATGCTGAGAGCGCTATTAAATGAGATGTAAAGTAGGCAGTTGAATATAGTGGAACAGAGAGCAAAGTCTGAGCTCTTAAAATATACACTCCAGTCATCAGTATATAAGTAATAGTGAAAGTGAATGGGCTAACTAAGATCATTTAGGGAAAAGAGTATAAAAAATAAATTAAAAAAGAAAAGACAAGACTAAGTACATAGCTTGAAACACTCCAACATTTAAAAGTAGAACGTCTTCTGCTTCTGCTCATAAAGGGTTAACAGCTACAAAAACGGTCTTCTTGTGAAAAATAACTAGAAAATGAAATAAAATATGCAAAACAACTCTTTTCAGACATTGCACAATAGGCAGTGTCTAACTGCAAAAACATGATTCCTACGAAAGGAGAAACAATAAACTGAGCCTTAGCTCTAGAAATTGCCCAGCTTAGCACTTGCAGCAAGTTTCTAGGCTGAAGAATAGAGATGGGAACTCAGACCTCAGAAGTCTTACTAATTTGGGAAGGCAGAGACTAGATTTCAGGGAGACAGAAGCAGCTAGAATGTGTGGAGCTGAATAATGAAGAGGAGAGTGCTTTAGAAGGAGAGCCGCGAAAGCTTGCAGAAGGGTGTTCTAGATTATCCTAAATAAATTACTCCTAGAAGAAAGACTGGTATCCTGACAAATCTTAAGCGAAAATCTGAAAATGATCTAGCTAATCACAAATCACTTAACCATACAACTGAATAAAGTCTTGCACTCTTTAAAGAAATACAACAAAATCCAGCACCCAACAACATAAAACTCACAATATTTGCAATCCCATAAAAATGTATAAGACATGCAAAGAGGCAGGGAAATATGATCCATAATAAGAATAAATTTGAATAAACAGAAACAGAATCACAAAGAATGGAAATGATGAAAAATGACATAAAATAACAGATTAAGTAAGAAATTCCATATCAGAAAAACATAAAAATGGACACTATAAAGATTAGTATGTAAATTCTAGAGATAAAAAATACATTATCTGAAATTTTGTAATGGTACCCCCTAGTAAATTAACACAACTATATGTTTGTTAGGTATTTTCTTTGTTTTATGGCTTTGTTAAAACATGTTTTTATAGCTTATTCTTTATAAAATTCAATGTATCTAAATTCTCTCTCTCTTAAAGATTTGAATAAATTCAACTTTCAAATATCTGGACCTTTAAGTCAGCTCTTCAAAAGCACAATTTCTTCAATAAAAATCAGTCTATTCAAATTTTCCTTCCCTCTTTGACTCAAACATTGGATGATTTAAAATTTTATAGACAATTATCCGTCTCACAGAGATTTTCACAAGACCTCTCAGGTTGATAATAAAATTTATTTCAATTCTGTATATCACTTACTTATTTGTAGTTATTTTCACTCTAATTTCTATTTTATTATTGGCGTGAGTTTTTTTAAATATTTAGGTTAGCTAGTGTTGATTTATGCATTTTATTGTTGTGTTGTTATGACCCACATTGTTCTTTATTTGCGGTACTTTTTAAAAATAACATATGTGCTGGTTTTATTCACCGTTTCCTTGTAATTTATAAATGATGATTTTTTAACTCGTTATTTGGAAATAATGAGAAATTTGTAGACTTTGCAAGAAAACAAATAATGCAAGGAATGCCCCTACACCCTGCATAGAAAATCACATATTGGTAATGCATTTTACTCCATTTGCTCTACCATTTGCTATCAATTTTTTACTTCTTTCCACCTAATCTTGTATCATCTACTTAAATGTATTTTCTGAACCATTTGAGGGTAAATTGTATATATCAAAGCCCTTTACTTCTTAAATACTTCAAGTTTATTAACTAAGAACAGGGCTGCTTTTTACACAACAGTTTACTTTTTGATTATCAGCAAATGTAACATCTAACCCATATATTTTTCAAGTATACTATCTATATTCCAATTATAATTATAATTATTAATTTAGTTTTCTACACCCTTGAGTCAAATACGTAGTTTGATCTTTTTAAAATATTAATGCAAGTGTTGGCAATGTGTTAAAAGTAATGGATACACCTTAATGAGACTTTGAATTATAATACTTTTGAATGTATTTTAAAACATGTCCAAAAATCTTAGTCATGCTCATAAATTTTACTTCTATTAATTTCTAAGAAAATAATGCTGAATGTTTACATATTTTTAAGCTAGAAGAGTGTCCCCATCAATAATATTTATAAGCATTTAAATTTTGCATTTATGTATAAGTATTATTGAAATATTCATCAACAAAACAATCTAAAGGAACAAATATTGGCAGTTATTATCTCTATGTGGTAAGAATAAAGGCATTTTTTCTTTATCTGTGATTGCTAGACTTTGTATAGATATGATATATAGAGGTAATATTTATTGTTTTAAAATATGTATGCAAATTCTAAGCCCTTTGTGTGTATTACAAAGTGTAATCTTCAAATGACTTTTTAAGTTAGATACAATTTTTTATTTATTTGTTTGGATGAGAAACACTAGGCACAGTTATTTAGAATAACAGGTAAGTGATAGAGTGAAGATGTGAACTAGGAAATCTGACTGTCGAATTTGTGCTCTTAAATCCTATGCCATAATAAGTGCTACCTTTGCAAAAGTGGAAAAACATAAACATGATTTTTAAAAGGTTGTTGTATTAAGATAAAAGTGGTTTAAAATAATTATGAATAACATAGTCAATGAAATTTCTGATGAAATTTAATGTTTAATTTTTTCAGTAGATGCGATAGATCAATTTCAAATAAATTCCAAGAAAATAAAAGGCTTTAATGTTAACAGGCTGTTATTGCTTAAAAGAAAGGAAATAACATTCAAGTCTATTGATTGTCTACTGTAAAATATACTGGATACATTTGAGCAATAAAATGTACTTTTGAAAGAGAAATAGCTTTCCACGTCTTGCTAAGGTAATACTTCAGTAGATTAACTATTGTTAAGAAATTTAAAGGCAATGAAAAATTATGGTCCTGCCAGAGGAAGAAGCTTTTGCTGAGAAAGCAGGGAGTTGCACCACCTCCACTCAAGCATAAACATGGCAGAATGACCTTAACGCCTACCTTGTTTTTTAATGTCTGCATAAAGCTCTGAAGTGTGCCAGCAGTTAGGGCGATGAAGTAAGCAGAAAATAATAAAGATGTGGGAGGCCAGAATCTTCACAGTGAATGAATAGGGACTGTTCTAGGATTTATAATATGCAGCTTCAACTTATCATAATCCTCATTCTGATCATGTTATTCTGGCAGACAAGCAGTGTAAGACCTACATAGATATACTTTTATATCCCCTGCCCATCCTATGTGTTCTGAAGTTGTTTGGCTCAGTCTTTACTGAGTTTATTTCCTGTGTGCAGATAGGGTCCTAAGATTCAGAGGTTTCTTTGCAGATATCAGAGCTTTATCACCATGCAGTTCCCTTTTCTTCAGTACTCTGCCCCACAAATCTTGCTCCCTCAGCCTCTCCTATTTCAGATCTCTGTCTCTTTAACTCAGAAAGACTACTGGAATATTTTTGGGTTTGCCTTCCATACTACAGCCTGGAAACTGTTTACAGTCAGTAAGCTGGTACAATCATAGGGCCACTCCATTTGTTTCTTTCCTTTCTAGGAACACAGTTATTTGCTCCTGATTGTTCCATGTCAAAAAAAGGTCCTTTCATAGATTTTGCCACTAGGTACAATTCCCACTGCATTTAATCCTGTATGGGTGGAAAACATTTAATCTTTTCTTTCATAATCAGCTTCGCTGGTTTTGCCATTTCTACATTATTTAGTTTTCACCATGAGTTCCCCAAGTTTCCAAGAGTCATTTCAGCAGAACATTAGGGCAGCCTCCCTGGGACCTAGCCATGGTGCTGAACACTGAGTCCTGGGAGAATGCCCCCGTATGAATAATGCCTCCCTTATCCAACTTTTGTTCCCCTTCAACTGACACTATCAGAATCTTTCCCATAAATACTCTGCTGGCTCTTGCCACTACAGTTGGCTAGATCCTGCAATTTCCTGGGGATATGAACCCTTTCTTCTGTTTCTAGAACCAACACTTCCCCAGCTAGTTGAACTGTGACTTGAATCACCCTAGTTTTTGGCCTGCTGGTCAGGAGAGGAAGAGGGTTTGAATTCTAAGAGAGACATGCATTGCTTTGAGAGTGGAGACTTCTCCATCATCTTCATGCAAAAGGGGGACAGTTGTCCTTGACAGGGAAAGTTAGTCTCCTCTGAAATTTTGGAAGATTCAAGAGAATCTGAGATTTCAAGACTTTTTAGTGGAACAATCCAGAATCTGCCATTACGTAGCTCTGGGTCCCATTCTTCTTTCACCAAAAATGCTGAACATGGCATGTCAGACAATTCTAGATTGAGGATTCAATACTGCCTTTTGCTTTCTTACTCTGACTAAATTATGCACCTAATCTTTAGCTTTTTCTGTCCTCTGCCTGAAAAAGCTGTTGTCAAGAGGGTGGTCTAGCTTTAAAACCTAGCTTTTTATTAATTATCAGTCATCCCTCTTAGCCTTTTGTTTCCTTTCTCCAAGACATCATCTGCCTCCACCACCAGTAATTTAATTTAATTGTCCTTATAATTATCACTACTCCAATATTTTCCTAAAGAATGATAAACTACACCACAAATATATGTATTCTCTCCTTTATGTCATCCTATTTCACCATAGTGAAATTTGTGATGATTTCACTGTGACAGTAAGCCAGGGTCATTCTATCAGTGATTCCCTTACTTGTTGGCTTTCAATGGGCAACTGATCTGTCTCCAATCACATTCTAGATTCTACCTTGTCAGAGAAATCCTGCCACTGACTGTTGCAAATCTGATACTCCAAAAAGTAGACTGTGAGATAGATTGGGTGGAGGAAGTGTATTAGGGCAGGCTTTGAAATCACTACTTGTAAGGAAATGAAGACAACAGGGTTGGGTAGAGGAAAATGTGGGACAGTGATGCAACCACTATAATCCCCAGGACACACCTGGGGCTCCGTGGATGAGAGCATCCTTCAGAACTTTCTCAAGTTGAGGTGAGAGAGTGAGGTATTTATATTGTCACACCAACAAGTTGTCAAATGACCCTGCCTCCTGTAAGAGGACAGGATCTGCAGCACTCCCAGCCGCTGGCAGAACCAGCCAATAAGTCTTGAAGACAGATCATGGTAGCACAGCAGAACATCTACTAAATGATTAAAAAAAAAAAGAAAGAAAGATGGAGTTAAATAAAAGCGGGGGGGGGGGCGGGGAGGTGGGGAAGAGCAAAAGGAAAGGAGAGAAATGAAAAGAGAAGCAGAAGGCAAGAAGATAAAAGCTTGTATGTCTACAAAGATCGTATCACATTGTCAGAAATTTCAACTGAGCATCTCTAAAATGTTTACGATGCTATGCCGGGAATTTGGCAAATATTTAAAATGATTATATCCTGGCTTTTCCCTATAATGACTTCCCAATTCAATTTGATTATACCAGACAGGGTTTCTAAATCTTCACACAGTATCACATATATTAACACTACTTTTTAAAGATTGTTTTGCATTAGAAAAAAGTCTAATACAAGATAAAGTATAAATAATAGTTTAAAAATAAGAAAATCGAAGGAGAAGAACAAAGTCAGAATATTGACAATAACTGAGTTCAGACTTACTATAAAGCTACAGTAATTACGAAACTGCAGGATTAGTGAAAGAACAGACACACAGACCAATGGAACAGAATAAGGACTCCAGAAATACAGATACACACATAAATAAGTAGGAATATACTTTGTTATATATAAACTTTTAAATGTATATAAATATATAATTATAGATTTAAAATTATATATTATATCCAGCCTGGGAGACAGAGCGATACTCTGCCTCAAAACAAATTTTATATATTATTATATATAATTATATATATATATTTGCTTATATATATTTTTAAATATATACTTTTTTTAAGGAGCAAAGGTAATACAAGTGTGTTAAGGTAGTCTTTGCATTGTAACAACTAGAAAACTACCTGCAAATAACTTTAGGCATAAACCTGACACCATTCAAAAGAATAAACTCAAAATGAATAATACCTATTAAATGTACAACAAAAAACTGTAAAATCTTAGAAGATAACATAGAAAAAATCTAGATGATCTTGGGTATAGAAGTGACTTTTTAAAATACAACACCAAAAATAAATCATTAATAAGCTTGACTTCATTAAAACAAAACTTTGCTCTGTGAAATACAATTTCATGAGATTGAGAGAAGACAAGCCAGAGATTGGGAGGAAATATTTGTGATGAATACCTTTGAGAAAGGGCCATTATGCAAAATATATAAGGAACAATAAAAAATAAAAGAACACTATAAAATTGGGCAAAAGACCTGAATAGATAGAATAGATACCTCACCAAAAAAGGTATTCAGACGTCAAGTAAGCATGTAAAAGGATGTTAAACATCAGATACTATCAGGGAAATGCAAATTAAAACAAGGATGAGATAGCACTACACACCTATTGAAATAGCCAAAATCCCAAACACTGACAACCCCACATTCTGGAGAGGATATGGAGCAACAGGAACTCTTATCCATTGCAGGTGAAAATGCAAAATGGTACAGCAACTTTGGAAGACAGTTTGGCAGTTTCTTACAAAACTAAAAATACTCTTACATCGAATCCAGGAATTATGCTCCTAGGTATTGACCTAAATGAATCAAAATCTTATATCCACACAAAAACCTGTACAGGTAAGTTTATAGCAACTCTATTCATAATTTTCAAAACTTGGAAGCAATATGTCCGTTAGTGGGTGAATGGATAAATGAACAGGGATGCGTCTAGCCAATGGAATATCACTCCGCCCTAAGAAGAAATGAGCTATCAAGACATGGAAGGAACTTAAAGGTTCATCACTAAGTGAAAGAAGCCAAACTGAAAAGGCAGCAATATTCCAACTATATGGCATTCTGTAAGAGGCAAAAATGAAGAGAGTAAAAACAAAAATAATTGTCATGGATTAGGGAGAAAGGAAAGATGAACAGGCAGAACACAGAAAATTTTTAGGGCAGTGGGACTATTGGGTATGATAATACAAGTGTGAATGCATAGCATTATACATAACACCATGAGAGAATCCTAATATAAACTATGGACTTTCGGGGACTCTTATGTGTCAATGAAGGTTT
Organism: Homo sapiens; assembly: GCF_000001405.40. Lineage (NCBI taxonomy): Eukaryota > Metazoa > Chordata > Mammalia > Primates > Hominidae > Homo > Homo sapiens. The sequence continues at coordinate 13,257,296 of NC_000002.12, read as the reverse complement.
GATTATAACAAGTTGCATTACTGTGATGTGGGATGTGGATAGCTGAGGAGGCTGTCTATGGATGTGGACTGTCTGTACTTTCCACTCAATTATGCTATCAACCCAAAACTGCTAAAAATAATGATTATGACATTTAAAAAAAAAACGTAATAGTGCCCTGGGAATCACACAGAAGAAGAGTGATTCATTTTGAGAGCAGATGGGAGATACAAGGTCTCACCAAAAAGGTGAACCCTAAATAGGATCAATAATTAAAGTTTACCCAACAGAGAAAGAATCCTAGTTTGAAGCTTGGATTTTAGTGCACTTATGCTGTGTAAAAAGCCTGAGCTACTCTAGTCAGGCAGTAATACATTTTCTCACACTGGATCCAATATTACATAAAAGCTAGCTTCATTAAATAGGAGAATGAACATAATAAATGATGGGAAATAAAGGTTTCTTATGGGGGTCTCAGCTTATCCTTAGCCATCATGACATTAGATTTTTCATGTTTTAGACAACAGTTAATGGTGCAAACCCAAGATGCCAAAATGACCAAAATAAATTGAGCTAATCTAACATAAAGACACCTGCGATTGGTGTGTAATTGAATTCCAATGGTGTCATTTTAGAACAACAAATATATGTGTTTATCATAATAAGATTATATTGTATTCTTCAGGGCTGTTACATTAAATCTCACACCAGATAGAAAATCACCTAAAATGATTGCATATCAGTAGCCTAGACAAGATTTTCAAATTTATGGGTAGCAGTGACAAAAAAAAAAGAAGTGCTTTGATGCTTCAATGGGCACCATCATGAGCAGCAGTCACATCCAGGAGCACGTTGCCACTTAGTCATTGTAAAGATGTGTTTTCCTTTTGAAAAATTCATTTGATATCTTTTAAGGTGCCTTTTATCTCAGATTTTTTTGTGATTGTATAGAATGGCAATACTGTCCAGTGACCCATCTGATGTGTCCCTTCTACCACATCTCTGCCAAGTAGTTACTTACTCAGACCCTGCTTGAACACTTCACTGTTTTCTAAAGGAAACTAGTTCAAATGTATTCAGGTGAGATTTTAAAACTGTTTGGATTAGCCATTTTCAACACTGGTTCTGAACATCACTTGATGCTCTATAGAACAAATCCACCTTGCTCTTTTACGTAATAGGCTATCAGATATCTGAAGACAGTGTGAGTGATTAATGAACAGAGATTCTATGTGCCACAAAAGAAAGAATATGTCTCTTGCTAGACATTGATTGGTATAAGCTACCATATGGCATATAAGATATCTTCTAGGACCCACTTAGTTTTTTTCTCAAGATATTTCTACCTAAAATAAATTACATGTGTTTTCCCAAGAAGACTATAATTTGCATAAGAGGGAGTATCACATCTTATTTCTTCCCTCAACACTAACAACTTAAGACAAAATATATGAAAGAAAAGAATTTCATGTTTTATTAAAGCTCTAAGCATTTGTGAAGAATTTACTAAGTATTAATCATGTGTCAGACACTACATTTTATATTCAGGAAGCATACAATAATGCATAGTACATATCATCAAGGACCTTATGATGTACTGAAAAAGGAAGTCACAAAAATGATCTCTGTATTGAAAGTATCTATATGCAAAGTACTGCCAGAGCACAAAGGTATGCGATAATCCTCCCAGGGTTGCAGCAGAAGATATTTTAAAAGAGGAGATACTGAATGCAAGGTCTGAAGAATGAGAATTTATAAAGTAAACAAAAGAGGAAGGCATTCCAGAAAGAAGGAAGAATGTTGGCAAAAACAAGAGGCATGAAAGTGTAACATCGGGAGAGGGAATATACTTCAGTAGTTCAGAGAACAGTTCATGTACAAAGTGCAGAGGGAAGTGGCTAAAGAGATGGGATAGCCAAATGTCACTTTCTTGCATGCCAGGCAGAGGAAGTTGCACATTAATTTACAAGCTACAGGAAATCATTAAAGGGGTTATAGCAAAGCAGTGACATTCTTTGTAATGAAATGTGTTACATTTTGCTAACATATTTAACAAAAACAAAATACATATTTTTAGAAAAGTCACTAATAGTTCTGTGGAAATTAAACTGAGACTGGAAGGGAATAGAGTTTTTAAAAAATCAAAAAAAATTTATATCGCACAGATGAAAGGTGAACCTAAGGCAGAAATTTATAGCCAATATGAAGAGGAAGTTAGAAGTTGAGAGATATTAAAAGGGGATAACCCGGCGTACTTGGTGATTGTCTGATCAAAGAGGAAGAATAAAGAACAGGTGGGGTTAATTGTAAGTTACCGTTCTGATTTCTGACTTTTGTGGATGATTGGAAGGTGGTGTCATTCGCTGAGAGAATGAATACAGGGAGCTAGGTCTATTTCGAAAAGAAAGGTTGAGTAAGTTTGACACAGTTTGACTTTAACATGTCAGTGAAAGTTGAAGGTAACAAAGTTTCATTTGCAGTTAGAGGTGTCTCAATAGAGCGGAAGTATCTGCATTGATGAGGAACAAAAGAAAAGAGATATGTGAAAACAGAAGGTTATTGAGGAAACAAAATATTTAAAAGGTATTCAGAGGAAGTAGTAATGATGAAGATACTGAGAATTATAAAAAGAGTCCAAGTAGAACTGGTGAAGAGACTTGCTCTAAATTAAAAAACTAATAAGGCACAGATTTAATATCTCAGTGGATATCTGTCTGCTTGGGATACACTTCCATCTCCTTGCCTCACCCTCCTAGATCTATTCCACTGGCATTCCTCATGCTTAAGAGTCAGATACAGTCTGTGAAAAGCCTTACTTGCCTACAGTTTGCCTACATCTACATAACAAGATATTTTCATACTGGCATTCTGGTTTTCTCCTTATTTATCTATCTGCCCAGGTAGGTTGCACAACCTACAATATAGCTGATGGAGACTAAGCTTCCATCATTTCTGAAAGCCCAGCATGTATCATTTTGCCTTATATACATGGACACTTAGAAAAAGCTTATTGAAGTAGACCACATTAATGTCAAATTGATATAGTTGAAATATCAACTATATGTGTCACCTCCCGTTAGGTGCATTGTTGGTGTGTGTGTGTGTGTGTGTGTGTGTGTGTGCGCTTCCATACCTGGTAATATGAGCTTGAATACAAGTCCATTAGTGAAAGTCCTTGGAACCCAAAGTCACATACATAGTAGCTATATGCTTAGTAAAAGTGTAATGGTACTGTAATGTACAATTAATGTTATGGTGATGTAGTGCTCATGTAAGTGTAATGGTTTGTGGAGAAAATGAAGAAGAGGAAGACAATAAAAATAACTCAATTAAAATGATAAATATTCATTTATATTTCAAAACTATGTTTTTGCCAAGTTGCTGGTAAATGTATAATTGGCTGTACTATTTCAATAGCTTCTTAACTAGATTTCTCCATTCTAGTACCAGCAGAATTTTTAAAAACACACTCCTTCTCTGATCCCAATATAACACCTAGGCTTTTTATTGCTTAATAAAAATAATAATGCTTACTATAGAAAAGGTCAGGCACTGATCTACATGCTTTAAATATGGTTATTCATTTAGTCCTCATAAACCCTATGCAATACATATTATTAATTCCATTTTAAAGATTAGGAAAGTGAAACATGAAGAAACTTCAGTATTAAACAACTTGCTCAAAATTATGCAAATATTAAGTGGTAAATGTATGATTAAAACACATACAATTTGGTTCCCGAGAACTTGTCCTACTAAACAGTGTATTGTTCTTTGAAAAAAAAATATATGTGTGTTTGTGTGTGTGTATATATATATATACACACACACACACACACTATATTTTTTGCACATCTTGCCATTCTGAACCTTGTCCTTTCTTCCTAAAGTTTTCATCTTTCCGTGTTCCTTGATAGGACATTCCATAATTTATTTACCTTCTGGCTCAATTATTATTTTGTTCATAAGGCTATCCTTTCCTCATCAGAGTAAATTTTAAGTCTTTTTCTCATTTTTTACTCTCATTGCACATTGCAAATTCAACTTTTATACCCTCAATCCTGTTATATTATGTTTATATTTCTCTCCACTTCATAATGAGAGTTCCTTATTTATTTTGTGGTGCCAGAAAAACCTCCACATTTTGTGACGTGTATTATCCAGTTTCTGAATCTTTGTTGAACAAAAATAATGGATAATGCAATTTTTAAAAATTGAGAACTAATATAATTGAAATTCTTTTTAAAGTATATAAATGTAAACGTTATTTTTTTGTTCTTGTTTTAAATGTTCTTTTACTATTTCTTTAGCTGTCTTGAGAAGTGGATAATAATCTCATTTAGCATGAAGGGCTAAGAATAAGGAACAAAAATGTCTGCAATTTGCGTTTTAGATTACATATGTGAAAGCAACCTGTAACAGTGAGTTCTGTACTGTGTACGATCTGTCAGGGCTGTCTTTCCCTGAAATAGTACTTTCTTTGCTGATGAGATGACACCAATCAGGTCTGCAACGTTGTGCAATTCCAGAAGCATCATTCACATTTTTCTCTATGTGCACAGATCCCCCAAGGTTGCTTAACTCTGGGCCTTAAATCATCTGACAGCTACTATTCCTATGTTACTATTGGGCACAATAATCTTAGCTTACTTTCCTACCTTTTCGTAATGATACAGGAATAGAAAATATAGTGTCTGCTTCATAGGAGCTTACAATATTTGTTGCATGTATGTGTAGTGCTTGGGGTGTAGAAATGTGGCATTGGGTGAGTTTATTCATAAGAGTATTGGCTATGTGACTGTTTCAAATCGTTCCTGAAATAGAATTTGTCTTATGGTACAGTTTAGGAAGAAGAAGATTATGTTTCATAAGGTTATCCAGGGACCCAGTCTGAGAGGGAAGGTCTGCCAACCTCAATATGTGGCTTTCTTTTCTGGATCTAAGACAGCTTTTCCAAGCAGCTCCACTTTCCACACAACAGGAGAGGGAAAGAGAGGGTCCATAGCAAATATCTTTGTTTCTAAGAGAATTTACTTGAACTAGTGAATTTTACTTCTTCATATTAACCTTTTGTTTTAAACTCAGTCATGTGGTCACTCCTAATGGACAGTCAGACTGAAAAAATTGTGGTGTCTATTAGAGACTTCTGAAGCACTCTGCAGCAAGCTGAAACTCAGATCCTAAAGCTAAAATGATCGAATTAAGAACAGATTTAATGTTTCTGCCTCGGCAAGAAAGATATAATACAGAGAAAAAGGTGACAGGATCAGAACATTTAGAGTGTCTTGTGTGGATCACGAATACCAGCTTTATGTTCCACAACAAGTCCAGGCATAGAGTTCCATAGAATGATGACGCAGGCCACATGTCTCTGTCCTTGCTGGGATTCTGTCTTACAAAAGAACAGGCAGAGTTACATACCTTCCTCAGATCCTCTTATTACATGCTCAATGAATGTTATAGACAGAGTTAATATGGATTTTAAAGATATTATTATTAGTCTTAAATGATATGATAGAAAACTAGGTTTGACCAATGGAGACGTGAAAAGGTTGGACAATTTCCCTCCACAGCAAATAAATGTAAAATTATTTAAAACAACCATTTTAGGAATTAGGAACTAATCAAGGGCAGATAACCAACTGGTAAAATTTATTCTTGAAAAACTGCTTTTGCACCAGGTAAGAATGGTAGGAATTTGGTGGCCTTCTAGGCTGAGGGTGCTCCCATCTCTGCAGCTTTGTTGATAAAATCACAGCTTTACTGAGGCATGTGGTGCTAGAAGAGGCTGGCTGTAAACACTCACAGATTCTCTGGATGAAAAGGCAAACCTGGTTCAAAATAAGTGATACAACCTGCAGTTTCACTGACTTGAGGATGTAGTCTCAGTTAGCCAGACGGCTCATGACAAAAGGAAATAAGATACATATTATTAACATCCAGAATGCAAAAGGGGACATCATTACACATACTTAAGAAAGTAAAAGGGTTATACAGCAATATTATACTCAATGTTCTGCCAAATATTTAGACCTCTTAGATGAGTTGCATAAACATAATGCTGCAAATGAATAATACTCCATCTCAACAAACTTTTATTAAATGAAGAAAATTATTTACTCATTAAATATATTCTAATAAGAAAATTCAAATCCTGACCTCCGGAATTATATCAAACATTTAAGAAAGAAATAATATTAATCCTGCATAACTTTATACAATGCAACAACAGTGAACATATTTCTACTTATTTTATTAATAAAGTTTTTATTCTAAAAGCTACAGACAATGTTCTCTAGTAGCATAACACATTAGCTTTTAAATTTTAAAAACTCATTGCAGAAGAGCAATATATAAGAAAGAATAATATACTAAGGCCAAAGAGGGTTTATCTCCGCAATGAAAGACTGCTCTAACACCTGAAAATCAACATATATCACTGTATAAATAAAATACAAGGTAAATCTATATTATGTCAGTAGATGAAAATTGTCAAAATCTAATGCACATACATGATAACCCTCAGTGGAATAGGAACAGAAGGCAAACTCACAATGGTCATCTACGAAAAAATATGAAATAGCTTCATCCTAAACAGTAATAGACTGAATGATTTCTACCTAAGATTATTAAGAAGGCAAAATGTCCATTTCTGTGACTTCTATTCAACTTAATACTGGAGGTCCTAGCCAGTGGAATGAGACAAAAATAAATAAATTTATACATATGGATTGGTGAAGAAGTAAAATTGTTTAGTTTACAAACAATATTGTCATGTACATAAAGACCAACGCTAAAAAAACCCATGAAAAAGTTATTACAAATAATAAGTAAATTTCACAGTAACAAAATAAAGGTTAACATACAAAAATCAATTGTGTTCTATATACCTATTACAAGCATTCAAAAAATGAAGTTTAAAAACCTTCACAATATCATCCAAAAATTATGAGAATACAATTACAAAACATAGCTAAAAAAATTAACTAGGAGATTACCATGTGTTTACATTGTAAGACATGTTATTGTTATAATGGAAATTATAACCCAAATGATTTATAGATTCAATCCTCAAGAAAATCATAGCAGGTTTTTTTTTTCTGGAAACAGACAAGTAAATTCTAAAAGTTATAAAGAAATGCAAATGGTCCAGAATAGCCAACACTGTTTTTAAAAATTGTGGAATTTTTATTAACTAATTTAAGTCTACTATAAAATTGCAGTAAACAAGATGGTCTATTATTTGCATTAGGGTGAAATAAACCAAAAATAAATCCACACATATGATTAGCTGATATTCAACAAAAGTGCCACAGCAATTCAATTTAAAAAATGACAGTTTCCTCTACAGTTTTGAAACAATTGGATATATGTGTATAAAATAATGAACTTTGACCCTTACTTTACAACATATTACCCAAATTACAAGTAAGTCATAGGCTTAAAAGTAAACCAAAAAGTAAATTTGAAACCATAAAATGTCCAAAAGAAACATAGGAGAAAATCTTCTTATCATTGGGTTAGGCAAAATATTCTTATATGAAATACAAAAGCATGAACCATTAAAAATGATAATTGATAAACTGACTTCTTTAAAATTAGAAACATTTTCTTCTCTAAAGACACTATGGGATAATTAAAATGAAAGCCATAAACTTGAGGAATACATTTGCAAACATATATTGATAAAGAACTTATATCCAGAATATATAAAATACTATTACAACTGAAGAATAAGACAAAAAAAAATACAAAATGGGCAAGAAACTTACATAGACACTCCAAAAAAGAAAATATAAAAATCAAATGTCAAGTAAGCAGATGAAAAAATGTTTAACACCTTTAGTTATTAAGTAATTGAATACAAAAACTGCAAAGAGCATACACATTATATGCCTACTAGAATGCTAAAGATGTGAAGAACCCTCATGCATTTCTAGAGACATTTTAAATTAAAAATTGTACAGCCACTTTGGAAAACAATTTTCTCAGTCTTTAAAATATTGTAGACAACTTACGTTAAATCATAGATCTTCTGTTAGTAACTTTTTACCTAAGAGAAATGAAAAAAAGATCCACACAAACACTTTTGTGCCATTATCTATAGTGGTATTATTCATAATAGCAAAACCTGAATCAGTTTAACAAGTTGTACTATAGCCATGCAATGCAATACTACTCAGCAATACAGGAAGAACAAAAGGAACAAACTACTAACGCATTCAGCAGCAGGGGTGAATCTCACAAACATCATGAAAAATGAAAGAAGTTAGACACAGAAACGCTTGGTGTAAGATTTTATTTATGCATTTTTTTTGAAAAATCAAAAACATATCAGGAAGCATATTAGTTGTTGTCTGGGACCAGAGGTCAGAGTGGGGATTAAGAGTATGAGAAAATATTTGTGAATGATGAGATTGTTCTAAAACTGGATTGTGTTCATATTTGCACTATCACAGAAATTCATTAAAACTCTGAGTATAAACTGGGTGAGTTTCATGGAGTACAGATCAATTTCAAATTGAGATTGAAAAAGATAGTATATGTATCAAATCTCATCCCCCAAAAAGTTGATTTAGGGATAAATATGTTAATAAAGAAAGAAAATTCTGGCTACAGAGTAAAGGAAAGAAAATGTCCAAGGAAAAGTAGAAGTACAGATATGGGAGTGGAATGGTTTCTCCTGGAAGCATAAAATACAGGACTTTGTAGAAGGATGTTAGAAGAAATGACTTGACCTCATCCCAGCATCTAAAGAGAAATCACTGTGCCCGACTACAAAAGTAAAACCAAGCAGCTAATGTAGAGTAAAAATAATTCATTGTTTTGTATATTTATATGACATCATTGGGTAGCAGAATGAATATGAAGCTATTACAATAAAGACATTTGAATTCTTTGGCACTTTTTGCTTAGATTAAATTTGTAGAATTTAAAGTCTTTAGTAGTGATCTGTACAAAGAAGGAGCAAGGGAATATCAAGAGGTCAGTTTGTAAAAGCATGACAATGTTTCGCCTTTCCCCTTTACACAGAGATGGAGATTTCTTCATTCTAGTGGGAATTTGAAGAAGGTTAACTTATTTGCCTTTAAATCATGGCTGATGTCCCAGGGAAAAATATGAGTGATCTCACTGTTAGGTACATTCTATGACTGAAACATGATTTGGGGTTGAATTCTGCCAAATAATGGCCCTAAGCATCCTTTCAGTTCATTGTTCAGTGAGGTGATCATGCTTCTCCTAGGACCCCAACAGTGTATTCAGGTTCAAGCACTAGTGAGCTCTGCAGCTGGTGAGTCCTTCTGAGAGTGTAGTAGACCTTCCTTAAGATAATTCCTTCTAGACTTGGTCTATGCTTCTCAGTACAAGGTCAAGAGGGAAAGGCTTTCTAGAGTCCACCCACACATAGCTTCCAAGTCTAGGTTTTTCTTTAGCTTTTTCCCTATTGTCTCCTCACTTGTTTTCTAGTGAGAGCATTAAAAAGGAAAAAGAAAGAGGAGGAGGAGGAGGTACAACTCATTTGTCAATAAAAATACTAGAAAGGTTTGCAAATTTTGCTAGCATATTCCCCATCAAGGTATATAGCTTAAGTCTGGATTATGTCCAGGAACATAAATATAATCAGGCTGGTCAAGAACTGGTTTCTGGAGTCAGAAGACTTGCTTCAGAAACCAGGCCACATCACCTGCTAGTTGTATAGCTTTAGAAACTGTGACACAATTTCCTTTTCATTAATATGGGATTCCAATGCCACTTAAAGTTTTCCATAAGAGTAAGAGAAAATATTTCTCAAAAACATAGAAATCAAATAAAATAATTCAAAAGCATTTTGAGTGTTACCTGTTACACAACAAGTGTTGTACTTCAGATATTCTCACTTAACTGATCCCACAGCTAATAATATTTTGAAAGCAAATGTTAATTCTCCCACTTTGTTAGCTGTGGCAAATAATCATCTGCATAATTGCTGTGGAATGTTTCAGTAGCATCAGGGAGGGATTTGATCATGGATTGTAAATGATGAGAGACTATGATCACATATGCACACACTTGACAGGGATTCGACGAGGACAAGAAAAAAAATGAAGATAGCACTAAATGGCTTGGCAAGCCAGATTTCTGTCCTCTCTGCCTGTAATATACGGATTGAACTTAATTAGAAATGACCAAGTTCTACCCTAGCTCTGGTTACCACTATCAAGACAAACTGCCCTTTGGGATATCCAGGATAGATTCTCTGCTATCCCAATTCCCCAAGCCAGGAGGTTTCCTCCTGTCTATCACACGACTAAATCACTATTTAACAATATAAAAGTAATTGTGTTGGCTTTTGTTTCATGTCATTTTTCTTTCCCCATCCATCATCTCAATAATTCTGAGAATCCCTGAAATACAGAAAAGTGATAATACCAAAAGATACATTGATATTTGCACTCATCATAAAACAGCATTAATTCAATGCTTAGGGCAGGTGTTGCAAACTGTTTTTCTGTAAAGGGGCACATAATAAATATTTTAGGCATTATAGGCCATACAGTTCCAGTTGCAACTTCTCAGCCATGCCACAATGTTATAAAAGTAGCCAGACATGTAAATGAATCAGTATACCTGTGCTTTAAGTAAATTTCACTTATGGACACTAAGAATTGCATTTCATACTGTTATTATTATTATTATTTTAGGTATATACTAATGTAAAAATCATTCTTTGTTTATGGGCCATACAAAAATGAGCAGCAGGATGATATGGCCTGAAGGCCGTGGTCTGAATGAACCACTAACACTGTCTCCACGCTTCCAAATAATAGCCCACTGCCTCACCAACTGATTGGGAAGATAGACCACTGGATGTTGCAGTGGTGTGGCACCTACTCTTTCCTCCAGATACTGTCTCCTAACTGACCCCTTCAGAGCCTCATCCTTCTTTGCCCACAGGACAAATCAACAGTCAGAGTTGTGTACGTGTCCATCACTCAGTGGAGTGAAAGGACTCTGAACACTTAGGAAAAAGATGGCTGTTTCTCTTTTCCTTCCATGCAGTATCTTTTCACAGATATTTCCCTCTTTTGGCTTTTTCAACTGAAAAAAAAAAAAAAAAACTCTCCTCATATTCACCCCACTGATGGCATGACCAAACCTATGTTCATGATCATGCTGTTTGACAACATCTCCAAGTACGTATCACAAAGGCTTCCTGGTAGCTGGCAAAGTTTTGTGGTATGCCTGGCTGTTGTCATAGTTCTTAATAAGAAATAAAATGTTGCTACACTGCTGTTTTTGCCGTTATCTAATTTCTAATTTATGAGGACAGACATCAATCTTCTTCTAAAACACTTGCATTACACAAAAGTGCTCTGTCTCTATAATATCTTGCCTACTGACCTGTTAAGTGTTCAAGGAAAAATGTGAAAAAAATATATATATTGTGAATATATGCTTGGAAGTGTCATGCTTTAGTGAAACTTACAGCTTTCCCCTTCAACTTAAGTACAAAGAATGATTGGGTAGCACCTTTGCAAAATTTCAAATAAAATCAATGTGGTGTATACAGTGGAATGAGGGCTAAATGTGCTTTCAAAATTATTGGAAACTATCTATCACTACTCAAACAGGTGTTATATCACACAATCAAGTTTTTATTGGAAATTTCGACACCGGTCTCCTTCCCTAGAAAACCTTGAAAGTCTATTTTAAAACTAGTATAACAGCAATGATATTGCAAAAACGATAAAAATATTTTGTTAGTGTCTCCTCTAGTGAAAATTTATAATTATATTTTAACAATCAGTTTTAAAGTAATATGTAATATCTGATTTTACATTTATCTACTTTATTAGATTCTACTAACAACTCATCTTAAATACCAAAAGAAAACTCAAGGAAAGCCTAAGAATGTTAAGGGTAACAAAAGTGGTGGAAGTTTGAAAGAAGAGAGATTAAATCTGATTCCTCAATTCATGAACTGTATAATTCTAGCCAAATGACATTGGAATCACAGGCCAGGAGTGGTGGCTCATGCCTGTAATCCCAGCACTTTGGGAGGCCAAGGTGGGTGGATCACCTGAAATCAGTAGTTTGAGACCAGCCTGGCCAATATGGTGAAACCCCGTCTCTACTAAAAATACAAAAATTAGCTGGGCGTAGTGGCAGGTGCCTGTAGTCCCAGCTACGTGGGAGGCTGAAACAGGAGACTCCCTTGAACCCGGGAGGCAGAGGTTGCAGTGAGCCAAGATGGCGCCACTGCACTCCAGCCTGGGAGACAGAGTGAGACTTCATCTCAAAAATTAAAAAAAACAAAAAAAATGAATCTCAGTTTGCACATTTCAAAATGTTTTCAGAGTTATGGATAAAATATAAAAAGTAATGAATGCTATGTTTTTGACATAGTGCATGTTGAACATCAATATGAATATTAGAGTCATATTTTAAAAATCATTTACTTCAAATTCCAAGCATTATGTTTACATCCATAGAGCAGGAGAGCTGCAAAGGGACTTAGAGATCATCTCTTAACTCTCTCTTAATCTACATCAGATGCAGAAACTGATGGTCAGAGACAGGAAGTGATTGCTTTGAGCACGTTCAAAGAGCTAGAAGCGGTTTCTGGTTTAACAGAGTTGTCTTTAAAGCTCTGATTCAGTGTTCTTTCTCTCTACGCTGTAACTACTTATGGTTTCCATATTTTATAAATAAAAATACAAAAGGCCTATTTATATTTGATTTTAATACTTTTTTAATTTTAGTTTTATTTTTTGGGGAAGTTTATGTCCCGTGAAATCACTGGGACATGTTTATATAAAAAAATTGTTGCTTATCTAAGATTTAGATTTAACTGAGCATTCTGTGTTTTATCTTGTAAGGCAACAGTTTTGAACCTCCCAAAATCTCAACTTCAGCCAGATATTATCACTACCTGGGTAAGTCCTATTCACCCTTAAATCCACAACTCACTGTCTTTAGACTTTATTTCATAGAAACTCATCTTTGCTTCTTCCCATACTCACAAGGCACTTTAATTCTATTCTTCCTAGAACTAATCACGTTCGGCCATGCACTATACGTTAGATGCATATGTGTTTGTCTCCTCTACTCCTCTGTGGGCTCCTGAATGATTGATATTGCTTTTTTAAAAACTGTAAATTAATGTATCTGCAATTTATCTAGCCCAGTGCCTTGGAAGCAATATCATATCTGCACAATATTGTTTAAAAGAGGGGTTCTTATTAATAATAGCTATGTTTCCATGGTTATGCCAGTCCAATATAATTGTCTTTCATCATCATCTTTAACATAATTATCATCATTAAGGAAGCATCATTCATATTGTTCATTCATTATTGAGATGTTCAATAATAGTTTGTGTAACTATGATAATCACTTGGAATTTATTTACTCATTCAAAGCTCACAACAATTTTTATAGATAAATTATCATGGTTCTTACCCATTTTTCTGATGACAGAACTAAGCCCAGAGACTAGAATAAGGAAGATTATTTAGGTTACTCATGATTACATAATAGGAAGCAGTAAATCTGGGCTTCAAACACAAAACCATGTTTTTAACAACCTCTAGACTATAACAAGAGACACAGTATGGTATTTCTCTGCTTCTGACCTCAGGTAAAGTGCAGGGTCTGCAGTCCGTTTAAATTAACAACACCTAGGCTCCTCACAAATTCTAATTCACAAATTATTTTTAGAAAATAACAATGAACTGCCTTGTGTATGCATTGAAGACATCCATCTCAATGACTGAGTAAAATACACTATTTTTCTACCAATTTCTTACAGCTTTGACTGAATTTATCATTGCCAGTTTCTCAGTCTTTCAAGGCCTGTGATTGCATTGTGGCACACATAATGATAACTCTAATCCCTCTTTCTGAGGAAAATGCTGCTCATTTCTTTTGCAGCCCAGAAGCCTAAAGGCTGAGTGTACATAATAATAAATGCTTGTAAATTTATTAAATGTTTACTATGTGTCAAGTACTGTCCGTAATGTCCTGCGTTTGCAAATTAAGGTTCACACCCCTCCCTAAATATGCCACAATTATCCATTCCTACATTAGAAATTAGAAATGAGGACACTGAGACCTGGAGAGGCCAAGCTGTGCTCATCACACAGCTAATAGGTGTCAGAGATAGAGCCAACTACCTCGCCACAGCCCCAAATGCCCAGTCCCAGTAATGACTGCTCAGTGCTCTGAAGAAGAGCACACTGTTTTCTGAAGTACAGAGCATTCCTCTTACATATTTTATGCCACATTTTGTTGAATTCATCCCAGAGTACAAGATCATTGTGTTACTGATGATTAACAAGCGTTTCTCTGAGATTTTACTCATAGACCTCTATTCCTAAGACACAACTCTAGAACAATCATTGGAAAACTCAAAACAACCCTGTTTTTCTGATTCTCAGTACTTAGCTCCAAGCCTTTGGAATCAAGTCTCTCTTCTCATTTTAGGTTTATTTGCCAGAGTCTCCTTAATCCTGCCATTTCCCAGTCTACCCCTTATGCCATCCAGACAGAATGAGATGGGTCTAAATTCTAGGGTTGCTTCTTATTCAAACTCAGGCCATGGCATGTGTGTAAATCATCAGGAATTTTCACTGCATGAGAGAAAGGGGAAATACGGAAAAGTTACAGTGGAGAATAAATGGAATAGGTTGGAGGTAATTATCTTGTTCTTTTAGTTACATGCAAAATTCAAAAGACATGAACAAATCGTTGTTGTTCTCCATATTGATGATTATGAACATTCGGTTGTTTGAAAGCAGCTCTCTCTTTGGAAGATTTGCAAGGACAAATTTTAATGGTTTATGCTTAATTGTGTCCTTAATTAAAACTATAAAATCATAGTACCTTAAATAGGTTTACTGAACTAAAATACTGGCATTTGACAAACAAAAGTGACATATTTTCTTCTCCTCAGAGACTGAAAAACTGATGTTTAGCTCGTTTAACATCATTCAAATAATTTCCTTTAAAATGCATGTATCTAGAGAAAACAAAGTTACATATTTTTAAAATTCTTATAATTTCATATAATTCTTAAATTCAATATTCTAAATGAGGAAACTCAAGTCTATTGGTCATTTTTAAAGATTGTTTAAGGGTGTATTTTTGTATTTCCAATTATAAGCCGTGTGTTCAGTTGTTTCCCACTAAATACTGCATAAGGTGTTATATTGAATCATGTGAAGTTATCATTGTTCTACACTTTTAGACCTACAAAATGGCAATTATACATGGTTCAACTTAATGCATACTATGACCTATAATTATACCCCCCACAGAAGAAAGGCTATAGAAAATACCATATATTCAGAATCACTGGCAAACTTTAAAATTAGTAATTTTCCAGCTTGTTCAGTAACTTTTGAGCGAACCCAACCTTATTTATTTCAAGTATTTTTATATTTTGTCACTGTCTTATCTATTCCATTTCTCTAGTCACATTGCCATTACTTCAGTTGTGGTAGAGAAAGAAATAGGACAATCTCACTGACTAAACTTATGCTAGGTGAGCACTTGAATTTTGCATCAATTTTACATTTGAAAACATATTGTATTTGAAAGAATGAACCTGTATTTTGAATATACATATTATTCAGACATTACTCCACAGTACGGTCTGTGTCAAAGCTTGAAACTGTAGGTAATATAGGTTAAGGCCTCAAGTGTCTACAATTTAAAGTGAGAATATGTAAAATGTGAAGATATAATATATGACAATTTACACATGCCAAATATAAGATTATAGCATGTCCACAATTTTCTGGGCTAGATGTGATTTCAAATATTCTGCCCCACTTGCACTGAAAGTATACTTGCTATTATTGTCTTCCACATTTCATTAATAGAGGATTAAGAAATTATATTCATGGCATCCCAGAAGAGGTCACATGTGGTTGAAAATGCTTAATAGAGTAGCTCACCTTCAAGGACAGGCTACAAACACAAAGAGAATTTTAACCGTAATGCATGAATGAGATAGCCAGTACAGGCATGAAGCGAAGATTTCCATAACATTGAGGTAATGACAGACCGAGGAGATCTGCTAGAGTGGCCACATGCTATATATGACTCTATTGAGAAATTTCACAAAACATATCTTGCTTATTGTACGCAAGTAACGTTTATGGATTTTATAAAAACTTTTTACTTTAGCAGTATTTAGAGATTTACATAAGACTGGCTTTTCCATATTGAGGAATAACAATTCACTAAAAATTCATGCTTAAGTTCATAGTTACTCAGTGTAGATATCGGGTTACAGATGTTGATAATATTTTGTGGTGGGGGGGGCAGTTTTTACCCAGCAAAATGGAAAATAGCTAGATTTTTTTACCGTGTATATATCAGTTTCGGTTTCTAACACTGCCACGTGAATTTCACTTTCTTTTAGGAGCTACATATTCTGAAAAATTGTATTTTTCTATAAAATTAGGATAACAGGCTAGAAAATGGTAAACATTTTTTTAGATACCACCGAAGCGGAGATGAGGGGTAATATTCAGAGGGCTTTTCAAAACCATATGGGATATAATGACTTTGTGTATAAAAATGATGAGCTATCTTATCAAACAAGATGATATAAAAAATCCAAATCACCAAAAAGAAAAAAAAATGGAGCAGAGTTATCTAAAAGGACACTAAGAAGAGATATTTAAAATTACTTAGATAATAATGTAAGCCTGATCTGGTTTTAATAGTCAAAATCATGTGGGTTAGTTCAAAGGAGAATATCATTAGAACTCTACAGAAAAAAATCATGATTGATATTTTATAATTATTAAAATATTAGAAGCCTTTATTTACAAATGAAGCTGCTACAAGAATTTTGGGAGAGAGAAATGAGGTGATATGTGTGATACATAGCAAGTGACCACAGCTAGTACATAGTGAACCATCCATAAGTATCTATTTTTGTAAACATTTATGAATTCCAACTAGGAGGATAGGGCAAAGTGGGGACAGAGAGGAATGCAAATTAATATTACTCATATTGAAACTTTCTTTTTCATTTTAGAAGCCTCAGTAAGATCATTTGCATAGATAACATCAAGAAGCAATCAAAATATCCCCAACATATGCATATGCACACACACACACACACAACTACACACAGCATCAATAGTTCTCTATATGAGCCTTGCAAATGACATAATTATTATGCAAATTTTATATTATAGTTAATTATAACATGTTCAATTTTTTCTACTCTAATATTTTTTAAATGGGAGATGATTGTGTCTATTTTGTTTTAATCCACCAGAATGTTATGCCCAGTAGCTTTACAAACTGTATAAATTTATGAGCTGATGAGGTATTATGGAATGCCAATTTATGAGCTGAGAACACAATTATAAAACACCTGTGAGGTATGCAGCACTCAAAGAGGTAAAAGAGTGAAGTGGTTAATCTCAGAGTAAGAGTACAGGCATACCTCATTTGTGCTTCACTTTGCTGAACTTTTAAGATACTGTGTTTTTTACAAATTGAAGTTCTGTGGCAATCTTGTGTTCAGAAACTCTATCAGCACTGCTTTCCCAACAGCATGTGCTCACTTCATGCCTCTGCATCTCATTTTGCTAATTATTTCAATTTAAGCATTTTTCATTATTATTTTATCTGTTAGAGTGACCTGCGATCAGTGATCTTGGTGGATGTTAGTATTGTAATTGTTTAGGGACACCACTTAAGATGGTGAACGTAATCAATAAATTCTGTGTGTTCTGACCAATCTACTGACTTGCCATTTCTTTGTATCTCTCTCTTTCTTTGGACGTCCCTATTACATGAAACACAGCAAGATTGAAATTAGGACAGATAATAGACTCATAATGGCCTCTAAGTGTTCAATAGAAAGGAAGAGCCCCCCGTCTTTTACTTCAAATCAAAAGCTAAGAATGATTAAGCCAGTGAGAAAGGCATATCAAAAGCTGAAGTAAGTTAAAAGCTAAGTCTCTTTTATGCCAAATATTTAGCCAAGTTATGAATATAAAGGAAAATTTCTTAAAGGAAATTGAAAATGCTCCTCCAGTAAATACACAAATAATAAGAAAGTAAAACAGCTTATATTACTGATATGAGGAATGTTTTGTGGTCTGGATAGGCCAAAGCAGCCACAACATTCTCTTAAGCCAAAGCCTAATCTAGAGCCATGTCCTAACTCCCTTCAAGTCTATGAAGGCCGAGAGATGTGAAAAAGCTGAAGAAGAAAAGTTGGAAGTTCACGGAGTTTAAAGAAAGAAGATGTCTGTATAACATAAAAGTGCAAGGTGAAGCAGCAGGTGTTGATGTAGAAACTGCTGGAAGTTAAAAGACCTAGAGGCAGCAATACCATTCGACCCAGCAGTCCTATTACTGGGAATATACCTGATATGCCTTGGCTCTGTGTCCCCGCCCAAATCTCATCTTGTAGCTCCCATAATTCCTACATCTTGTGGGAGGGACCCAGTGAGAGATGACTGAATCATGGGATGGGTGGTCTTCTCTATGCTGTTCTCATGATAGTGAATGAATCTCATGAGATCTGATGGTTTTAAAAATGCAAGTTTCCCTGCACAAGTTTTCTTTGCTTGCCGTCATCCACGTAAGATGTGACTTGCTCCTCTTTGCCTTTTGCCATGATTGTGAGGCCTCCCCAGCCATGTGGAAACTGTAAGTCCAATAAACCTCTTCCTTTTGTAAATTGCCCAGTCTGAGGTATGTCTTTATCAGCAGCATAAAATTGGACTAATACAATACCCAAAGGAATATAAATCATTCTATTACAAAGATACATGCATGTGTATGTTCATTGCAGAGACAATAGCAAAGACATGGAATCAACCTAAATGCCCATCAATGACAGACTGAATAAAGAAAACGTATGTTCACACCATGGAGTACTATTCAGCCAAAAAAAGGAATGAGATCCTGTCCTTTTCAGGGACATGGATGGAGTTGGAAGACATTATCCTCAGCATACTAATGCAGGAATGGAAAAGCAAATACCACATGTTCTCACTTATAAGTGGGAGCTGAGTAATGAGAACACATGAACATATCAGGGGGAACAAAACACACTGGGGCCTGTTGAAGGGGGGTTGGGAGAAGGGAGAGTATTAAGAGGAATAGCTAATTGATGCTGGGCTTAATACCTAGGTAATGGAAGGCTCTGTACAGGAAACCATTATGGCACACATTTACTTATGTAACAAACCTGCACATCCTCCACACGTATCCCTGAACTTAAAAGTTGGGAAAAAAAAAAAAAAGATAAAAAGAAGGCTGACTCTCTTGTTAGGGACTGATACAGTTTGGCTGTGTCCCCACCCAGATCTCATCTTGAATTGTAGCTCCCATAATTCCCACGTTATGGGAGGGAGCTAGTGAAAGATAATGGACTCATGGGGTG
The DNA here is from genome assembly GCF_000001405.40 of Homo sapiens. Classification (NCBI taxonomy): domain Eukaryota; kingdom Metazoa; phylum Chordata; class Mammalia; order Primates; family Hominidae; genus Homo; species Homo sapiens. The sequence goes on along the minus strand of NC_000002.12, from coordinate 13,237,909 downwards.
GGTCTTTCCCATGTTGTTCTCATGATAGTGAATAAGTCTCATGAGATCCGATGGTTTTATAAAAAGCAGTTACCCTGTTCAAGCTCTCTTGCCTGCCACCATGCAAAACGTGACTTTGCTCCTCATTTGCCTTCCTTCATATTGTAAGGCCTCCCCAGCCATGTGAAACTGTGAGTCCATTAAACCTGTTTTCTTTATAAAATACCAGTCTCAGATATGTCTTTATTAGCAGCATTGGAACAGACTAATACAGGGACTAATGCAGTTGGTGACTTTAATTTGAAGTAGATGCTCATTTACCACTCCTAAAATCCTATATCTACTTTGCCTATGCTCTATAAATGGAACAATAAGCCTTGATGACAGTACATCTGTTTATAGCATGGTTTACCAAATACTGTAAGCCCACTCTTGAGACCTACTTCTCAAAAAAAGTTCCTTCCAAAATATTTCTGCTTACTGACACTATACCGAGTAACCCAAGAGCTCATTTAGAAATGTATGAGGATATTAATGTTGTTTTCATGCATACTAATACAGCATCCATTCTGTAGCCCATAGATTAATGATTAACTTTGACTTCCAAGTCGTACTATTTAAGAAATGTATTTCAAGATGGATTAAAGACTTAAATGTTAGACCTAAAACCATAAAAACCCTAGAAGAAAACCTAGGCAATACCATTCAGGACATAGGCATGAGCAAGGACTTCATGTCTAAAACACCAAAAGCAATGCCAACAAAAGCCAAAATTGACAAATCGGATCTAATTAAACTAAGGAGCTTCTGCACAGCAAAAGAAACCACCATCAGAGTGAACAGGCAACCTACAGAATGGGAGAAAATTTTTGCAACCTACTCATCTGACAAAGGGCTAATATCCAGAATCTACAATGAACTCAAACAAATTTACAAGAAAAAAACAAACAACCCCATCAAAAAGTGGGTGAAGGATATGAACAGACACTTCTCAAAAGAAGACATTTATGCAGCCAAAAAACACATGAAAAAATGCTCATCATCACTGGCCATCAGAGAAATGCAAATCAAAGCCACAATGAGATACCATCTTACACCAGTTAGAATGGCGATACCATCTCACACCAGTTAGATTAGAACCAGTTAGAATGACCAGTTAAAAAGTCAGGAAATAACAGGTGCTGGAGAGGATGTGGAGAAATAGGAACACTTTTACAATGTTGGTGGGACTGTAAACTAGTTTAATCATTGTGGAAGTCGGTGTGGTGATTCCTCAGGGATCTAGAACGAGAAATACCATTTGACCCAGCCATCCCATTAGTGGGTATATACCCAAAGGATTATAAATCATGCTGCTATAAAGACACATGCACACATATGTTTATTGAGGCACTATTCACAATAGCAAAGACTTGGAACCAACCCAAATGTCCAACAATGATAGACTGGATTAAGAAAATGTGGCACATATACACCATGGAATACTGTGCAGCCATAACAAATGATGAGTTCATGTCCTTTTTAGGGACATGGATGAAGCTGGAAACCATCATTCTCAGCAAACTATCGCAAGGACAAAAAACCAAACACCGCATGTTCTCACTCATAGGTGGGAACTGAACAATGAGAACACATGGACACAGGAAGGGGAACATCACACACTGGGGACGGTTGTGGGGTGGGGGGAGGAGGGAGGGATAGCATTAGGAGATATACTTAATGCTAAATGATGAGTTAATGGGTGCAGCACATGAACATGGCACGTGTATACGTATGTAACAAACCTGCACATTGTGCACATGTACCCTAAAACTTAAAGTATAATAATAAAAATAAATTAATTAATTAAAAAAATGTATTTCATAAGACTATGGATTCCACAGGTAGTGATGCCTCTGATGGATGTTGGCAAAGGAAACTAAAAACTTTCTGGAAAGGATTCATCATCTTAGATGCCATTAAAAACAATAGTAATTCATGAAAAAAGGTCAAAATAACAACAATAATAGGAGTTTGGAAGAAGTTGATTCCAACTGTCATGAATGACTTTAGTGGGCTCAGGACTTCAGTGGAGGAAGTCTCTGCAGATGTAGTGAAAATAGTGAGAGAACTAGAATTTGAAGTGGATCCTGAAGGTATGACTTAATTGCTACAATTCCATGATTAAATTTCAATCAGTGAGGAGCTGCTTATTATCAATGAGCAAAGAAAGTGGTTTCTTGAGATGGAATTTATTCCTAATGAAGATGTCATGTACATTGTTGAAATGACAATAAAAGATTTAGGGTATTTTATAAACTTGGTTGATTAAGCAGCAGTAGGTTTTTGGATAATTGCCTCAAAATTTGAAAGACGTTCTACTGTTGAGTAAAATGCAAGTAAACACCATCATGTGCTACAGAAAATCTTTTGTGAAAGAAAGAGTCCGTTGATGTGGAAAACTTTTTGTCATCTTATTTTAAGAAATTGCCACAGACACCCCACCCTTTAATAACCACTATCCTGATCAGTCAGCAGCCATCAGCACCAAGGCAAGAACCTCCACATGCGAAAATATTTTATGACTTCCTGAAGGCTCAGAGGATTATTAGCATTTTTAGCAATAAAGTATTTTTCAATTAAGGTATGTACATTTGTTTTTAGACATAATGCTATTGCATACTTAATAAACTAGAGTATAGCATAAATATAACTTTTATGTATACTATGAAACCAAAAATTTTACACAGCTTGCTTTATGGCTATATTTATTTTATTATGGTTGTCTGGAACTAAATGTGTGACATCTTTGGGGTACGGCTGTATATGAACTCATAACTCAGCTCTACCATTTAGAAGCTTGTGACCTTGAACAATTTCCTGATCTTTGTGCGTTGATTGTTTCACATGTGTAATGATGAGATTGATAGCCCTTGACTGAGCTCTGAGGACAGTTTCTAGAAAAAAAAAAACCATCTTTTTTGCTCCTAGAACACAAGTATGCATAAATAATAATATTATCTATTATTGCATATTAATCTATAACCTTGTCTTTTCCAGAAGCAATTTTTTAAAAATTAGACAAATTCATACGTTGTTCTGTTATGTTAGAAAAATGAGGCTAAAAAAATTTCAAAAGTAAAATGTAAACAAAGAAATAGAAATGCATTTCTGAAGGTCTGGTATACATACTTTAAAGACCACAAGTTTGGCTGTAAGAATTCTGCTAGCCAAAGTACAAAAAGTATGCTAATCAGAGTTGGCAGTCCAAACGTGAGTTAGTTTCTCAAGAGAAGCACATTTCTTCCTAGAGTTGAAAGCTGAATATTTCCTATAAATTCTCAAAAAGAAGTCATTGTTGAATGTATTGTACTGTTACATCATAACATCTTTCTAGTAAATATAACCTTAAATTTCATACAGCTTTTTCCGATGTTCATTAATACAATCTGTTGGTTAAAAACAGTTCAACAAGGTCACACCTGGGCAAATTCAGAGTTAATTATGAACTCTCTGGATGAGTGGACAATGTATTAGACATGAGCTCTGTTTTAAACACTCTCTATAGCCTAACATCAGTGAATCTCCCTCTCCTCACTGGCTGCATCATTGATTCATATGAGGCTTGCTTCAGCCCCTGGCTTCAGAGTGGGCATGAGATCCAGAAATTCTCAGAATATTTCATGTCTCTGACAAATAACTGATTCAGGAATGCATTGGACAAGGCAAGTTAAATGATCAATCCTAAATTCAAGGTGGAAATTTAGGTTGGTGCAAAAGTAATTGCAGTTTTTGCCATTACTTTCAATATAATCTTTCTATAGGTCTAGATGGAAAGCCAGAAATATCTCTTGTGTAGCACACAAAAAAAAAATCACAATGGTAATCCAAATTGTCTACAACTATTTATCAAATAATACTCCCTCTCTCCACAGATTTGTGAAGCTATTTTATCACATATAAATACCTTAGATATGTATGAAACACATTCTGTTCCCTATTATTTTTATGTCTATTTTTATTTCCCTACACAGATGTAACAATATTTGAGGGAATGTATTATTTTAAATACATTTTAGAATCAAGATGTTAGGTCTCTTGGGAATTTGGTAGTCATTGCATTGAAAAGAATTTAGCTTTGTGAGAACATCTTTACTATGTTAAGAAACACTAGCTGACAAATTGCTAGGCACTCTGTCATGTTCTACTAGCTTATAAGTTAAATCTTCTGGTTTTAAATAATTATATCAAGTAAAAAATTCTACCAAATTTAAATTTAGTCTTGCCACTTTCTGTATTTATACAATGTACTTATATTTTCTTTCTTATTATATTATCAAATATGGCTAGTTATGTTAAACAATAATAGTGAGCAGTGATATTTATTGCTTTAAATCAACTGCTTATGAAATTTATGATTAAGTATGCTTCCTGTAGCTTTTAGATGTGTACATATTATCAGTGGGTTAAATTCCTTCTTAAGATCTTTTTACAATCATAGATAGACATAGGCTTTTATTAGATGCTTTCATTTTTATCTATTGAAATAAGCACCTGTTAGTTTTCCTGTAATTGTTTTACTATGGTGAATTATATTGTTAGATTTATATTAGTTGAACTAACCTTGTATTCATGAGATAAACCTTCACAGTTAACTCTTATACCTAATATTTATTTAGGATATTTTATTTATGTTAATAAGAATAATTGGCCTGTATTTTTTTCTAGTGATTTTCTTACTCGGTTTTCAATGCATTATTTCATTGCTCTCATAAAGACATAGGGTGACTTTATTCTGTTGATCAAATTCTATATTACTTTTAAAACAAATCACTAGAATGATCTGATTTTAATATTTTCTTATCCTATCCTGTGGAAATATCTTTAAGTATAATTTATTCTATAATTTATTGATTTATTTATGTAGAGCGCTATGGATGCATGTGTTTTCATATTTTATTCAATGGATTTGTATTTCTGCTTATAATAAACACATTTATTATCTGGCAGTTCTGGAAGCCAGCATTCAAATTAAGTAGTCTGTAGGGCTAGGTCCCGCTTCCTCCAGAGGTTGTGGGACAGCTTCCTTCCCTGCCTGGCCCAGTGTCTGATGGTTGTGGCACTGCTTGGCTGTGGTTGCTGACTCCAGTCTCCGCCTCTGCCTTCATATGACCTTCTCTTCTCTTCTATGTCTCTTATAAAAACACTTGTTATTGGATTTAAGACCCACCTGGACAATCTATGATGATCTCATCTTAAGATCCTTAACTTAATTACACCTGCATAGACTTTTTTTTTTCCAAACAATGTTACATTCACAGGCTTGGTAGAACATGGGCATTTCTTTCTTTCTTTTTTTTTTTTTTGACCAGGAGTCTAGTTTAATAGGCTTTGGGTCGGAAAGTAGTTGGGGTAAAGTTGGGTTGGTCTTTTTTTTTTTTTTTTTTTTTTTTACTTTTAAGTGCAGGGGTAATGTGCAGATTTGTTACATAGGCAAACTTGTGTCATGGAGGTTTGTTGTATGGATTATTTCATCACCCAAGTATTAAGCCTAGTACCCATTAGCTATTTTTCCTGATTCTCTTCCTCCTCCCACCCTCCACCCTCTGGTAGGTCCCAGTGTGTGTTGTTCCTTTCTTGTGTCTGTGTCCTCATCATTTAGCTCCCACTTATAAGTGAGAATATGCAGTGTTTGGTTCTGTTCCTGTGTTACTTTGCTAAGGAAAATGGCCTCCTGCTCCACGCATGGACACGGGCATATTTTTATGGAGACAAAATTTAACTCACTACAGGCTAGGTTCACAGCTCTTACATTTGTCCTGCACAAAGCAAAGATCCTCACTGGAAAGAAGAAGAGCTCTAAAATAGGAATATTTGGATGAAACCTGCAGCTCACAGATTCCTCTAAACTGTCTGTTCTAGCAGAAGTGACTGTCCACCTCTCAAGTATAGCCTCCATTCCCAGAGACAAGGCAGATCATCTCTCGCCCCCCTTGCATGGAGTTAAATAGTCTAAATGATTTTATTCAGAGGAGTATAATCCATTGATATGATTATTTATTTAGATAGTCTCATCGACTAAGATTCAGTGAGTAAAATTCCATTCAAATTGGCATTCTGTCCTTTTTCATACTGTCATCAATTTTTTAAAAATATATTGTTTCCTTTTTGGACAAAGAAAATATTACAGACTCAACTTATTAGTTACCATCACCAGCTCTGGAATAGTCGTGTTTCTAATTTCTCTTAGTCAATATCACTTGGTATTTTCTGTTTTAATTTATCCATTCTGATTGCTTCTTAGTGGTAGTACTTTATGATTTTAATTTTCATTTCCTGTTGGATATTGACTATTTTGAAGTGTCTGTTTAAGGCTTTTGGCCATTTTCTATTTGATTTTGCCTTTAAAAAATAGATTTAGAGGAGTTCTTTATATATTGAGAGTACTTTTTGTTTCCTTTGGCTTTTTCTCATTTCCTGCCTCCTTGGACAAAGGCTCCGCCAGTGACGTGTTAAATCTCCCACCCACAGCTTGTGCTGCTTGTGCTACCTGGCCCTTTCAGGTATCTTCGGAGAAGTGGAAGCTTTGTGGGGTCCAGATCAGACAGTGCACACACCTGGTGTTTTCTCTATCCAAGGGGGTGCTATTCATGTGCATTCGATGACTAACAGCCAGTCTTATTCATTGTTGCTTTGCTTGAAATGACATCAGGGTCCTCGTTAAATAATGGAACATTATTAAAATGAAATACTTAGATCCATTCAAAAGGAATAAAATGAATCCATGGGATTATTGGGAGCAATATCTAATATTTGCTCAGTGAAAAAATTAATGTACAGAACAGTATGCAAAATATAGATGTATTTGTGTCAAAAATATTTATACACACACGTAAATTTTATATGTTTGTGTATCTCATGCTTATCTCTGGATGGGCAGAAAGTTTTCCCTGGGGTGTTAAACAACATTGTGGATTTAAGAAAATATTTTCTTTTCATAATCATTTATATTTTTTATTCATACCACATGTGTTTCATTTGGCTCAAAGAAGGTATTTATTAAAGAAAATCTGCATACCTACCAATTGGTTTCATGTTTTGTTCATTAAATAATATGCTAGTTATGAAACTAGGCACTAGGATATAATGGTGATAAATTTGCATTAGTCCTGTTCACAAGCACAATTGTCCGAAAAAGAAAACAAGTAAGCAAATAAACAAACAAATAAAAAACAATTTATTATTTCCAGCTACTTCATAGGAGAAGGATATCTTACATTACTATTATCACAATGAACTCCATGGAAAACATTGCCAGAGGTGAGCATCTACTATAGGTTTTCATATCAACCCAGCCATAGAAAACACCAACTATTAGCATTAACACTAAGAAAGATGAGCTGGAAAACCCACAGCCACCTGGAGGTACATCTGGCATTTATATCGAAAATGATCCAGAGTTGTCTTGGCAACATGCCATCACTCAAACAACTAGCTAATTGAACCAATAACCAACCAATGGCCTCTCCACTTCCTGATCTTTGGGCTATTTTATCAATGAGGCATAGGCAAAAAATTTTAAAAATGCTGTTGAGAAAGTCAAGCCTTGGGAGCCTGCTTCACCATGGTTACAGTTCTAATGTGGCAAGAACAGAATAGTAGTAATAGCAATAGTGATATTTGAATACAAATTTCAGATAATAATGACTTCATAATAACAATTATGTTTATAAAATACTTCATAAATTAAACAGTTCTACAATTTCAAAGGAATTTATATCAATATTCTAAAACTGTATCCCTTTAAATCTTGGCTATATATAGCATTATCATTGTCTTACTTACTAAAGCCCCAAACGCAGGAATTATCTTTGACTTTTTCCTTTCCCTCCCTTTCATATCTTGTCAACAACAAAAATAATATTTATTTTCTGTCAAAATTGTCTGTCTCACATCTGTCCTCAGCTTTGCTATTCCTCTATTCGCTGGTTTAAGTTGGGCTTTTATTCACTTTCAGCAGATTTTAAATTTATCTCCTTCCCTTCAGGCTCTTACCCCCAACCTATCCTTCATAATGCAACCAGAACCATTTCTTGAAACACTGGCAAGATACAGCAATTGTCGGTAGAAATGCAGTTGGCATGTTCTATCATCTGGGTTGATACGAAAACCCATACATGACTAGGCATGCTTCTCCGGCAATGCACCGTAAGATCATTTTCTTGCTGAAATAAAGAAAAGGACAATTCTTTGTTGGAAGTTACATTTTTGCAAGACAAGCTTTAGCCTTTTCAGAGTTCTTCTGAACCTTCCTTTATGTCTCTGTATACACTTCGCTATCTTTGTTATGCTTGCTCCCATACAAATTTGTTTCCCATTCTCTGACATTATCACTCTTGCTTTTCTCCTATGTGTTTGCATATTTTAAGTGCATTTGGACAATTTTACTGGTCAATTCCCATCTGTCATTTATGATTGCTTGGATGTTAACATTATCGAAGATTTTTAATAAGCCTTTTATATGTAACATTAATACCCTGTTTTTGTGACATAACCATGTTCAATGTGCTGTTTTGAGCAAGTTAGATATGTTATTTATTTCAGTTCTCTTATAAGCTCATGGAAGCAAGAGTTTCTAAAGTCTCTGTTTTACAAATAAGAATAATGAGACACAGAGGGTTAAACTAAAATTTCCAAACTTGAGCAGCTAGCAGGCAGTAAAGCCAAGATTTGAACTTGGGCAGTCAATTCCAGAGTACTGTTGCTTAAAACCATACTGAAATCCTATTCTCTATAATCCTATAATACTTGGGAGTGACTTGTATGTAAGTATTTTGCATGTAATTCTTTATTTAGTGTTGTACATTTAGACAGAAAATATGAACTTATAGAAAGGACAAAGTAGTTTTTATGTTCTATATGCAGCATCCAAAATAGTTTGTGCTACTTAGAAATGCTGAATGATTCAACAGTGGATTTATGAACATCTTTAATTCCTTTTGAAGAACCAAGATCTTCAACTAGAGAGGCAATATTTGAGAATAGCTTACATTCTTATTCCATTGTATAGAAGTATTGTTAGATAGTTTGTTAATCTAGATGGTAAAGCCCGAAGAAAATTTGTGATAGTTTGAGACATGAGTTTATTTAAAGTACATCAAATCTTGTAAAGCAGAGCTCTAGAGCCCTAGGACTAGAAGGAATATGATCTTCCTTAATGGTTTAATCTGGTAGGCCTCCTTCCATCAGAATTTCAAAAAAAATTTAATAAGATGTCATTATGATAATGTTATCTTCATTTCTTTCTGTTCTCATGAAATTTAATCAGAACTTTAAAATGCAATTTTACAATTCTGAATACACTGCATTAATTTTGTTATCGAATGTACAATTGCAAGAAAAATTTTTGGCTAGCATTAACCTGATTCAAGTTTTCATAAAATCAAGTGATTCCCCATTCAACAACCCATACATCTTCCTATGCAACTGAGGTTACAGAATTTGGAGTTCAAAGAATGAGGTTCAAGTACTGTATTTTTTTTTTTTTTACTAATGGTTCATGTGATCTCAGTTAAATTGATCTCAGTTAAAGGACAGGAGGCAGGGAAATACTGGGTAGAAGAGGGCGATTTCCTACCAAAGACTCAGTTCTCAAGCCTGGAAACTGCTGCCCTGTTGAGAACAGTTATCCCTGTTTTCCCACCCAAATGTTACTTTTTTGGCCCACCCCACTCCCCATGCTGTGTCCATATATACCCTAGACCTCAGCTGGCAGAGAGACAAGCTGCTGAACATTGAGAGAAGAAGCAACTAGACTTAACTTCAGATGCCACAATTTCACACAACTTCACGGAGAAGCCCAGCTGGAGATGGCCGGGCTTCAGGGAAAGATCACCTTCTTCCTGCACCAACCCCTTTCGAGCTCCCCTTCCACTGACAGCCACTTCCACTGCTTAACGAAATCCTCTGCATTCATCACCTTCCAAACTGTTTCTGTGACCTGATTGTTAGTGGATCCCAGACGAGAAATCAGGATACACTGAGTGCAGGAACCAAAAAACGCTGTCACACTGACTCTTCACTGAGCTGTTTAACACATAAGCCATCCCCAGATGGCAAAGCTAAAACAGCATTAATTGTAACACACTCCTAGATGCAGCTGTCGGGCCTGAGCCCAAAAGCACTTTCCCTGGCTCCTGCACCTGCTCACCAGCTGCTCCCCCTCCAGCAAGGGGTTTGAGCACAGTGGCCAGGTATAGGAGCCACACCCCTGTTGCAAGTTCCTTGAGGGTGTCCAAGGAACTCTCCCATCTCAAAATCACTTAACAACCTAACGCTTTAGTTTTCTCCCAGGAGAGATCGTGTGTGTGTGTGTGTGTGTGTGTTTGTGTGTGTGTGTGTGTGTGTGTGTGTGTGTGTGTGTGTGTGTGTGTGATTCTGCTGCCCGGATCTCACAGAATGATGCTTAATTGATTGGGTTGTCTCAGCAGTAAATGGGGTACAATTGTCTCCATCTGAGGAATCTGAAAAGATTGCAACAAAAATGTTGGATTTCTAGAAGCTGTGAGACAAATTAAGAGCTGTAAAACTTTCATTTTAGAAGCAAGAACCCAGCAGGCATGGTGGTTCATGCCTGTACACTTAGCACTTTGGGATATCGAGATGGGGCAGATGGTGGGCAGGGCAGGGTGCCACACACCTGTAATCCCACCTACTCAGGAGGCTGAGGTGGGAGGATCACTTGAGCCTGGAAGGTTGAGACTACAGTGAGTGGAGATCGCACCACTGCACTCCAGCCTGGGCGACATAGTGAGACCCTGTCTGAAAAATAAATAAAATAAAATAATAAAATAAAATAAAAGGCAAGAACCCAAATATAAATATTTTGGTGTTTGAACAAGATTTCAGGGTTTAGATTCATCTGTATAACTAGACTCCACAAAGCAGATGTTTTCAAAACTTGAATTTCCACATTCAGTAAAGACTATTTGTATCAGGATGAGATAATATTTAATAATATACTGATGGATATAAGAAAAATGCCTCTTCTCTGGTTAGAATGGCATTGTCTATACTCCTTGGGTTGGGTAACATTTGCATAAACATGTAATATAAAGATGAAGCAAAATGACATTAAACTCTGTGACAATTTTATAATCACAATGAAAAACAAATTATCTGATGAGTTGTTGTTTACACTTCGGTGTTTCCAGCTAGAATAAGGTTGGCACAGATTCTTAGATATCTCTTCATCTTTGATTATACTTGGCAGACTGCCTTTCCCAGAATGGTGACTTTATAAATATTGATTTATTAAGTCAGGAATCTTTTTGCACTTCAAATGAATATCACTGAATGTTTTAGTGCCACCTTATGTTTAGTTGGGAATTATCTATGATGTATTTGGATATATCTCAGAATATAGTTTATTGGCCAACCATGTTAACATCACGTGAGAAACTGGTATAAATTACAGATTTCTGATCCCACAAAAAAATGAGAATGAAGTTCTAACCATCTATTAAGTGATATGGGCTACAATGTCTCATTAATCCTCTGACCCTCTAATAATGAGAATTTCCTTTGTATTAGATTCTTAAGCCTAGCACAATCTCCTGATTAGTACATGATGGTTAACTCTTTGACTTTAACATTAATAGTTGCTTATTAGTATGAAACATAATTTTGTTAAATAAATTATAGAGTAAATTTATAAATGACACTTTGAGCTGGACTTCAGTAATACTAAAAATAATTATTTCCAGTTAAATTGTACTAGATAATAAGGTTTGCTAATTACTAATTAATCTACTGAAGAATTAGGCAATGGGATGAAAAGTAATATGTTCAGCAATTTCTCCTTGCCAAGACTTAATACCAACATTTGATTTGAATTTTATTAGAGTTTTAAAAGGTAAGTACTACTTTGCCTAGTGTACAGATAAAAAAAATCCAGCTTTTACAGCTCTAGAGAGCAGAACTGAGATTCAACCCCAGTTCTGGTTAATACCGAACCCTTATGTGCTTACTTCAGTATCTCTCCAGTTTTGACTGCTACTGCCTGAAAGATAAATATAAATTACAAGCGTTTTGACCTTAAAATTAATGTGGATCAATTTAAGTCCAGCTTACATAAATGAGTGACACTAATACATATATTTCAAAAAAGAATTTTAAAAGACTAAAAGATAAAATGGCCACCAGACACAAGCTGTCACTTCCATTGAAGAAGGTTGAAATATGATTCCTTTGAATAATAAAAATTCAACTGCTCATAAATTGTAATACAGTACTTGTTAAACACAATGGTGATATTTGCTTAATAAAAGTCCCTATAGTAAAGCTAAGGAAAGCTATCAACTTGAATAGAAAGAGAATCTACTATTAGTAGGTAAGTAGTTTTTTGTTTGATTTTTGTTTTTTTTGATTTGTTTTTTAAATTGCTGCAAAATTTTGCTGATCCCCAATGGCTTTTGTGATTGTATCTGCGACAGGTTGCTCTTAAACAATAATCAAATCCAAATTTTAATATATATAAATATATATATTTATATTTTAATATATATAAATATATATTATTATAAATATATATTTATTATAATATATATTATTATAAATATATATTATAATATATATTATTATAATATATATTATTACAAATATATATATTATTATAATATATATTTATTATAATATATAAATATATATTATAATGATATATATATTTATATATATTATATATATTTATTTTATATATATTTATTATAAATATATATTTATTATAAATATATATAATATAAATATATATTTATTATAAATATAAATATATATATTTATAATAAATATATATATGTTGCTTTAAATAAAACACTTCACCATTGGTAACATTCTAAACATATTCCAGGAATAATTGTGACAATTTCTCCTATAAGAATAGAAAATGAATGCATCTGTTAACCTCCATAGTCTCAATAGAAAACAAAAACCAAACTTAAACTTTTGATGTGTGCTCTGTGTACTGTAAGCATCCACAATAAATATTAAAAATAGCATATTCACAGAAACAAAATATGAAGCTGGTTCAGCTACATTAAAGGCAAATTTTTCAAATTGTTCCCAAAATTGTTCTCTGTACTTCCAGGCTGAGGCCATTGACGCAAAGTGCATTACCTTCCCAGCTTGAGTCGGCTTAAACAGGTGCTATGCAAATATAAAAACTCATTATCCTTCTTGATAGAAGCTTATTGTTAGAGGACACAAAGACAGCAATCCTTTCGAGTCTTTGATTTTCTCCCCTCACATGTATTTATATTTTAGAAGACAATTTATGTAGCTTTTGAAAAATATTCACTGAATATTTAAGCACCAAATTTCATACTAAGCATTTCTACTGATGGAATTTGAGTTAGGAAAACAGAATTTTCTTTATAGGCATGGGTCATAAAAATTGTAAGTACCGTTAATTGCAAGTTGTTTATTTTGGAAGTAAAGAAAGATTTCCGTATGCCTTAAAATTACATTTTTAAAAAATGTGTTTCTATCAATCACAGATAATCTGTTACAAAATGATTGATGATGATATTGTGAATTAGTAAAATTTATCACAATTCACAGAGGACTTTTACATGCATGAGAATATTGTCCCAGAAAAACTTTGTGATGGAAAATCTCATATTTATACTGTAAAAACTGAGGCTCAGACAGATTAAGTAAAGTCTTGGAGTCATACAGCTAATAATTGACAGAGCTGAGATTAAAACCCAGGTTTCTGGCAAATAACTCCAGGCTCTATCCACTGTAGCACAAGTAAACAACCTCCCCGTAATTACTTCCATTAAAATATATAAATACGTGTGTGTGTGTGTGTGTGTGTGTGTGTGTGTGTGTGTTTGTATCTGTGTGTGTGTTTATTTTCTGGTCAAGTGTCACAATATAGACCTTTACTGAGGCCACGTAAGGATTGCCCAATTTTTTTTTAATGTATTATGCACTGGAAGATGCTAAGGAAAATTTAACATGATTCCTTCCCTTTTCTAATTCCTTGCTTCTAAAAAAATTATCTTCTTGAGAAATTCTATTCTCAAGCATTTGCTCTGGGAAGAAATTGCTCTCAACAGAATGTGTGGACTCTAGATGCTGAAAGTTGTAATCTCCTGTTTAAGTAAATAAATCTGTTGGGTATTTTTTCCCTTCCACCTCAATATAGTATTAACTAACAGCCCCAGGCTAATCAAGGCTGTGTTTAAACTGAAACAGTGAATTTCAGGAATTGTTGAATTTCAGGATCAAGACACTTAAAAACAGGCCAAAATTTATACTGACTCAAATAAACTAGTACCCTTGGAAAACTGACCGAATGTGCTTCAGAACAATATTCTGCTCAGTGTTACAAACAGGCATGTGATATTCCAGCCCTTAAAGTACCTCCGGCCATTTTTAGGTTTTTTCAAAATCCCATATCCCAAGTCCTGTATATATTGAAAAAAAAAAAAAAAAAAAAAAACAGCAAAACAGCGGAACAAGAATAATTTCTATGATGGTCACAGAACCAAATGTGCTCCAGAGATCTCGCCTTTTTATCCCGTTTGTGGATGGATATGGTGTCACCTTCTCATTCCTACGAGTGCAAGTTCCTTAAAGGGCAAGGGCTCATTCCCCAGTTCAGCCAACGCTAGGAACCACTAGATAGGCTGAACAAAACAGAGCCTCATGGACTCCTGGGACATTAACTAGCTTTCAGTAAGTAAGCCACTGAATCAACATACACACCTTGAAAATGGAAGAGCAGTCTTTGGTCTGCTACCAAATGCAGATGTCCATTTCTTTCTATAGCCAAGAGGCTAACATCTCCAGTCAAATACATTCCAATATACAAATAAAACATTTGATTACTTCGTGAGAGAATGTTTTAGGGAAGACAACTAGTGCCATGCTCCTCTTTTCTTCTAGCTTATGTTGATTTCCAACCAATCACTGTGTTAGCTTCAGTTACAGCTGTGGGGTCAATCTTGATGAAATACTCTGTTTATGAATCTTGAAGAGTATGAAGATATTCTGCTTTTACATAAAATTCGATTATATTGCTCATGACTGCAATTTGAGGTTCTCTCTGCCCCTGATATCTTCTCTTTTTCCAAACTAAGTGGCACAGGAATATAGGTAGTTTAGTTTAAATAGTTGCATAAAACATGCTGGCCTGCAAATCAAATCTTTACTTCCGTTCAACTGAGCTTTACCTCCTCCAGTTCCCAGTATTGCAAACGTCTGACATTTGCATAAACAATGAATGCACGTACACACATGCAAACGTATACAAACACAATATAGAGAGAAGGACAGAGATCATTATCAGGGTATCCTGAATGGTACTCTATATAGAGTTGTCTTTCCAGGAAGCAATATTGAATACTTAAAAAGTAAATACATAGGAAGTTTGGTCCAAGAGAAAATGACTAATTATTCCTAGGATCTATCATGTCAGAAATTGAATCAGGGATTAGGGCTTAAACTTTGCTATTTCATTTAATCTTCCCAAAATTCTTTTATTCATATCAAAAAGGCTGAGCCTGGGTTGGGACAAAGAATGTGGCATTAAATAACTTCTTCAAGCATTTTTGGTGCAGGGCTATGTTGAAAACGCTGGTTTTCTCACTCCAAAGTTCGTGTTGGTGCTGGTGGTGTAGTTGTTACTTTAGTTTTCTTTTCTTCCTCCTGTAGCATGCTACTAGGTATTTGCATGGATTTACATTATTTTTGGGAAAAACACTCAGAGACTATTCAGTGGTGTCTACCTGACATCAATACAGTTGCTGTCCATTCCCTAACAGAACGTGCACCCTGCTATCATCTCAGAAGCCTATGGAGCCCCTTCAATCAACACCATGGGATTGCTCATCAGAAGTCCTTGCCAGAGAACTGATTCTTGCATTAACCCTTATTCAGACCTTGCCAAATTCATACTTAAGATTGATACTGAGTTAGGGCAATTTATAGCTCTTTTCTTTGTTCTCTGTTATCAAAGTTCTAAACCTAAACCAAGTTAGACAGCAAAAAGCAAAAATATACAAACATATATACTTAAAAGTTCATAGAAAATTATTCACTAGGTGACATCCCATATTATTCATTGGCTTTTAATTGAAATCTAATATGTAAACACATTATAAATGGTTCACAGTATTTTGTAAAACCCGAGTCAAATGACTTGTGGTTTGCTCACCAGTGTCGGCTTTTGTCTTTATATTATAGAATAAATTTTACTTGAGAATATAGGATCAGAAAAGAAATAACTTCTTATTTCTGCAAAGAATGAATACTTCAATTTGTTTTAAGTGACATGGATATAGAAGTCAGTATGAATCTGTTTTATAGTGAATGCCTAGGAGGGTAGGCTAAATTTACTTCTCAGTTGCTAGATTGCTAAAAATCTTTTCACCATTTTTAATCTGTTAGATTTTGCTCTCTCTTTCTCTCTCTTCTGCTTTTGGTTTCTTTTTTTAAAAAAATATTTACATAAACTGTAACACACATACACATCAGCTAAGATGGAAGAAGTACCTAATTTGGCAGCTGAATGTTATTAAATTGTGTGCTGTTTAAGGCATTTTTTTCTCAATCTAGGACTTACTGTGCTTGAATCAATGTCAAGTACTATGAAAGACATAAAATTCAAGAAAATGTTGTCTTTCTCCTCCAAATATCTGTAACTAAATATATGCCAACTGAGCCTCTGAGAAGTGCAAAATTACAAGTGCAGATAATATTCTGAAAAGACAGGAAGAAAGCACAGGTGACATTAATAATCACAGACTTATGTTGTCTAATTTTGGGCCAGAAACTATTTAATGTGCTTTACATTGATAAATGTATTTAATCTTCGCAACCAAATTATTAATTCTATGCTAACATTATCATTCACATGTTTCAAGTAAGTGGTGAAAGGACATGATGCAGTCTCACGGCTTGTAAGAATAGAACTGGGATTCAATTCAGGCAGGCTGGCTCTTCTGTCTCCAGGCCTAAGCAATATTCTTTGCTGCCACTCAAAGATCAGAATGACTGGGGCTAGACAGGGGAATCAAAATAGTTTCTTAGAGAAGGTAAGTTTTAACTACACAGAAGTTAGGTTTCAAACAAAAATGAATTATTAATGTTGCTGAAAACAAATTTTATAGTTTTATGTGGTTTCAACTTTTCTTCCCTTCAAAAAATCCTTTGTATATATCAGCCGTGTGTGGGTGCATGAGTGTGTCTGTGTGTGTGTGTGTGTGTGTGTGTGTGTAAAGGATTGGTGCATGAGGGAAAGGAGGAAAAAGATTTTACAGGCAAATGAGTTGTTTTGATTAATAATGAAATGGATTTATTCAATTGCAATTTTTAAAGTCTCATTCAAATCAAATAATATAATGCAGATTTTAACTTTCTTTTCACTTTGTCACTATGGTACAAAGTTTTTGAAAAAGAAAAAAAGCAGACCTTCAAGTTCACTTTTGGAGAGGGGAAAGTGGAGAATAGAATTGTGGCTGGCATTTAGAGTTCAACTGCACTTCTTCAGAAAAGTTGTCTGTGACACGTCACTGGGGCAATGACTTAGCAGGAGGGCAACACTGGGCCACTGGATATGCTGCTGAAGACTTCTCTAGCGGCTTACCGTTCCCGAACATGCTGACATTTTATGGGGACTATTAGAAATGCATGAATTCTGCACACAAAATGTCAACTGATATATTAAGAAAGAGCAACTCGCTATAGTTACTAGCAGTAAAATTTCTCTAGCTTTAACCCCATTCTCTGCTTTATAGATATATTGTTATGCCTGTACCATTTCAGATGAGATCATTTGACACCCAAAATATACATTCAAGTTAAACCTCTGCAATATGAGAGTGAAATCCCATAGAAAAAATGAAAGGAGTATCATTTTTCCATCTTTAGATCAGAAACCGAAGTCATGGATTATGAATTTTAAATAGTCAATATGTCATTCAAAAATCATTCTAGATAGAAATATGACATCTTTATTCAACTTGCTTATTACTTTTAAAGTATGTTCTTATTGCTTCTTCATATGAATAACTTTCAAAAATTGGATAGTAATACAAAAAAATTAACCCCAATTGTAAAGCTATTGAATTGAATAGCATTTTTATATTGAATTTTAGAGTGGGTAATGCTGCAACACACAATGTCTAGAAATTCAAAGAAAATGAATGCTTGAAAATAAAACACATGCTTAATCTTTATGTAACCTTTTCAATATGAAACAGCCAAGGAAGATTTTCTCCATGGAAAATCAGATTAGCCACAAAATTGGTTGCTGCAGTACATAGACTACCATAGAGTCAACTGAGGCTCAGCAGAATACAGCTTGTGTGTGGTGCTTCCCTTATCCATGACGCAGCACGTGTGTGCTGTGGCCTAACAGATATATGAGTGTGTTTCTAACATTAATGTATGTTACCCCAACCTCCTTATCACACATAAGCCTGCTCTGCACATACATTGCTTGCTACTGTTCCATCAAATTCATTCATTCATTCCTACTTTCTCACTACAACTTTCAGGACCCCTTTCATATTACAAATATAGTCATGCATCCCTTAACGACAAGGATATATTCTGGGAAATGCATTATTAGGCAATTTTGTTGTTGTGTGAACATCAGTTGCACAAATGTAGGTGGTATAGCCTACTACGCACCTGTGCTATATGGTAGAACCTATTGCTCCTAGTCTACAAACCTGTATAGCAGGTGACTATGCTGAATACTGTAGGAAACTGTAACCCTATAATAAGTATTTGTAATACCTAAATATATCTAAACATAGAAAAGGTACAGTAAAAATACAGTATAAATGATTTAAAAGATATACTTGTATAGGGCACTTGCCATAAGTTGCAGGACTGATGGTTGCTCTCTTTTCACGTTTTTCTGCCTGCTTGTATTCTAACCCTGTTGGCAGCTGATTAGATTGTGCCTATCCAGATTAAGGGTGGATCTGCCTTTCCCAGCCCACTGACTGAAATGTTAATCTTCTTTGGCCACACCCTCACAGACACACCCCGGATCAATACTTTGTATCCTTCAATCCAATCAAGCTGACACTCAGTATTAAGCATCACAATGTCACTAGGCAATAGGAATTTTTCAGGTCCATTATAAATTTATGAGACCATCATCTTGCACGTGGTCCCTTGTTGACCAAAATGTTACATGGTGCATGACTGTACATGTAAATCGTGTCATCTATGAATAAGGTACTTACACAGGACTTTCTGCAACTCTACCTGATACGCTAGTAACATGTAAGAATTAAATTAATAAATTAATCATAATGTAGTGAAAATAAGTTTTATTTAAGGTAGAAATATTTAAATTTATTTTCTAGATATAAGTGAAATGACTGAATTCTTCCTCAAAAAGAAATAGATGGTTCAATAGAGAAAACCCACAGAAAAACTTGAAGTTACATCAGTTCACACATATTCACTCAGAAAAGCATTGCCTATTGGAATAAATGAGAATGTTACTCCTCTCATTACTCATAACAGGGAAAGCTGCCATTTGCAAGTAATTTAGATTTGAATAATGTGGTATGTCTGGTACCTACAGTGTTATTCAGTTTCTCTTTTGTTGATGACCTGCCATGTCAACTTGTCTTTTGCTGTTGTTGTTGCTGCTATTCTAGAAAATAGGGATTTAATTACACTTTTCAGAGAGTATGTTGTTGGAGCAGAAAAGGAAAATGGACTTAAAATGAAAAATTTAAAGACATATTTAGTGGTGCCCTGACTCGTAAAATTAAAAGCAGTCTTTCTATTGAAGTATGCAAGAGGGGCTGCTGCATTTAAGAGGGGTATCATTTTCTCTATTGAATAAGATAAATTCCAGAATATTTCATACACTATTAAATTACATAAAATGCACTTATGAACATTAGTCAAAACTTGTTAATCGTTTTTGTTTCTTTTTAATTGTTAGACATGATGCCATCAATCATCCCACAATTACTAATTAAGTGTCTACTATGCACAGGATGATATGCTAGGCACAGTGAGGAGATACAAAGCATACAAAGGATAGGATATGGCAGAGTGTTGTAGATTTTTATTTCCAGATTCACACCAGCTTGTCTTTGAATCCTGCTCTTCCACTTACTAATGAGTGATCATTGGTGAGGTACTTAACACTTTTAATGTCAGGTTCCTCATCTCTAAAATGGTGATGAAAATAGTTTCTGAGCCATAAGAATTTTTTGAAATATAATGTAAATGTGCACACAAAGTGTCAAATACTCTGTGCTACTAGCCTGTAAAGAATGCTCAATATTTTATTATTATTAGACTAACCTAATCAATACTGATATTCATTTAACTTCATTAAGGAATTAGAAGCTAAATCAGTAGAGAAAGCATGCACTTAAAAATATAGATAACAAAACTGGTATACTGTAGAATATCATTTTATGGGAAAAACTCTCAGAATATAAATAAATCCTGAACTTATGCAGGAAAAAGTATAAATATGCCATTAATTATCCTGCTCTAGCCTGAAATTAATTTTCTAATTAAAAAGAAAAAGGCCAGATGCATGGCTCATGCCTGTAATCCCAGCACTTTGGGAGGCCAAGGCAAGTGGATAATCTGAGGTCAGGTGTTCAAGACCAGCTTGGCCAATATAGTGAAACCCCATCTCTATTAAATATACAAAAAATTAGCCAAGCGTGGTGGTGGATGCCTGTAATCCCAGCTACTCGGGAGGCTGAAGCAGGAGAATCGCTTGAATCCAGGAGGCAGAGGTTGTGGTGAGCCGAGATCGCGCCATTGCACTCAGCCTGGATGACAAGCATGACAGTACATCTCAAAAATAAATAAATAAATAAATAAGAAAAGAAGATTTTTTTCAGTCTTGGAGAAATAACAGTAAATATATTAATAAAATACTTTTATAATACATGAACATAGCAAAAGATAAAGAGAAGACAAGAAAATTTTAAAGATGGGAATGACTAATCACTATAATCCCAATACTCACGGATTGTCATGTTCAACCATTTAATGTATTTTCCTCTAGTCTTTATAGTGTAGTTTTCTACATGGATGATATTCTATTGTACATTAAATTTTATGTCTGCCTTTGATGTTACACATTATAGTATCATAATTTTTCACATCTTTGGAATTTTTTTGTTTGAAGATATACTGTAAATAAACACAGAATATTATAATAAATATTATATATAATAAATGCATCAATCTGTATTTTGTCTGACAATTAGAGGATATGACCACACATACTAGTATAATTGTGATGTTCAAGCAGTTGTTTCTTTAAAAAGCAGCATTATTATTTTTTAAAATTATTAAGAAAATCTTCATCAAATATAATAAAATATTTTGAGTTATTTATTAAAGAATTAATAGAACATCATTAAGGAACAGGAAGATATTAGGTTATTTACATTAGCCAAGAATCTCATGAGCCAAGAATATTGAGATAGAAGCATAAATTGTAAGATGATGGTAGTTTTAAGACTGCCTGAACATGAATAGTTTATGCTTGAAATGGCATAAAATAAAACTGGATTTTGTTGAAGGAAGTAGGAAAGACAGATGACATGGTTTGGCTGTGTCACCATCCAAATCTCATCTTGAATTGTAACTCCCACACTTCCCGTGTGTTATGGGAGGAACCTGGTGGGAGTTCATTGATTCATGAAGACCAGGCTTTCCTGTGCTGTTCTCATGATAGTGAATGAGTCTCACAAGATCTGATGATTTTAAAAGCAGGACTTTCTCTGCACAAGCTCTCTCTTTGCCTGATTCCATCCATGTAAGATGTGACTTGCTGCTCCTCCTTGCCTTCTGCCATGATTATGAGGCCTCCTCAGCCATGTGGGAGCTGTAAGTCCAATAAACCTCTTTCTTTTGTAAACTGCCCAGTCTCAGGTACGTCTTTGCCATCAGCATGAAAACAGACTAATACAGTAAATTGGTACCAGTAGAATAAGGCACTACTGAAAAGATATATGAAAATGTGGAAGTAACTTTGGAACTGGGTAACAGGCCGAGCTTGGAACAGTTTGGAGGGCTCAAAAAAAACACGGGATAATGTGAGAAATTTTGAAACTCCCTAGAGACTTGTTGAATGGCTTTGACCAAAATGCTGATAATGATATGGACAATGAAATCCAGGCTGAGGTGGTCTCAGATGGAGATGAGGAACTTGTTGGGAACTGGAGCAAAGGTGACTCTTCCTATGTTTTAGCAAAGAGACTGGCAGCATTTTGCCCCTGCCCTAGAGATTTGTGAAAGTTTAAACTTGAGAGAGGTGATTTAGAGTATCTAGTGGAAGAAATTTCTAAGCAGCAAAGCATTCAAGAGGTAACTTGGGCACTGTTAAAGGCATTCAGTTTTATATGCAAAGCAGAGTATAAACATTAGGGAAACTTGCAGCCTTACAATGCAATAGAAAAGAAAAAGCCATTTACTGAGGAGAAATTCAAGCCTGCTGCAGAAATTTGCATAAGTAATGAGGAGCCAAATGTTAATCCCCAAGATAATGTGGAAAATATCTTCAAAGCATGTCAGAGGTCTTCATGGCAGCACCTCCCAACACAGGCCTGGAGGCCTAGGAGGAAAAAGTGGTTTCCTGGACCAGACCCAGGGTCACAGTGCTGTGTGCAACCTAGGAACTTGATTCCCTGCATCCCAGCTGCTCCAGCCATGTTGAAAGGGACCAATATAGAGTTTGGGCTGTGGCTTCAGAGGGTGCAAGCCTCAAGCCTTGGCAGCTTCCATATAGGGTTGAGCCTGCCAGTACACAGACGTCAAGAATTGGGGTTTGGGAACCTCCACCTAGATTTCAGAAGATGTATAGAAATGCCTGGATGTCCAAGCAGAAGTTTGCTGCAGGGGAGGCACTTTTATGGAGAACCTCTGCTAGGGCACTGTGGAAGGGAAATGTGGGGTTGGAGCCCCCACACAGTGTCCATACTGGGGCACCACCTGGTGGAGCTGTGAGAAGAGGGCCATAGTCCTCCAGACCCCAGAATGCTAGATCCACCAACAGCTTGTACCATGCACCTGGAGAAGCTGCCAACAATGACAGCCTGTGAAAGCAGCTGGGGGGGGATCTATATCCTTCAAAGCCACATGGGAGGAGCTTCCCAAGACGATAGGAATCCACCTCTTGCATCAATGTGACCTGGATGTGAGACATGGAGTCAAAGGAAATCATTTTGAACTTCAAGATTTGACTGCCCCACTGGATTTCAGACTGTATGAGGCCTGTAGCCCATTTGTTTTGTCCAATTTCTCCCATGTGGAATAGCTGTATTTACCCAAATGCCTGTACCCCTTGTTGTATCTAGGAAGTAACTAGCTTTTGATTTCACAGGTTCATAGGTGGAAGGGACTTGTCTCAGATGACACTTTGGACTGTGGATTTTTAAGTTAATGCTGAAATGAGTTGAGACTCTGGGGGACTGTTGGAAAGACATGATTGGTTTTGAAATGTGAGAACATGAGATTTGGGAGGGGCTGGGGGAATGATATGGTTTGGCTGTCTTGCCACCAAATCTCATCTTGAATTGTAACTCCCACAATTCCCACATGTTGTGGGAGGAACGTAGTGGGAGGTAATTGATCCATGGGGGTGAGTCTTTCCTGTGCTGTTCTCGGGATAGTGAATTGGTCTCATGATCTGATGATTTTAACAGCTGGAGTTTCTCTGCACAAGCTCTCTCTTTGCTTGATGCCATCCATGTAAGATGTGACTTGCTTCTCCTAGCCTTCCATCATGATTGTGAGGCCTCCCCAGCCAGGTGGAGCTGTAAGTCAGATAAGTCTCTTTCTTTTGTAAATTGCCCAGTCTTGGGTATGTCTTTATCAGCAGCATGAAAACAGACTAATACAAAAGATTTTGTTTTCTTAAGTGATTTTCTGTCTCAACCAATAAAATAATTTCTTAAATGTCCTAATAATTTGCAAATTAATTTACATACAATATATTTCAAGTTACCTGAGCAAAGTACTGAAATAATCATATGTTGTACCTTTAATCAATGAGTTGATAAAGTCTCAAAGAGCCCCTTCCTACCTAAAATTCTTTGTTTCATTTTGATTTTACATCTAAAAAATACATTTGCTGAGAATACAGTGTGTGGGATGTTTTTGTTCTCAAAATTCTGTACACTTTGTTCCATTGCCTTTTTAAAATTGTTTTATCAGAAGTGAAGTTGATACAAAGGAATCTATTTTCAAAAGGGTAAGGCAATGTACCAGTTACTATGGATGCGTGCACAAATTATCTCAAAACTCAGTGGTGTAAAACAACCATTTATTATGCTCATAAATTTCGTGTTTCAGAAATTCAGACAAGACACTGGGTTTTTTTTTCTCTCTGTTTTACAGTGTGTGGGGCCTCAGCTAGAAGACTAAAAGGTTGCAGCTGCCATCATCCAAGAGCTCATTCATTCACGCATCTGGCCTCTGGTTTGGGATGCCTCAAAAGCTAGGAACTGAAGCAGCTAGGGTTCCCCAGGAATCTCTCTCTGTTTCTCTGTATCTGTTCTCTCCGTGTGATCTTTGTAGCACAGTAGCCAGCGTGTTCACAGTAGCCATATATATGGCAGCTTAGGGCTTCAAAGGCACATTCCTTGATAAAGAGAGATAGGGGAAGGGAGAGAGAGAGGTGAGGAAGAGAGAAAGAGTTAGATCACCTACTATGACCTAGCCTCAGTGGTCAAATCATGGTATGCAGTGGAACTCTATTGGTGGAGGCAAATTCAAAGCTCCACTCAGAATAAAAGAGAGGAAACATAGACACTACCTTTCTACTGAAGTGTTTCAACACCACATTGTAATTAGAATGTAGTATGGGCTGCTGTTGGTTTGTCCAGGTATGGAAAATACAATCTGCCTTAGGATAAAGACTTAATGATAACATCATATTTGAATTCCAACTATCCATTGTATAATTAGAAATATTTCATCATTACCTCTGAAACCCCTCTGTGCTTCTCTTTGAATGTCTCAACCTCCTTCCCTTTCTTTCACACTTCTCCACCTCCCTGTATTTTATATTTTTCTCTATAGTTTTACCATGTGTGTTTTCATGCTATCCCACAATGAATGCATATGCATGCACGTGTGTGTGCAGATCTGGGTTTTATATAATAAAAATAATACTGAATGAATTCTTCTGCAATTTTCTTGTTGTCTTCCTTAACCCATGTTTCTAAGATCCATCCTTATTGTTGCAGGTACAAGGACACCTTGAAGATATTCTAGACCACTGCAATAAAACAAATGCCAAAATAAGGTGATTCACATACATTTTCTGGTTTCTCAGTGCATATAAAAGTTATATTTACAAGATACTGTAGTCTATAAGCAGGCAACAGCATTATGTCATAAAAGCAATGCACATATCTTAATTTAAAAATACTTTATTGCTGAAAAATGCAAATGATCATCTGAGCCTTCAGGTAGTCTTAATTTTTTTGCATGTGGAGGGTCTTGTCTTGATGCTGATGGCTGCTAACTGATCAGGATGGTAGTTGATGAAGGTTGGAGTGGCTGTGCCATTTCTTAAAATAAGACAGGAAAGAAGCTTACCACATCAATTGACTCTCCCTTTCCTGAAAGATTTATCTACAGCATGTGATGCTGTTTGATAGCATTTTACTTGATAGAACTTCTTTCAAAATTGAGGTCTCTTGTCTCAAAACCTACCACTGTTTTGCCAAACAAAGCTGATATAATCTAAATCCTTTATTGTCATTTCAAGAATGTTCACAGTGTCTTAGGAATAGATTCCATTTCAAGAAACCACTTTCTTTGCTCATCCTTAAGAAGTAGCTCTTCATCCATTCAAGTTTTATCATGACATTGCAGCAATTCAGTCAAATCTTCTGGTTCCACTTCAGAGTCTAGCTCTTTTGCTGTTTTCACATCTGCAGAGATCTTCTATACTGTTGCCTTGGACTCCTCAAAGACGTCCATAAGGACTGGAATCAACTTCTTCTAAACTCTTGTTATTGATATTTTGACCTCTTCCCACGAATCATGAATGTTTTAAAGGCACTTGGAATGGTGAAACCTTTCCAGAAGGTTTTCAATTTCCTTTTCCCAGATCCATCAGAGAAATCACTATCTATGAAATCTATAGCCTAATAAAAAGTATTTCTTAAATAATATTACTTAAAAGTTGAAATGACTCCTTGATCCGTGGTGCAGAATGGACACTGTGTTAGCGGGCATGGAAACAACGTTAAACTTGCATCTCCATCAAGACTCTTGGATGACCAGGTGTAATGTCAATGAGCGGTGATATTTTGGAAGGAATCATTTTTTCTGAGCAGTACATCACAACAGTGGGCTTAAAATATTCAGTAAACCATGCTATAAACAGATGTGCTGTCACCCAGGCTTTGTTATTAAATTTGTAAAGCACAGGTAGAGCAGATGTAGGATTTTCAGAATTATAAATGAGCATTGGCTTCAACTTAAAGTTACCAGCTGCATTCATTCCTAACAAGGAGTCAGCCTTTCCTATGAAGCCAGGCATTGACTTCTCCTCTACAGCTATGAAAGTTCTAGATGAAATCTTCTTCCAATATAAGGCTGTTTCATCTATACAGAAAATCTATTGTGTAGTTCATCCAACTTCATCAATTACCTTTTAGGTAGATCTAGATAACGGGCTGCAGCTTCTACATCAGCACTTGCTGCTTCACCTTGTGCTTTTGCGTTAGAGTGAAGGATTCTTTCCTTAAGCATCACAAACCAACCTTGCTAAACTCCAACTTTTCATCTACAGTTGCCTCATCTCTCTCAGCCTTCATAGAACTGAAGAGAGTTAAGACCTTGCTCTGATTAGGCTTTTGGCTTAAAGAAATGTTGTGGCTGCTTTGATCTTCTATCCAGGCCACTAAAACTTTCTACATATCAGCAATATAAGAGTGTTTTGCTTTCTTATTATTTGTGCATTCACTGGAATGGCACTTTTAATTTCCTTCTAGAGCTTTTCGTTTGCATTCACAACTTGCCTGTTTGATGCAAGAGGCCTAGTTATAGCCTATCTCAGCTTTTGATGTTCCTTTCTCGCTTATGATTTCTGGCTTTTGATTTAACACCAGAGACATATGAGTCTTTCATCTGTATACTTAGAGGCCATTGCAGGGTGGTTGGTTGTCCTCTTTTTAATATTTTTTGTTTCGAGGAAATAGAGAGGCTTGAGGAAAGGAGTGAAATGGGGGATGATCATTCACCTTCTTATATGGGCATGGTTCTTGATACCCCAAAACAATTACAATGTAACATTAAAAATCACTGATCACAAATCATCATCACAGATGTAATAACAACAATGAAAAAGTTTGAAATATTGAGAAAATTACCAAAATGTGGTACATAGATATGAAGTGACCACATGCTGTTGGAAAGAGGTGCTGGTAGAATTTTTTAAAGTGGGATTGCCACAAACCTTCAGTCTGTACAAAATGCAAGATCTGTGAAGCACAATACAGCCAAGAACAATACAACAATATATGCCTGCAGCTTAAAAACAAGCATTTTACATGCCTTATACTATTCCATAGAGCATATATTCCACAAATTATGTGTTTAATTGGTGACAGAGTTTGAGTTGTTTCCAGTTTTGTTTTATTTATAGGACTACCATAGAGCAGCTATAAATATTTAAACATTTTTGTGTATGTTTTTGGTGGACATGTAAGAGTTTTCTAGCTTATAATCCTAGCAGGGAATATTTACAGCGATACCAATGAATATCCTGCAATATTCATATTGTCATATAAATTTTATGATGTTTTATTTCACATTAAGTCTTTAATACACATGCAATTTGTGTTTATTATGTGCCAAAGTCTAAAGCTTTTTTTCCTGAATAAATTTGGAATATTTTCTAGCATCATTTATCAACTTTTAAAATAAATGTTAACTTGGAAATCATTTCAAATTTAAAGAGTATTGCTGAAAATAAAAATAATACAAAGCAAATACATTATTTACCTACATTTCCCTATTATTCATATATCTAAATTATGTGTGTATATATACATGCACACATATACATAGATATGTCTGTTCGTCAATTACATTCCTCATGACTGTTTACCACTAAATAATTCTATATATATTTCCTAATAATAAGGGTATTATTTTACATAACCACAGTAGTTATCGAATCTACAAATTTACATTGAATTTATACTTTTATCTAGTCTATTCCTCATATTCGACTTTTCCCAGGTGACCCCTAATTATGTTGTACATAGCACTTTCCCACTCTAGTAACAGAATCCAACCTCTGGATCAGATACTATAGAGCTGTCATGTCTCTTTAGCTTGACACTTTCAAAGCCATTCTTGGTCTTTGGCAATATGGTCATACCCAAAGAAGTTGAAGTCCATCTCCTTTTTAAAGAAAACAATCCTCATTTTGTTTTTGACATTTTCTCCTGACTAGGATGAGTTTATGCATCTGTGGTATGTCTCAAGGTTTCATATCAGCAGGCACATGATGTCACTGATGATAGTAACGTTAAGCATCGGTAAAGGTGTTGCTCCCATTCTGCACTGCCAATTCATATATTTTTTAAATGCTGTTGTTAAACTGTTTCTCAAAACTAATGTAAAGAGTCAATGGGAGAACACGTTAGCATCATGCAGATATTGTGACCTCATAAATATTTCTCCCTATACAGGGTATCCACTGATGATTTTTGCCTGATCTCAGCTTTACCATAATGACAGCAATATGATAATTTTCCATCTCCAGGACTCATTTCATATTTAGTAGTTAGCTTTCAGTATTCTACTGCAGTCAAGAGCCTCCATTTTCCTATATGTATGTATGTGTGTGTGTATCATTTTTATGATCTATTTTTATATATTCATTATTGAATAATCACAAATTTCTACATTTATTATATTTCTACATTAATTATTATATTTCAACATTAATTATTATAATTTATTACTGGACTTGATTATTTTTGTTGTTCAAATCCTCCCAGATTTGGCCCATGAGAGCCTTGGAATCTCCTCAATCTGGTTCCTGCATATTCATTTCATGCTCCCATCTGATCTTCTGGCTTGACAGAATATTCCAGGTTATCTTGGATCTACTCTTCTCTAACCCTACAATCAATTACTTATTCAAGGTGCACCAGTTACTGTCTGTTAGTACCATTTACTTAAAAGCCTAACATTTTTTCTATTTATCCCTATTATAAATCAAGCTTCCATATATGGGTGGGTACTATCTTGGATTTATTCTGCTCTGTTAGTATACTTACATAAAACTAAATGTATACTAAAATAGGCTTAATTACTATAATTTCATATTAGTTGTCAGGCTTTCTGATTACTTTTCAGGCGTGTCTAAACTCTCATTCTTTGCACATTCCCATAAAATTTGGAATTAGATTGCTAATTTGAATAAAAAAACAGTCATTAGAATTTTGATTGAAATTATATTAAGCCTTAGATTAATTTCTAGAGAGTTGCACCTTTTTTTTTTTTTTTTTGCAGGATTCTGTTTGTCTTTTTAATTGAATAACTTAGCAGAATTTTCTCATTGTTAATCATTCTGGGTTGGTTTTCCCAGCACATAATGCACCCTTAATTATATACATGTAAGACATTTTGCAATTTCAGAAACATGTTCTTAGATTATGTCTTTAAATAAAAACATAAATTGTTTTAGCTTATTTTCTTGTATGAACCCCAACTAGACACAGCTTATAACTCATTTCCCTTTTTAAAAAAAATATTATTAACCTTGGCAATTTTTTATTTCCTCTTTTTGCTTTCAATTCTAAAGCAAATTTATAGCTCTTATGCTTGATATATAGATCTCCTTAGTACTCAGAGTTGCCACGTAGGCAATGCTAGGGTAACTAGCTTTTGTGGTCTGCATGAGACTGAGGCATTTACTGGGATGGAGGGAGTTTTAAGGTTTAAAACAAAGACTGTTACTGGCAAATGGACTAATTGATCATTGTGTAACTAAGGGTAGAGTTTCCCCTTGCCTAATCTAAGGGCAATATTACCACTGTGTGCAATAGAAGTGGTATTATTCTTGTTTTCCATGATATTTAAATAGGTAAGTGGCATGATAGAGGATAAATAAAGCAGTATTCTTAATTAAAATTATCCCACTAATAATTCCATGCACAAATACCTTCACCTGAAGATTGTACTGAATAGTTAAGGAAGAAATAATGCCAAACTTTTACACTTTTTTCAGATAAATTGGAAAGAAAATGAAAGATGCTCTGCCTATTAGGTCAGTTTCTTTATTTTTAGACCAACGTAATGCTGATTAAGAAATGCATGACACAGCTCTTGCAAAAAAGAAAAATGATAGGCCAGTCACGTTCACAAATTAATTTTAAAATCTTAACAAAGCAAACAAAATATAGCAAAATATATCAATTATTCAAGTTGTGTTTAGTTCTGAAAGTAAAGTTAGGGGTATTTTTCTATTTCCATACTGCTATAAGGCAATACCAGAGACTGGGTAATTTATTAAGAAAAGAGGTTTAATTGGCTCATGGTTCTGCAGGCTGTTCAGGAAGCATAGTATCTTCTGCTTCTGTGGAGACAACAGGAAATTTACAGTCATGGCAGAGGTAAAGGGAAAGCACGTCTTACATGGCCAGAGAGAGAGGGAACATGTTGGACACATTTAAACAACCAGATCTCATAAGGACTCACTATCATGATGACAGCACCAAGGAGGAAATCTGCCTCCATGATCCAATCACCTCCAACTAAGCCCCATTTCCAACAGTGTAGATTACAATTTGACACGATATTTGAGTGGGGACACAGATCCAAACTATATCATTTCACCCCTTACCCCTCCCAAATCACATGTCCTTCTCACATTTCAAAAGATAATCATGGCTTCCCAACATTCCCCCAAAGCCTTAACTCATTCCAGCATTAACTCAAAAGTCCAAAGTCTTATCTGAGACAAGGTGAGTCTCTTATACCTACGAACCTGAAAATCAAAAACAAGTTAGTTACTTTTTATGTTTTTTTTTGTTTTTTGTTTGTTTTGTTTTGTTTTTTGAGATGGAGTCTTTCTCTGTCACCCGGGCTGGAGTGCAGTGGCACAATCTCAGCTCACTGCAATCTCCACCTTCCGGGTTCCAGCAATTCTCCTGCCTCAGCCTCCTGAGTAGCTAGAATTACAGGCACGTGCCACCATGCCTGGCTAATCTTTTCGTATTTTTAGTAGAGATGCGGTTTCACCATATTGGCCAGGCTGTTCTTGAACTCCTGATCTCAGATGATCCACCGGCCTCGGCCTCCCAAAGAGTTGGGAATACAGGTGTGAGCCACCAAGCCTGGCCAAGTTAGTTACTTTTATGATATAATAGGGGTATAGGCATTGGATAAATATTCCCATTTGACATGGGAGAAATTGTCCTAAAGAAAGGGGCTGTAAGCCCCATGCAAGTCTTAAACACAGCAAGGCAGTCATTAAATCTTAAAGATCCAAAATAGTCTACTTTGACCCCATGTCTCACATCCAGGCACACTGATGTGAAGGGTTGGCTCCCAAGGCCTTAAGCAGCTCTGCCCCTCTGGCTTTGCACTATTCAGCCCTCACTGCTGTTCTCAAGGGCTGGGTGTTTACAGGTACACAGCGTTTGCTGTCAGTGACTCTACAATTCTGTGGTCTGGAAGATGGTGGCCCTCTTCTCACAGCTCCATCGAGCAATGCCCCAGTCAGGACTCTGACTCCAACCCCACAATTTTCCTCCTCACTGTCCTAGTATAGGTTCTCCATGAGGGCTCCACCCCTGCAGCAGGCTTCTGTCTGTATATCCAGGCTTTTCCATACGTCCTCTGAAATCTAGGCAGAGGCTCCCAAGACTTAATTCTTGTACTCTGTGTACCCACAGGCTTAACACCATGTAGAAGCCACCAAGGCTTAGGGCTAGCACTCTGAAACAGTGGCTTTAGCTGTACCTGGGTCCCTTTGAGCCATGGCTGGAAGTGGAGTGGCTGAGATGCCAGGAGCAGTGTCCTGAGGCTGCATGGGGTAGTAGGGTCCTGGGCCTGGACCACAGAATAATTCTCCCCCATTAGGCCTCTGGGCCTGTGGTAGGAGAGGCTGCCATGAAGTTCTCTGAAATGTCTTTGAGGCCTTCTCTTCATTGACTTGGTTATCAGTACTTTCCTTCCTTTCACTTCTGCAAATTTCTGCAGCCTGCTGGAATTTGTTCCCTGAAAATGGGCTTTTCTTTTCTACCACATGGCCAGGCTGCAAATGTTTCAAATTTTTATGCTTTGCTTCCTTTTTAAATATAAGTTCTGGTTTTAGATCATTTCTTTGCTCATGCATATAAGCATAGGTTTTTAGAAGAACCCAGGCAACATCTTGAACACTTTGCTGCTGAAAAATTTCCTCCATCAGTTACCCTAACTCATCACTCTCAAGATCAAAGTTCCATAGATCCCTAGAGCAGGGGCACAATGCAGACAGGCCTTTGCTAAAGCATAGCAAGAGTGACCTTTACTCCAGTTCCCGATAGGTTCCTCATTTCTATCTGAGACCTCCTCAGCCTGGACTTATTGTCCATATCACTATCAGCATTTTGGTTACAACCATTCAACAAGTCTCTAGGAAATTCCAAGTTTTCCCTCATCTTCCTGTTTTCTTCTGAGCCCTCCAAACTCTTCCAACCTATACCCATTATCCAGGTCCAAGGGCACTTCAACATTTTCAGATATCTTTATGGCAATGCCCCATTTCTCAGTACCAATTTTTAATTTTTGTTCATTCTTGCACTGCTATAAAGAAATACCTGAGACTGGGTAATTTTTAAAGAAAAGAGGTTTAATTGGCTCACAGTTCTGAAGCCTATGCAAGAGGCATAGTGGCTTCTGCTTCTGAGGAGGCCTCAGGAAACTTACAACATGGAAGAAGGCAAAGGGGAAGCAGGCATCTTAAATGGCCTGAGCAGGAGCAAGAGTGAGAAGGGGAGGTGCTACACACTTTGAAACAACCAGATTTCATGAGATGTCACTATCACAATGACAGCATCAAGGGGGAAATCTACCCTCATGGTCCAATCACCTCCCATCAGGCCCCACCTCCAATACTGGGGATTACAATTCCACATGAGATATGGGCGAGGACACAGATCCAAACCATATCAACTATTTTGTAATTTCCCTCCATAATAGCATGAGAAAACTCAGAGGATTATCGCAATGGATGCAGAACAATCCATTTATAAACACTCATTCATAATTAAAAATAAGAATCATTTTCATTCTGATACAACATAGCCACAAGAAATGAAAATGAGAAAGCATTACACTTGGTGGAATGTTGAAAGCTTTTTCTTTGATCTCAGGGACACAGAATGGATGGGCAGAGTATACACTTTTATTCAATATATATTTGCAGCCCTGGATAGTCCATTAAGAGAAGGAAAATTCAACAAAAGTTATATGGATTAAAGCATGAAATGAAACTGCCATACTATTTGTTATGATATTAGCATTATGTATGCAGAATATCCAAAATAATTTGTAGATGATTATTTTAGAACAAATCAGGTTGTAAGCAATTTTGTTGGATACAAGATCTATTTGCTTTTTCTAGTCTGCACTCTCCCATACAAATCCTTCATAAGTGGAGGAATGTACCATTTTAATATAATACAAGACTTAATATTGTAATAATGTCACATTTGCCCAAATCCTACCAGATTTACCCAATTCAATCTCTAATAAAATAGTTTGTTAATATTGCCAAGCCAATACTAAAAATCATGTAGAAGGGCAAAGGACCAAGAATAATCAAAATTAATATTGAATAAGAAGAACAAAATGGGAAAACTAGACCCTATTGGGTATTAAGAATTCTTGTAAAGTTACTATCATTAAGACAGCACAGTATTTGTGTAGAAATAAGCAACTAGACCAATGAAACAAAATAATGAGCCCACTATGTGAGAAAGACAGCACACGTACATGGATATTTAATATACAAAATGTACCCTGAGAGTAGAGGAAAAGTAACAGTGTTTTTTTTTTTCAATAAATGGTGCTGGAAATAGTTGGTATTCATGTACACATCTATATCTATGGCTTGTACTGAAATCAATTCCATTGGAGTGTAAGTCTGAATGTTAAGGTAAGTAAAAAAAGCTTTAGAAATACAATACACAAAAATATTTTTAGACTTCAATATAGGAAAATATTTCTCAAATAGAACATGTAAATCATTAATTAGAAAGAAAATATTGATAAATGTTGATGGCATTAACATAAAGATATTTCTTCTAAAAACAACATTAATTAAATAAAAAAGTAAATATTGAAAATATATTTCTAACTTGTATCTTTGACAAAGAGATTGCATCTACAAGGTATAAATAAATGCTTCAAGTCATAAGGCAAAGAAAGGAACCATAGCAAAAATATGCATAAGGCAATTGAATAGCACTTCACAGATGAAGATATACAAAAACAATTTCGTGTCACTTAATGATGAGGATATGTTCTGAGAAATGCATTGTTAGGCAATTTAATTTATTCCTTGTACAAACATCGTTGGGTGTACTTACACAAACCTAGATGGTATAGCCAACTACACACTAGGTTATATGGTATAGTCTACTGCTCCTGTACAGATTTTGTCTTCTTAACATAAAGTTTACTAAGAAAGGTGTGTTAAACCTCCCACTAATGATTATGGATTATTTTTCTTCATAGTTCTGTCAAATTGTGTTTTCTGAAATTAAAAATATATTTCTATATTCAGACATATTAAAATCTTTTATATCTGGTTGACTGAATTTTACCATTATAAAATGTTCTCTTTTAAAAATCTCTGGCCATGCTGTCTACACTAAAGATATTTAGGATAGATATTCATATTGAAACAATATAGATTTTCTTCTCTCTTCAACTAATTCAATTTACTTATTTATTTTAATACATTTTATAGTGTACATTTAAGGTATACAACATGATGTTATAAGACACATAGATATAGTAAAAACGTTGCTATAGTGAAGCAAATGAATATATACATCATCTCACTTTGTTGTTTTTTTTGTTTTGTTTTTGCTTTTGTGGCAAGAACGACTAAAATCTACTCACTTAACATAAATCTCATATATAGTATTGTTTTATTTAATGCTGAGCTACATAATTACTCAGGATGCTGCATCATCCATTGTGCTGCTTGTGTGAACTCTGGCTTCCAATTCAAATGTTGTAATTCTTTTTTTTTTTTTTTTTTTTTTTTTGAGACAGACTCTCCTTTTATCGCCCAGGCTGGTGTGGTACAATGGCACAATCTTCGCTCACCGCAACCTCCACCTCCCGGACTCAAGCGATTCTCCTGCCTCAGCCTCCTGAGTAGCTGGGATTACAGGCACGTGCCACCGTGCCCAGTTAATATTTGTATTTTTAGCAGAGACGAGGTTTCACCATGTTGCCCAGGCTGGTCTTGAACTCCTGACCTCAGGTGATCCCCCTGCCTTGGCCTCCCAAAGTGCTGGGATTACAGGCATGAGCCACCGCGTCCGGCCGATATGTTGTAATTCTTAACCAGAGTATGCAGGAAAATATTTTAAAAACTTCAACTTCAGGTCATGTTAAATTAACTATTCAAAGTACTTTATAGTTCAAATGTAGAACAACACATCTGCTAACAATGTCTTCCCTTGAAATTTCTTGATCGCATCACAGAATTCCTGAAGGAAATGAGAACTTTTTTAGTATGGACCACATTTCTGCCATCTACACACTGCCACCAGCTGGTAGTGTAGATGAGAGGCCCGAAGGCAGAGAAAAAAGAATAGTTATTTTCATGTCTCTCAATTAGTATGGCTTAAAACTGGTCATTTACACATGGCTCTAGGTCTATCACCATCAGAATATTAACAGCAAATGGTTTTGTAGAAAAGAATCATTTTGTCTTTATGGCATACCCAGAATACTCATATTATTTTGATATTCTCTTCTCCCATTTGAATTACTGTAAGTCAAATTATTATTATTTATATACTAGTTCATCCTACCACATCATATATGTTTCTTATCCTCTTTTCTATATTACATAAAATTTTTGATATGGTTAGGCTTTGTGTCCCCACCCAAATCTTATCTTGAATTGTAATACTTATAGTCCCCACGTGTTGAGGGTATAACAGGTGGAGATAATTGAATCATGGGGGCAGTTTCCTTGATGCTGTTATCATAATAGTGAGTGAGCTCTCATGAGAGCTAATGGTTTTACAAGGGGCTTCCCCCTTCACTGGGCACTCACTCCATCTTGCCGCCCTGTGAAGAAGGTTCCTGCTCACCCTTCACCTTCCACTAGGATTGTAAGTTTCCTGAGGCCTCCCAAGCAATATGGAACTATGAGTCAATTACACCTCTTTCCATTATAAATTACCCTGTCTTGGTATTTCTTCATAGCAGTGTGAGAATGGAATAATAAAATTTCTTTCTCACTGTGTATTGATATATTTTTTACCTATTTTTCAGCTAACAAAAGTTCTTTTCAACTGTATCTAATATTTTGGGCTTTTTATTAAATCATGTATTAAATCTTTGGGCTTTTTATTTAAATCATGTATTATTTAGTTCTATAATTTATATTAGACTTTTTAAAGTTTCCCATTCTCTTATGAATATTTAATCTTGTAATTTCTTAAAAATGATAATGATAGTTATTATAAAGTCTATGTCTGATTATTTATAACTGTATATCCTTTGGATCTTTATTGTCTTCTTTTTTTGGTATTCTGTTATTTTTTCCAGCTTGTTCAAATGCTTTTTTAAAATTAAGTGTCAGATATTATATATGAAAAATCATGCAAATAATTACAAACTCTGGATAGTACTGTTCCTCCAGAAAGAGTTTATTTGTTTTTTGTTTTGTTGGGTTTTTTTTTTCTTTTTTTTAGGCAGCTAGGTTTGCCTTTATGCTATCAGAGGCCGAGATTATTTGAGGTCAGATTTAAGTCCCTGGCTCACTTTTTCTCCCTAAAGGGGTAACCCTTTAGGGTTATAAGCCAAAGTCTGATTTTTTTTTAACCAGATCATCTTCTCCCTGGAAGTCTCCGAGCTTAAACTTTTCCCCCATTCCCCCAAGATTTAGGAGACTGAAGAAAGCCCTTCCTCCTGCCTTCACATCTCAGCTCCATTTTTGCTGTCGTACTTAGTAACTGCCTCATGGGGAAAAGGGCAAACTCCGCCCTTCTTCTTGCCTTCTTTCTGCATCTTGGTCTGGCAAATTCTCAGTGTTTTGATAGCTCTCCAGTGCCCTCAAACATATTCTTCATCTCTATGGTCTAATTTTGATTATTTATATTGAAATAAATAATCCGAAACAAGCAAGTTGGCCATTACTAAACTATAACTGTCAGATTGCTCTGGATTTGAAGCAAATAATTTCTATCTTATTATAATTCAAACTTTAGTATGTTATCAACTTTATCTATAATTTGTCATATAGACAATAAACACCTTGGGAGCACATTTTTTACTAAATATAAAACTGTGTAGTGAGGCACAAAAAGTTGAAAATCACAGAAACTAACATCCAAGAATCTTCAGTAACTTATTGTGAAAGTTTAAAAGTAGTATTTAGATATAAGTAAATATTAGTAACAGAATAAAAGCAAAAATCAAAATTGAAATTACATTCAGGTTCAACTGATATTGACTAAGTGACCTCTCAAATTCATACTAGGCACTTTTAACAATATTCATAAAAATATATGAGGTAGAATTAAGACTCAAAACAACAAAATGTCTTAGTATCTCAGAGCTAGATGATGTTGGACTAAGGATTTGAAACTATATTGTGTGTGTATGTGTGTGTGTGCCCCTAAAATCTTCATGTTCTTTCCATTTTCGTATGCTTTTTCACTGGGCTACACACTTTCAGACTAATTACATAGTTAATCTCTATTTGGGTGGGGAACAAGGTAATATCTTTGCTACTGGCATGATTTAGAACAGAATATAAGTAAGCATGCATAGCAAATCACCTTTTTTCTCAATTATTAAAAAGCTTCAAGCATATATTATTAATTAACTTAGCTTCTACCCTTGCTCTTTAGCCACAGTGAATTTCTTCTATTTCTATATTTTCATACAGGTCATGTATTAAATGGTCTCTCGCCTGTGTAGCTCCTGAGTCAATGAGAATTGTATGGTTTGCGGGTTAACTTAAACTTATATTTATAAACCAATTTATTTGTTGATTCCCATGAAGTCAGAATAATTTATTTTACTGACTATAACTTAGGGAGGAAGGCACTAGTATATTTTCAAAATGGAATCCAAATTGATTCTTAAAAAATTTTATAAATTGAAATTGCTCACAATAAACAGGCATTTTGCAAATGAGGCAGAAAGACATCCAAATTCTATTTACAAATGTTCGTATATGCCTATCTAGCAAAAGTAGCAGGTGTGAATGATCAGATTATGAATTTATGAATTAAAATTTATAATCTATTTTGTAATTATGTCATGACAAGATAAAGGAATAAACAAGATATTTTATAACAATGGCTATTATTTTGACTAATTAGTTGAGTATTCTAAATTTTGTCTCAACACTTAGATTTAATTCTATGGAAATAGTTATTTTACAAAGCAGTCACACATATCAATTTCTTATACATTTATACAGTTCTATTCTTTACCCTTTACTGATACTTTATCTTATTCACTTGACAAAAATCTGTAGACATTTTTTAATGTTAATATTTTGGTTCTAAAAAATCCTACCCTTTTCTTACCAGTCAATAAACCTCCACTAACCGTCACAGATATTTTTACTGTTAGGCATCCTATCTAGTATTTGAAAGTAAACACTTCCTTACATTTGGAGATAAAATGATGTTTTCCTTCTTAGATTACTCATGAAATGTGTCTGTACTCTTCTAGTAAGTCAGGATATCTGGAAGACAGAAACAGCTTTATTCTTCTCTTTGACTCAGGGTTCTTAAGAGAGTGTTTGGTAAATGTTTATTGAATTAACGTTTTACACAAGTCTGGGATATAAGTAGTACAGTTTTATATTATTCCCGGAACTTCCTGTCAACCCATATGTTTCTATCCATTTATTCCTTTGTTCACTTATTCATTAATTTGTTCATTTACATTTACTCATTAATTCATTCCATGAAAAATATTGACAAAGTGTCTTTGACCTGACGCTTAAATTATAAGTGCCATTTGAAAATACAGAGATGCGTAGAGAAAAGCTTGATTAAAACAATATGATAAATATTAGAGATGGAAAAATAAAGAATTCAGTTTGGTTGGAACAAATTCTGGACACCTATTCTACTGCCAATCTCAGCCTGGATTAACCTGTCCGTCATCAAGGATAAAGGAATGAGTGCAGCCTGACCAATTCACTGCTACTATTACAAGTAGCAAATCCAACCCACCTAGGTTTCAGGAAAATGAACTTAGCACATTTCCATGTCTGAAGTTTCTTCTACGGAAGAATGCTCATAAGCAGAACAGATGAGACAACATGTATACAAAAGCATGTAGTTTATTACCTATGCTGACTGTGACCAGTTAATGAGTGAACCAACAGGTCTGCACCACACTCAGAGGGCATGTTAAGTCCAAAAGCTGAAATTAACTATTTTAGATTTATTCATACTATTTTCACATGATTTGATTAATTTTCTATAGGACAAAACATCCCCAATTTATTCCCAGATCTTCTCCCAAGGTAAAATAACTGGACAATGTATCATTCTGGCAAAATAGAGTATTTATGTTTTTAACACGATTTCTTCTCATTACAATGAATCAACCTCTTGTTTACGTAGCCAAATAAGCATGGCATGTTGAGGTAATCCTCAGCTAGACTCTTTGTCTTATGCGGTCAAACTCCAGTTTTGTCTTGGTTAACCTTAATTTCGTGTTTTCAAGAAAATAATATATTAGCAGTTACTTCTTCTAGGTCCCATTTATCGATAAGTTTTTATTTACGTCCTTCCTTTCTCCTAAATTCACTGATTTATTTTCTATTTCAACTCACTATTCCTAACATGTTTCTCTCCTTCAATACAGCACAGTGTTCCTCTGTGTTCTCCCTCTGGGTTACATAGTCTCATTCAACCCAAATGATATGTAAACAAAAAGAAGAAATAAAGTTAGAAGTATGAATTAGGTGCAGGGTCTGAGGTCATTAAAAACCTATCTGGGGAATTTGGACCCTTTTCAATGAGCGAAGGAGAATCCATAAACATAACTAAGTATTGGAGAAAGATAATTCAACAATTGCTCTTCAAATTACCATCTGACCATCATGAATTCAGCTGGCTTGGAAGGGCATAAAGCTGCATATTCATGCCAGTGAGAAGGCTTTTAAGATTGTGCAGTGGTAATTTGTGAGGGCTTGGATTGAAGTAGTGACGGCAGTAACAAGATGAAACAGACAGATTTAGATATCAAAGAGCAGTGCAGGCAGAATGAGACCCTAAAGAGCTGAGTCATACACAGAATGGGAGATTGGACATGAGACTAATTCTTTTTTCTCACTTGTAAGTGGGAGCTAAATGATGAAAATACATGGACACCTAGAGTGGAGCAACACACATTGGGGCCTTTTGGAGGTAGAGAATGAGGAAAAACAACTAATGGATACTACTAGGCTTAATACTTGGGTGATGAAAAAATCTGTACAACAAACCCCTGTAACACAAGTTTACCTGTGTAATAAACCTGCACTTGTACCTCTGACCTTAAAATAGAAGTTTAAAAAAATCTACATGAGTGAGAGAATGGTGATGACATTTACAAATGTTAAAAATGCAGAAGTTTTCCAATTTTGACTTTAGGCTTTAGAAATAATGAAGTAATGATGAGCGGGTTGTATTTGTCCAACCAAGGGATGGAAGTTTCAGGGAGAGGTCAGAGCTAGAGATTTAGTTCCATGTGCCATTTACATTTGGCTGCCACTCATGAGCTTTAATGATTTTTCCAAAGAAAAACCACCAGGACAAAGTCAATAGTCTCCAACATCCTCCCCCAACTATTAATATAGTAGCTATCCATAAACATCCTATTGAAATAATCTTCTGAAGATAACCCTAGGAAAATGTTGCTCTAGAATAATTTATTATAGAAAAAGGGTATGTGAAGACGTATTAGAAGACCTATAAATATTCTCATTCTAATAAAATTTGATGCAGAATCTAAGCTTTTATCTGAGAGGGCATCATGTATTGCAACAAGTGTCATTCCAGCTAGATACTACTCTCACTAGTATAATATCAATCATGTTAGTAGCAGGCTAAGTCATATTATTATGCTAATTTTTGACTGACAAGTGATTTTCAACTCTGTAATTCAGCAGCATCTACTTGACTTGTGGGACCTTCTGCTAGATCAGTACCAACCTGATACCTTGATTTTCATGCGACCTCAACCCATAAACTTTG
This sequence comes from Homo sapiens, assembly GCF_000001405.40. Classification (NCBI taxonomy): domain Eukaryota; kingdom Metazoa; phylum Chordata; class Mammalia; order Primates; family Hominidae; genus Homo; species Homo sapiens. Next base: position 13,196,450 of record NC_000002.12, on the reverse strand, counting down.
CAAAGTTTAACTACGTTCTCCAAGTCCTCTGGTATTCTGTCTTTTTTTTTTTTTTTTTGGCGTGGGGGGAGCGGGGTGGAAACCATTCTCCCAAATACATCACATATTTATTTGATTTGTTATTTAGTCCTAAGCTGCCTTTAAAGCTCTAACAGTAATAGCTTTATTTGAATTGATAAGTTTTTTGTTGTTTGTTTTCAGTAATGCTACAAATAGAAAAACCACATGCATTATGGAAATAATCATAACCTTTCCACAAACATGCTTTGTCAACATTCTAATATTTAATCAGATATATCTGAAAACATATATATATATATATCAGTTTTCTTTTTATTAATATCTTCTATTCTGTCTGATTTCCTGGGAGTATACCACCAGGTTTAGAAATTACTCATATATTATTTACACACACACACACACACACACATATATATATATATACATAAAGCTATTATTTGAAACCTATTTTCAGAGAGCATTGCTTTAAAAAAGTTAAAAGAAATTAGCCAAGCCAGGCCCAACGCTCTACTTATCCTTTGATACTCACAAATATTCCCGAAAAATATTTATTTTTCATCCATGTTTGCCATCTATCTCTACTACCTTAAACTTTTTATGTTAATAGGATCAATAATTTTGGATGATGATTTTCAATTTTTTTATGACTCCAAATACTAAAAGATAGTTATTGGGAATTTTAAAGGTCTTGTCCTACAAATGTTTCAAACAACTTTGTATCTTGACCTATTATTTACTATTCAGATACATTATTTTATTTTAATTTCATTGTAACTTATTTCTTTCCTGAAATCTAATGTAGATATGTATATGAAGAAGTTGGTTAAAACTATATTTTCATACTATCATAGTACATATGTTTATATTTTATGTATATAAATTTTCTTGAGACAAGCGAAGTTGTTTTTTTATTATTTATATGTTATCTAATAATATTTAGGTAAAAACAAATATTTGATGAATAATCATTATTTTCAAGTACTTGCCTATTTTGTAAATTAATCTAACTACCAGTTATTGTAAATTGCACAAATATATCATTACTCATTTTAAGTCCTCATCTGGATGTCATTTCTCATACCAAGTTTGCTCCTTGGAATTGTCTTAACTCTCTTTACAGAAGAGTTTCTTCCAAAGCCTTAAAAACTTTCTATCAGAAAGAACATCGTCTGTGAAGTCTTCCTAGTGGTTGATCACCACATTCATTTAATCTATTCTCTATTTAGCTCTCATAGCACAGTTCATCACAAAGAGTAAATAACTAAAAATACTTTCTGAATTTCGGTCAATGATGTTGTTTTGCATAAATAAATTTGCAAATTTTTTGTTTCTCAGTAATTCTATATATAGTTCCATCTCACATCAAGAGTAAAAGTGAATTTGTTACTTATCATAATGGCATTTCTCAAAATATTTAATGTACCGAAAATTAAATCAAATAATAATGTATACAAATTAGTTGTTGATACACTTCTGTTGCATTTAATGCAAACTACTTGAGGATCTGTGACGATCCTCAAAAGGCTGAAAGCAAATTAAAAATCCATGACCTTATCAGAGTGTTGGAAGAAAAAAAATCATGGGTTTTAAAGTCAAATTGTCATTGGTGTGGTTTTGAGGAATTACTTAAACTCATGAGGGAGTTATCTCATCTGTAAAATAAGAATCACGAATAAGTCCTCCTTCTTTGTATAAAGATTACTTTTCTCTCCTCTCTGCTAGTCTTTGAGTTCATCCAAGCCATTGTCTGAAAGTTGCATCATCCCCATCCCAGTGCAGAATTTAACACCTAAAATTGACTCAACATATGAGTGAGAAAAAAGGCAAATAATGAGATTTTTTAATGCCCATGAAGAGGAAAAAGTAATTCGTAGGTCTGATACCATTAAGGAAGGACTCCCAGTAAATAGGAGTACTGAGCTTGACACCAGAGTGTGTATGGGACTGAAAAAAAAGGAAAGAATATTTCAGTTGTGCTTCCTCTAAGCCAAACGTAGACCTTCGTGGTAACTACATGAAAGCATCTTCGGCGTGTAAAAGTTCATAAAATGTTCATTAATAAATGTGTTTATGATGAATCTTTCTAGATATGTCAAATCAGTGCAGGACATATGTTTGTCTAGCCTAATGAGTAGAAGTTCTTTAAATTTCTGATCAGCATGCCTACAATGCCAGGATTAAAAAATAGTTAGAAATTAATTACTTAAAAGTATTCTTTGCCTTTTCTTTTTTTCTCCATCTCTCCTATTTTGAATCAATTTGAAACAGAAAGCATAGGGAGAGAATGTTTCATAGGTCATTGTGCCCTCTTGTGGTAATTCGATTTGGCAGATAAATACTGAAGAATCAGGCAGGAAGACAAGAGGCTGCTGGACCCTCTACCCATCCTGCCTGCAACAGATGATGCTCCTCTAGGCATGAAAGCCAAAGTAGCCACTAATGCATCTGAAACTACAGGTACATGATAAAGAGAGAAATTTGACAGAACTAAAAAGAGTTCAATTGTACCCACACTTTCTGAAAAAGCATTTTGTTTTTAGAAGCTGCATAACCTTTGGCTAGTTACTTAATCGTCCTGAGCATCACTAGCCTCTTTTTGAAAATGAATATATTCTCCTGTCCAAACAATTCCATAGGAATTCTGTAAAGATGTCATAGGTTATTTTTTATTAAAGTATTTCGTTATCTAAATGAACAAAATAAAAGGGCATATGATTACTATATTTCGTGGTGCATACTATATATATATATATGCCATAAAAATGTGTAAGTTCAAATAAGATGCATTTAAGTGTATTCATAACTTGCATACACATTGGATATTGAATATCCAATAGCATAACTTTTTTATTATTGACTAGAAATATTGATAACTTTTAGCACAGAAAAATATTAAAGTTGAGAAAATAAACTACTGTATTTTGTGTACAGTTATATCTACTGTTAAAAGAAAGGCTTTAGACAAAATAAATTTAGCAAAGCCTATTTTAGCAAATTTATGAATCAAACAGCACAAAGAACCATGAGAGGTTCAGACAGCTCCCCCCAGCGCATGGGAAGGCAGTATTTATAAACGAAACAAGGAAGCATATACGTATATAGCTTGTGTGGTTGGTTGCAGCTGAGTGTTGACTTTCTTTATGCAGGGTGTGATGAGGCATTTGCCTTATATGGACATGGCCTGAGCAGTTGGCAGCCTGTGATTGGCTGAAGCTTATCTCATGTAAGCGACTGAGACACAGCTACTTGTTACAAGATTATATTCTTAAAATTAGGCTGCAGTTTGCTACAAATTGATTCAAGAGAAGAGGCATTAGGCCACATTTAATTTAACACTACCTATCTACTCCTTCACTAAATATATACAAACCAAATAAAACAAGAATTTCAATTCAGAAAAAACTATTAATTTAGCAAAGAAACATTTAGGTAATTATAACATGTGTTTTTATTTATTTATTCAGCAAGTGATTAAAAATAGTACGGCAGTCTCTGCTTATCAAGGGTTTTGTTTTTCAGGGTTTCAGTTACTGCTGTACAGTAAAAGAAGATATTATGAGAGAGAGAAAGATACACCATAGTCACGTAATTGTTATAATAATATGTTGTAATTATTCCATTTTGTTACTAGTTATTGTTGATCTCTTATTGTGCCTAATTTACATATTAAACTTTATCATAAGTATGTACGGGGAAAAGCATAGTGCATATAGGGTTCAATACTATTTATGGTACTATTCTGGCATCCACTGGGTGTCTTGGAGCATATATCCAAGGATAAGGAGGGATTACTGTACCCTTTGTGCAAGACATTAGTCTTGGAGTAGGGAAAACATGGTGAGTTCCCACATGAAGCTAATGTTTTAGGAAATAAACATAAATAAATAATTATAAGTGTAAAGATAGAACTGTGGTAAATGCCAGAACATGAAATATATATGTATGAGAATGTTTAATAAAGAACATTTTATTAGTTCAGAAAATCCTGAAAAAGTGACGCCTGTGCTGAAATCTAAAAGAATAACAAACATTAGAAGAGCAAAGGATTAAGGATGGATTTGGGAGAAAGAGAAATATTATAGGAAAAAGCAGTTTTTAGTGGGGGGAAATACACATTGAAAGATTGAAAAGATCAGAAAGTCAGAGAAAATAATGGCTTTAGACAAGCAGGAAAGCTCAGGCTTTAAGAATACTTTTATTTTAAGACTTGTTCTTTTTATAATTTTAATTATATAGTTTATTCCTGGAGTTCTGTAAATAAAAAATAATTTCAAAAATCAGCTGAAATAAAAGAGGGAATTCAAAACAACCTACTCCACCCCGACACACATTTGCACAAATGCACACTCACAAAATTACACTCTTTTATCTGTTCATCGAGTGTAGTGGATTTTTTTTTTTTTTTGAGGTGGAGTCTCACTCTGTTGCCCAGGCTGGAGTGCAGTGCTGTGATCTTGACTCACTGCAACCTCTACCTCCTGGGTTCAACTGATTCTCTTGTCTCAGCTTCCCAGTAGCTGGGACTGCAGGCATGTGTCACCAGGCCAGGCTAATTTTTCTTTTTTTTTTAATAGTAGAGACAGGGTCTCACCATGTTGCTCAAGTTGGTCTCTCGAACCCCTGACTTCAAGTGATCTGCCCAACTTAGCCTCCCAAAGTTCTGGGATTACAGGCTTAAGCCACTGTGCCCGGCCATGAGTAGTGAAATGTTTTAAAAGAAAATTGAGAATAAATTTGTCTTTGCTATCTATTGTTTGAGCATATTCTTAATCAGATAAATTTATGGTTACGTGCTCTGTAGAAAATGTGTTTATCACCATTATAAGATACTCTTCTCTCAGCTGTTTCTTCTTGCAGCTGATTCTCTGTTGCACAGAAAGCTTCTGGCAGATCTCCCTCTATTCTTGGTAGTCCTGCCTTGTTTATTCCCCTCCCTCAGAGGATGGGCTGGATCTAGTTAGTGAATTGCTTCTAACAAATAGAATTTGGCTAAAGTGATGAGGTGTCTCTTTTGTAATTAAATTACAAAAGACGGTGATTTCATCTTGCTGGCACGTTCTCCCTGGATCTCAAGTCAGACTCTGATGGAAAGGGTCACCTGCCAGGGAACTGAGGGCAGCCTCTGGCCAGTGGCCAGTGGGACCTGAAGACCCCACTGGCTTACAGCTCCAAAGGAACTAAGTCGTGTCAGCAACCACTGAGTAGCTCAGAAACAGAACTTGCCCCTGCCCCAATCAAACATTGAAACGACTTTGGCCCCAGTCAGCATGGTGATTGCAGCCTCATCAAGGCTGCAAGGTGAGTACTCATGCGAAGTCCCTAGTTTGCCTGGGACTGAGGTTTCCTAGGGTGCAGGACTTTCTATTGTATAATCGGGAACGTCTTGGGCAAGCCCAGATAAGTTGATTATCCTGTTTGTAACAAAAAGTCAGCCAAAGTACCCACAGGAATTGTGAGGGGACTGTCGTGGGGTGGGGGGCGGGGGGAGGGATAGCATTAGGAGATACACCTAATGCTAAATGACGAGTTAATGGGTGCAGCACACTAACATGGCACATGTATACATATATAACAAACCTGCACGTTGTGTACATGTACCCTAAAACTTAAAGTATAATAATAATTAAAATTAGAAAAATAATAAAATAAATAAATAAATAAATAAATAAATAAATAAATAAATGTATGCAGTTTTGAGCTGTTAAACGTGAGCATAGTGTGTTAGGCAGCAAAATAAAACTGAGACATATATTCAAGGCTCATCCCAAATGTCAGCTCTTAGAGGAAAACGTCGGATTCTCAAATACCAGCAAGGAGACCCCTCCTCAGATCCTCTACAGTATCCTGTGCCTCTCTTTATCAAAGCATCCAAAAATACCATCTCATAATTGTCTGCTTGTTTTTCTTGCTGTTTCCCTAGGGTAAGATCACTTTGCTAGTGGAACACTCCAAGGACAACTTTGTAATATTGCCAGAGTAGATTTTGAAACAGAGTGTATATGTACATAGGATCTAGTTAGGTGACCTAACACTTTTCTGCATACCAGAAAAGATGACACTACTTGGGGGACGCCGCTTACTAGGACTAAAAATACTTTAGCTCAATTCAATTTTGATCTTCTAAGAGTTATCCACAGATTTACTATATCTTTTTCATGATGATGAAGTAGATAAAAACTTAATCACTGTTAAAGGCAAAGCTAAAATCTAAACCCCTTACTATATATTTGGAAGAATATGATTAAGATGTAAAAGAATATGGATTTCATGGTCAAGGATATTCTAGAATAAACTGTGTTTAAGTAACAAGAAATCTATAATAAAGTCAGTTTAAATACTTGTTCTGATTACATTCACATAGAAATAACTTCAAAGTCAATTCTTATTTCATTAACAATATTGGAAAGTAAATTTCGTATTTATTTTCAAAATAAATACAAAATGCCTGACTGAAGGAAGCAAATATGACAAAATAATTAAACTTTGTAAACTCTAATTTTATCTATCATGAGTGAATAGTCTTCCTCAGACATGTGAAAATAGGGTTTTGCAGCAGATGATACTATATTCTCTAAATTTAGTTGACAAAAACACTAAGTTACATGATTAGCATTGAATTCAGTCTCTGTGGGCCACTTAGCTTGTGTTCATACCATGGCTTTTGCTGAGTTCCCGGGAGTTGCCCTTCCAATCTGTATATACAGTCATGCTTTAACAAAAACATGCAGAGCGTGGCTAAAATAATGTGCTAGTAACATATTTCCACGCAACAAAAACACTTAGTGTTTTTTATTCTTTGTTTCCCTTAAATATGTTTTTATGTAATCAGGGTTAATTATTATAGGTTTTCCAAATACAGTCTAATTGAGAATGTACATTTTCCAATTCCTAAACAAATGTTTATCAACCTGATATGTTAATTAAGAACTCTATTGCAACATGGTGAGACTCCATTTCTACAAAAAGAAAAAAAAAATCAGCCAGGTGTGGTGGTGTGCACCTTGCAGTCCCAGCTACTCAGGAGGGTGAGGCAAGAGGATCACTTAAACACAAAATTTGAGGCTGCAGGGAGCTGTGGGCGCACTATGGCACTCCAGTTTGGGCAATGGAGCAAGACCCTGTTTAAAAAAATAAAATAGAACTCCACCTACCTACAAATTCAAATTCAGTCCCCAGATTGTCAGATTTCTTGACTGGATGGTTTTGGGCTTCAGTTAGTTAGTTTTCTTCTACTATTTTTTTTCATGGAAGAAGGTGGAAAAGAAAAAAAGTAATAACAAAATAAAAATGAAAGATGTACTAAGGGGAGAGAGTCATGAGCAGTTAGAGGAAACTGGTATCATATAGAAATGAAGCAAACAGAGAAAAAAGGAATGAACATATTAGTCTCTCATAAAATTTAAGGAAGCAGTTACTACTACATTAGAGTGAGACGTTCCATTCCGTGAGCTGTCTATTACAAAACAGAGCAAACTTTTGAGCTGCCCAGAGCATAAAGTGTAATGAATATTCAACACTTACAGCCTTATAAGAGTCAAATCTTCATGTGTTTATCCCACCTAAAACCTTATTTGCAGTCTTGTGCTGAAAATAGGAGGTCGGCTAATAGTGTAAATACTTTAATGAGATTTTGAGTTATGATACAAGTGCTGTCATGCGCAATACAAAAATTTATTTTGTTCGTAAAACAGTCATGTGTCTAGTTGTCATGTGAAAAATTGCATGATACTTCTAGACTTTGGTGTTATTCTGATCCCTTGCACTTTCTATAGAATTTGCAATCTTCATCTCATACAGTCTGAAAACTATCAAGGAATTGACAATGAATAAAGCTGTAAAATTTATTCATTTCTAAAAAGGTTATGTAAAATCTTGCTTATGGATTAATTTTTGATTCAAAGACAGCTATTCATTTTCTTGTGTCAAAATGAGCTATATTTTGGTAGACAGGTCAGAAAACATTTTCTCTATGGTATCTACTATTTAATTAGAAGTTAGTCATCAATTATAACATGTATGTTACAGTACAGTATATTTAGAAAGTTGGAAATTTAATCTCAAAAACAGATTTTATTACATACTCTGAGTCATATGGCATTCGATATAAAACAAATTACATTCGGGGAGTTTCAACAGCATCCAAATTGAGGATGCACATGGCTAATTGGGCAGGACTGGATCTTATTACTCATTTTAGCTTCCCATCTATGTCTTACATGTAATGACATTTTTACTACAGATTATTGTTATTATTTTCTGAGATAAGTTCTCACTCTGTCCCCTAGGATGGACTGCAGTGGCACAATCACAAGTCACTACAGCCTCAATCTCTGAGGCTCAAGTCATCCTTCCACCTCAGCATCCTGAGTAGCTGGGATCACAGATGCGTGCCAGCACACCCAACTAACTTTTAGAGTCGGCCTTTACTACATATTCTTGAATTAAATATAGCCAAAACCACGAGTTAATTTTATACTTATACTTTTCTTAAAGGAAATATAACTTTTTTGTTAAATTACATAATAATCTAAATGTCAAAAGCAGTGATCAACACAAGGTCACTCTAACAGACTGGGTTCGAGATCAGAAAATCAAGATGTTTCAAATTCAGACACATTCATGAAATTTTCATGTTAAGGATAAAGTGAATAAATTTCATTGTTAATAAAAGGGAGGATTAGCTGTGGCAATAGAAAAGGTGTTTCATGCCACTTTTCTCTAAATATCTGTGTTTTGGCTGAATTGTTAAGTTCGTGGGCATTGAATGTTTTGTTTCCTAACTTCTACATTTAAAAAAGGTGTGTCTTGAACACTCTCCTAAACTAAACAAATCCTGCTCATAGTCGAAGTCTCAGTTTAAAGGCTACTTCTTCCAGCAAAATTCCTTGGTTTTTCAAATATCCTGGATGCTTATAGGACACAGTCCTTAAATATTTATAGGATACAATCCCCTATTATTTCTTGCTACTGATTTCAGGTACCTGTTGAGTTACTCATCTACTAAGAAGCATAGCATTCAAATTTAGATAGGCATAAAATTACCTTGCCAACTTATCTACAATGCAGATTTCTGATCCACATTCCTGGAAAAATTTAAGAGATCTACGATAATATCCAGACATCTCCATGTCTAATAAGATCATGTAACCATCTTATCAAATTTAGCTGTACTTGATTTCATGCAAATATCATTTTTCCTACTTCTTTCAAACATATTGTGAGGACTTTATTTTTCTGCCCCAGGCCAAAAATCTCCTGTATTTTCTCTAATTATTTTCAATATCTTGTGACACTGCCAGGCATCTTAGAAGCACTCAGTAACAAAATAGTAGGCTATAGCTATTTTATTTCAATCTTCATTTGTGTACTATGCAAATTTTTACCTAAGTATGTCATGAGCATTCTGTTTCACAACCATAATTACCTCATTGAATTAAATTTGATTCTGTAATTATATGGATTTAATTCTTACAAGTTTTTTTAAAGCTTTATTTCTACATGCATGTATACTTTTATTTGTGTATTGTTTAATAAGCTTATGTTTTCAAATCAATTTTTCAGTAAAGCTACATGTATAATAAAACTCTTAATAAGTTGTACATGTAAAAATGTCTTTTTCTTGCCTTTACTTATTAACGTTATGTGAAGGAATATAAAATTTTGAAGTCACATAATGTGTTCCCCTCAAAGTATGCTAAATATTTCTTTTGTCTTACATTACTCTACTAATTAGAAGTAACTCAGAAGTCATTTATTTTTCTCTTTTAAAATTAGCTACAGCATTCTTTGTAGTGTAAGATGTTGCACCTTTTACTATAAAGTTTAGTTCATTATTCACGATATAGAGTGTTGTGGTCGTTAATTTCATTTCTCTGGAGTACAATGAGTAACACCTATCTAGACATCCATGCCTTCATTTTAATATCATTGTCTTTTATGTTTGACATTATCATAACGTTTCATTTGATACATTTTCTTAAATTTATATCAATTATCTCCATGTGTGTATTTGTCTGTTTTCCATTTCTCTCATTTTTCCTCAAATCCCATCAATTGCTTTGTTAATTTCCTTTATTATTGTGATTCTCACAAGTCTCTCCTGCAGGTAATTTCTTCACATTTTGATTTGAGTAAACAAAATGAATATAGCAACGGTATTAACTTTTACCTTAATGTATGTACTTAGCCATGCCAGTTCCCTGTTTTTTGAGCTTATGTTTTTTCCTTCATTTATGTTTAATCAAATATTTCATCCTGTCTATGTCTTCTTTAATTTTCCTAAAGGGAAATATAGTTATATTTAAGTCATTTCTCTATTCTCTAACATATACTTTTAAAAATTCTTGTTTCTCAATATTTTGAATGTTATTTCTTATGTCTTTTAAAAAATACACTAATGCCTGTATTGTTTTGAGTTTGTGAGAACATGAGTGTGTGTGCTTTCATGCACATGGAGGTTCATGATATTTGTACTTGCGTTAAATCTATTTTGGACGGGTTAAATTCTATGCCTCTTTGACATTCTATTTGATAAAAACTGTACATGAATGGTGGAACCTACATAATTTCCCTAATTCTTTATCTGCAGATTTTAGAATTTTATTATTTGATTCTGAGTTGAAAGTTTGAATGTTTTATGCTAATTTTAGTTTTATGCTAGTTTTAACCCATCAACTACATAAGAAGAATGGAACTCCTTCAGTGATGAAGGAGTGGCCCTTCTCTTAATTTAGTACCATATATTTTGCTATTAGAAGCCTTGGATTTCATGGTAAGAAAAAAATTTATAGTTTTCTGGGTTAGAACATTATTGTCTATGTTCAGCTCATTTTTATCTGCAGCTACAAACCTCATTCCATGCTTACCTGGGCAAATATTTAGCCTTATTCTTTCCAATTGGATCAATTTTGCCGACATAAAAATTGCTTACAAACATGGGATTTTGCTTTTATCTCTGCCTTCCTTACTTTCCATTATGAATAAAATAGGCCTATGTGTTGACTCCACATCTGAATTCTTTAAGTTAGAGCTTCATATTAAGGCTCTTACAAACTCTTCTTGGCTCTTCTATAAGGTGATATAAAAGTTTCCATCTTCCTGCTCTCTTGCCAAAATTATTCTGGGTTTTAGGATTACTTTTCAAATTCTGCAATATGAAACTCTGGTCACTACCACTTTTAACATAGTTTTTTTTTTTTTTTCCTAAATTGTTTTCTATTGTTGTGTGTTATGCAGATGTATTTCAGAGATACAATTTGATCAACATGAACTGAAGGCAACATCTATGTCATAAGTACTGAAAGAAAAACAAATACCCTCAAAAATTTATGTTGGGCACAGCTGTATCTAGGCCTGACACGCAGTTATCAGTTTCCATGTCCTGCACAAGGCTCCCCATATTGTGGGGGCTGCCATGAGGAAGTTCCTTGCCCAACTCCCTAGTTCTGATGGAGCATGAGAATTTCCACGCTTCACACCCCTCCCAGCAAATTTAGGGACCAGCTTCAGGCGACCAACGGTGTAGCCACAGCATAGAATGAGCTTCTCCATGACAGACCAACCCACCTGTGTGTCTTCTGTCTTCTCAAAAAAGGAAGTTAAAAAAAAAAAAACAGTTGCAAAGTACTTTGATAAAGTATTTTGGTTTTATTTATAGCATTACTGAATGTGTAAAATATGTCAAATACTATGCAAGTGTATTTATAGATTATAGATTATTTATTCCTCATAACAACTCTGTGATATATGTATCATTACCCATGTTTTATGTATGAAATAACTAATGTTGAGGAAAGCAAGATTTAAAAAATTTCTCAAGGTTAAATTGTTGCAGTTAGGAAAGTTAAAATTAAAGCCTACCTGTCAAATTTACAATATCTCTGTTCTTTCTATTTTATGATAAGTTTTTTAAGCTCAAAGCTTTTTAATCTAATCCTAGCTTTTAACAGTGGACCATTAGTGGGAGAGAGAAAGCAATCTAAAACAATAAACATTCTAAAATACATATGTACACTAGCAAAACTACAATATTTTCCTGCGTTTCATACATACATTAAAAAAACTAGACTACGCAGAAAAGTGTAAGTAAAATGAATATAAATTTTTAAAAAGAGCTATTAAACTATTATAAGTTAAATAGTTGAAGTTCTTTTGTACTATAACACAAACAGATAGCAGATATTTTGTTTCAAATAAATAAAAACATCTGATATTAAAGTTCTTTCTGTTTATATTTAATAGTTATATGTAGTATTCTAAACAAGACTTTTTATATAATATTTCCAATTTTTATTCATAATTTGGAAAGCCATTATTCAAAACATATATAATTCTTTTACTTTGGGCCTGGGAAATTTTATTACTCTTTTCTAAAAAAGGATTTCAGTTCAGTAGAAGATTAATATAAGCATCATGCATTCATCTGTTAAATTCCAAATGAGCTCTGATATATCTCTGGGATAAGACACATGGTCCGGAGAAAATTTCAAAGAGCTGCCATGATATAGGGAGATAATTGAACACATAAGAAAAATTAGAGAAATAGAGTTGATCCAGGTTCAACTATATCAGTAAAATCTAGATATTTATAACATGGCAATATTAATAATCTACTTGAAAGTTCTTTAAAATAAGTATCAGTAGTACATAAAAGTTAAAGAGGATTTTATGAAGTGCTAGCCTACCTTCTAAAGTTCCTCTTATTAATGATGTAAAGCATATTTGATCTAAGTTTATATTCTGAAAATACTCAGGGTTGGGAGGAGTTTAGAGGTCACATATGCAATAACTTCATTTTAAAGATTAGGAAACTGATGCTCAGAGTGAGAAAATGCTTTCTTCTAGATGCATGACTGAAATTTCACATTATGTAATTTAAAAATATATCAAAAAAGGAACCTCAATGTACCAATCAATAAAAGTGGATTAAGCCTTACTTTGTCAGAACAGCATCATTTGGAATGCATGAGGGCTTTGGTTGAGAGGCGATGCGTACAGAAATTGTCCTGCAACCTCATTATTCTGCTACTACTGCACATGTGCTACTACTCCTAGTAATAATATGTATAATTTCTAAGCAAATTCTGAGAAACAAATACTCTGTAGGACAATTTATATATGCTTTCATGATATTACATGAAAAATATTGTTCTTTTTTACACCTTAGAAAAACGTTTCAGTGGGTATACATTGTGTAACGCAGATCACTTCAGTAGTGATTCTGAAAGTCCTGGTAATTCTACCTAAGCCTGCAAAACAAGACATATTTCTTAGATGGCCTCCAATATTTCTGCCCTCTGTTTTACATGCACTGAATAATCTCCTCCTTTGAGTATGAAGAGGACCAGTAAAAATGTAATATATCATTCCTGTAATTGGTTAAATTCTATGGCAAAGGCAAAGGGAATATTTTTAGAGGCAAGTAAGTTCCCAAATTTGGTGATTTTAAGTTAACTTGAAGATATTTTATCATTATGATGTTGACTTTGTCACATGGAAGCTCTAAAGAAGACCGGGGCCCCTTTTGAAGAGGAGATGTCGTCAGTCCGCATATCCCCAGAGAAGAAAACAGCCATGCTTTTTACTGCTCATAGAGATGGACTACCTCTAGTGCCTGAAAGACTTTGTCTAACAATGACAAGGTATTAATTCTGTCAACAACCTGAATGTTCTTATAAGAGAACCTGACCTCCAGATAAGAATGCAGCCCAGTCAACAACCTGTGTGCAGGCTTGTGAGACCTTGACTAGAGAACCCCAAAAACTTAGAAAATATTTGTTGTTTCTGAAAACACAATATATTTGGTTTGCGGGACATAATCATTCGTCTTCCCACTGTCAGGCACTGGACCATACTGTCAGCTCATTGCTGTTGTCCATGGGTTAATGAAAGTGCAGCAAGATGCACTTTGGATGTGCTTTCCACAGCAGGCCCCACAGTTTGCACCTCTGCCCAGAGACTTGAGTTTCGATTTGCATGCATAGTTTTTAACAGTTCTCTCCATGACTGCACAGCTTGGTGGCCCAGTTAACTCAAGTCTTTAATTTATCTGGTTCATCCATGAACCAGGATCAGACAGCTTTATGGGACTTGAGGCATCAAGGCCTCCAAGAAGTAAGAGATGTTGGCACAGAGTTTATTTTGGGCATAGCTGTATCTGGCCTGGCAGGCAGTTATCAGCTTTCATATCTTGCAAAAGGCTTCCCATCTAAGGCAGGTTGCCATGAAGCAGTTCCTTACCCAACTCCCTAATTCTGGTGAGGCATGAGAATTTCTATCCCTCACACTCCCTCCCCTCAAATTTGGGAAACAGCTTCAGGCTACCAGCTGTGTAGCGGCAGTATGGAATTAGCTTCTTCAAGACAGAGCAACCCACCTGTTGCTCTGGGTCTTCTGTCTTCTGTTTCCTTCTGTTTGATGTTGCCCTGTGGACAGTGGAAAATGGATACCATATTGATCTTGCATATGCCGTCCTGTGTAAGTAATACATTATTTCAAGCTATTGGGCTCACTGCGACTTTTCCAGAAAAACATATGAAACCACGATCAGACAGCTTAGCAGATGCAATAGTTACTACTGTCTAGGTCCTGCTGGACCATTGAAAAATGTGTCACCTAATGTGGGGTCAGTAAGGCCCCAGTGGCTTTTTAGAAAAAGGGCAGCAGAGGCTGTGTGGATGAGGTTATAGGGAATGATAAGACTCTCTGGGACCTGGTAGCACATAACTCACTCAAGCAAGCTGGGGATGGCATCAGCGTCCTCCAGTGTCCTACCTGTGAAGGGGCTGCATAGGCCAGGTTAGGGGATATGAGAAGACTTCCCAAGGTCAGATAATGTGTGCTATCTTTAGTGATAGCAGTAATTAGGAATTACCACCCAGAGTGGGAGGGCAGTCAGTAGACTGAACAATAAGAAGTAGAATTGAAAGCGGTTTTCCAAAGAGTATCTTGGTTTTCCTTAAAAGTGGATTTGTTGATGCTGAGTTTTCAGCCAGTAAAACTCAAAGTGAGTGTTACCCTGTGCGTCCTGGTGTGAAGTCGCTCCTTATGCATCCCTCGTCTCTCCTTCTCCCATCATCCTCTCCTAACCAGCTTTAAGGAAGGACGCTTTCCTGCTGCTCTGGTCGCCCTGGCCAGCTGGCCTCCTCTACACTCTACTGAACTCCCTGAATTTTCAGACAAGGAGAAAAGACGGTGTCTTGGTAATTGCAGCTGTAATTCCTGAACTGTCTCGGTTAAACATTTTTGAGATTTTTTGTTTTAATGCAAATTTTATAAGCAAAATTTACAGTAAAGAAAAACAAAACTTAAAGTGGCTCATGAGTGAGAACTGCAAGCCTATTCAAGAGACTATTGTAAAATCATAGAATTGAAATTTATATGTCACATGCTTGCACTGTGGATGTGCACAAAGTGTTACAGAAAATTTTTCTGTTTGAGGCACTGCCACAAACTGCCCTACTACTTTCCACCAGTAGGTAAAAATTTAGCAAAATGTCACTCCTTTTGACATCTAAAGTTATATAATGTACTGTTAGTTGGCAGGTTGGAAGCCTCAATCTAAATGGTGCTATCATGTGTCTCCCAAGAGTGGTGGCTAATAAATCCTGACAAAATATAGAGGCTTGTTTCTTGGGGCTGTATTGACTGGTCGGCCATATGGAATCCTTCTGTCAGTCAAGGAACAATTGTTTAACAAATAAAAAGGATGTTATGTTTCTAATAAAGTCAACATTTTATCAGAGTTTATGCCAGGCATAAACTCAAATACACTTTATGCCGGACTTGTAACCCCTGCCAAAAGCTTGTTCATTTGTCTTGCAAAGAAAGAGGTCACATGTCATGCGGCGCTGGTCCCCCTTACTTGTAATGGTTTGACTAGAGTTGAATTTTCACCCCCTTTCAGGGTCATCAATGGTTCCTCAACATTGCTGACACTTTTTCAGGTGACAGTAGTGTAGCTAATCAATCCACTGTCTTCATCATTGTGGTCTTAAAAATAAATTCCATCATATTGTATTTGATGTACATTATACACACTGAAGTATTTGCAACTGATACTGTTCAGTACATTGTAAAAATAAATGTTTCAAACATGTGAAACATTTCTTGATTTCACTAATTAAAACATATGTTCTAGATGAGAAAGGATTTTAAGAGATATTCTCAATGGGAAAATGCTATGACGTGAACAATGATGGGGGATAAGTGGACAATCAGGAACCCATAGGCCCTATCGGTCCAGCCATGTGGGAGGTACAAGACTACTATGCTGATTACAGCTGGTAAAGGCAAGAAGGCTTAAAAATGTATCCAATTGTTTGTGCAGCCTACCCTCCCAGTTTGGCTGGTTAATTCCTAATGAACGATTTAAGCTAAGAATGGAAATGACTGACAATGTGCATGCAATACTACCTAAGCATCTATAGAACGTCCTACCCTCACGAAAAGGTGTCCAGTCATCTCCCAGGCACAGCTACCCCTAAAGTAAATGTGCTAGCATCTCATGCTTCCTGGGGGGCTTGGTATGGCAAGTTTTCTGAGGATGTCTGTGTTGTTGGACTAGGACCCTCAATTCCTAGAGGGGGCCTTTTCTATAGGCTGTTACTTCTCTGAGGATATCAGAAGAGAATCTCTCACTTTCAAAAAGCAATAACACAACCCCAAACAGTACAATTTTTGAGTGGATTTACTGACTTTTACATGCTAATAGCCTGACAGAAGAAAAGATGCACCTTTGCAGGCCTAACCTCAAATATGGAAGTCAATCCATATCAAACAGAAATCTGCATTTACCCATACACAGTTGAAGAAATATGGAAATAGTAAACAGAAGGAAACAGAAGATTGAAGATGTAGAGCAAGAGGTGGGTGGCTGTGTCATGGAGAAACTAAATAGTAAACATGAAAATTAAACATGACAAATTTATCTTATCTGTATCTATTCAAATGATGATTGACAGTCTAAAGCAAAAATAGTTGCAATATGTTGTTTAGTTTAAAACACATGGAAAAGCAAAATATGTTACAATAATCCAAAGGACAAGATGAAGGAAATATGAATATATGGTGGTGAAGTTCTTTTATTATTTGTGAAGTGGCATAAGTTATTAAAAGTAGACTGATAAAGTAAACATGTCTATTGTAAATCCCGGAGTAACTACTTAAAAAAGATGTATACATAATAGGCTATGATGGAGATAAAACTGAACTATAAAAAAACCCCAATAAATTCAAAAGTAGGCAGGAATAGAGGAAAAGGGAAACAACAACAAAGTAAATAGAAAATAGAAATCAAATAGCGACATTACTGATATACCTACAATTGTACAACAATTATATTCAAGTTAAATAATTTTAAAAAGGAACAAACTATGTGCTGTTCGCAAGAAATCTATGGTAACAACAATGATAGCTATAGTTTAAAAATAAAAAAGATGGCAAAAGAGATATATTCTGCAAATACTAATAGAAAACATCCTAGAATGGCTATGTTTGTGCCAGACAAGAGAAACTTTATGAAAAGAAATAATGCCAGGAATAAAAAAGGGCACTGCATAAAGATAAAATAATCACTTCATTGGGGACTGATAATCTTATTGGTACATGTAACTGACAGCATTGTCTTCAAAATATATAAAACAGAAATGGAACTGAAATGAAAGAAAACAAAACGTACAATTGAAGTTGGAGACTTAAACATTTCTTTCTCTAAGGGATAGTGACATGGTTTGGCTGTGTCCCCACCCAAATATCAGCTTGAATTGTAGTTCCAATAGTCCCCATGTTTCAAGGGTGGGACCAGGTGGAGGAAATTGGATCATAAGGGTAGTTTCCTCCATTCTGTTCTCATGATAATGAGTGAGTCTCATGAGATATGATGGTCTGGCATTTCCCCTGCTTGAGGTCATCCTCTCTCCTGCCGCCATGTGCAGAGGTGACTTCCACCATGATTATAAGTTTCCTGAGATCATCCCAGTCATGCTGAACTGTGAGTCAATTAAACCCCTTTCCTTTATAAATTACCCAATCTTGGGTATTTCTTCATAGCAGGGTGAGAACAGACTAATGCAATAAATTGGTACCAAGGGAATGGGGCACTACTATAAGGATGCCCAAAAATGTGGAAGTGACTTTGGAACTTGGTAACAGGGGGAGGGTGGAACTGTTTGGAGGGCTCAGAAGAAGACAGAAAAATGTGGGAGGGTTTGGAACTTTCTAGAGAATTGGAGGACTCAGAAGACAAGAAGATGTGGGAAAGTCTGTAACTTCCTAGAGACTTGTTGTATGGCTTTGACCAAAATGCTGATAGTGATGTGGACAATGAAGTCCAGGTTGAGGGGATCAAGACGGAGATGAGGAACTTCTTGGGAACTGGAGCAAAGGTCAATCCATGCTTTAGCAAAGAGACTTCTGGCATTTTACCCTTACCCTAGGGATCTGTGGAACTTTGAATTGAGAGAGATGATTCAGGGTATCCGGTGGAAAAAAATGTCTAAGTGGCAAAGTGTTCAAAAGAAAGCAGAGCATAAAAGTTTGAAATATTTGCAACCTGATGATGCAATAGAAAAGAAAAGCCCATTTTCTGGGGAGAAAATCAAGCCAATTGCAGAAATTTGCATAAGTAATGAGGAGCTGAATGTTAGTCATCAAGACAATGGGGGAAATGTCTCTCTCCAGGTCATGTCAGAGAATTTAATGGCAGCCCCTCCCATCACAGGCCCAGAGGCCTAGAAGGGAAAAACGGATTCCTGGGCTGGGTCCAGGGATGCCCTGCTGTGTGCAGCCTCTTACATGGTGCCCTACATCCCAGCCACTCCAGCCATGGCTAAAAGGGGCCATGGTACAGCTCAGGCTGTGGCTTCAGGAGGGTGCTTCAGAGCTTCCATGTACTGTTGGGCCTGCAGGTGCACAGAAGTCAGGAAGCATTGTTTGCGAACCTCTGCCTAGATTTTGAAGATGGATGGAAATGCCTGGATGTCCAGGCAGATGTTTGCTGCAGGGGCAAAGTCCTCATGGAGAACCCCTGCTAGGGCAGTGCAGAAAGGAAATGTGGGGTTGGAGCCCCCACACAGAGTCCCTACTGGGGCACCACCTAGTGGAGTTGTGAGAAGAAGGCCACCATCCTCCATACCCCAGAATGGTAGAACAACTGACAGCTTGCACCATGTGCCTGGAAAAGCCACAGAGACTCACCACCAACCTGTGAAAGCAGCCAGGAGGACGAATGTACCCTACAAAGTCACAGGGACATAACTTCTCAAAGCCGTGAGAGCCCACCCATTGTATCAGCATGACCTGGATGTGAGACATGGGGTCTAAGGAGATCATTTTGGAACTTTAAGATTTAATAACTGTCCTATTGGATTTTGGACTTGCATAGGGCCTATAGCCTCTTTGTTTTGACCAATTTCTCCCATTTGGAATGGGCTTATTTACCCAATGCCTATACCCCCATTGTATCTTGGAAGTAACTAACTTGTTCTTGATTTTACAGGCTCATAGGTGGAAGGGATTTGCCTTGTCTCGGATGAAACTTTGGACCTGGACTTTTGGGTTAAAGCTGGAATGAGCTAAGACTTTGGGGTACTGTTGGAAAGGCATGATTGCGTTTTGCTATGTGAGGATATGACATTCGGGAGGGATCAGGAGCAGAATGATATGGTTGGCTGTGTCCCCATCCAAATGTCATCTTGAACTATAGTTCCAATAATCTCCATGTGTCAAGGGCAGGACAAGGTAAGAGGTCACTGGACCATAAGGGTGGTTCCCCCATCCTGTTCTCATGATAATGAGTGAGTCTCACAAGATCTGATGGTTTTATAAGCATTTGGCATTTCTCCTGCTTACACTCATTCTCTCTCCTGCTGTCCTGTGAAGAGGTGCCTTCTACCAAGACTGTAAGTTTCCTGAGGCTTCCTGAGCCATGCAGAACTGGGAGTCAATTGAACCTTTTTTCTTTATAAATTGCCCAGTCATGGCTATTTCTTCATAGCAGTGTGAGAACAGACTAATACAGATAGAATAAGTAGAAAGAAAATCTCTAATAACGTAAGTATCTTGACCACAGCATCAACCAACGTGACCCAATTGATGTTTATAGGAAAGGAGAGCAAAAACACAACTGAAAATCTACTTTTTTCACATAGTAGATTCACCATGATAAACTATATTCTGTGTAATAAAACAAACTACCAAAAAATCAAAGTAACTTGTACGTTTTATGGAATGGAATAAAGTTTTAAATCAACATAGAAAGATCTATAAGATATCTGGAAAGTTCTAATGTGTACGAAAATTAAACCACACAGTTTCAAATACATCATGTAACAAAGAAGAAATCATATGATAAATTAGAACGTACTTTGATTTCTATAAGGTTTTTAAGAAAACATAAAATTTCAAATTTGGGGACACATCTAAAGCAAAGGAAAATATATATAGTCAAATACTGGTTTTATAAGGCAATACATGCATCATATAAATAAGCTTCTGATACAGGCAGGAGGTAGGGAAATACCGGGGAGAAGAGGATGGTCCTCAATGAGGGCCACACACTTAAGCTTGGACCTGCAGCCCAAAGTGAGAACATGCATTTCTGTTTTCCCACCCAAATGTTGCCTTTTCCAAAACCACCCTGGCCCACCCCATGCCCATCCTGTACTCATAAAAACCCCAGACCCCACCAGCAGAGTGACAGAGTGGCAGAGTGGCAGAGTGGCAGAGAAGGAGAGAAGAGAAGTAGTCAGATCTTAGAGAGAAGTAGCTTGATTTCAGAGGGAAGGCTTGATGGTAGAACCTTGGAGAAGAGTTTGGCTGGGGATGGCTGACCTCCAACAGAAGATCACCTTCCCACTCCATCCCCTTTCTAGCTCCCCATCCGACTGAAAGCCACATCCACTGCTCAACAAAATCCTCCACATTCACTACTCTTCAACTCATTTGCACAACCTGATTCTTCTTGGATGCCAGACAAGGCCCTGGGTGCAGGTGCAAGAGGCTGTCCCATTGACCCTCCACTGAGTTGTTTAACACTTAAGCCATCCATGAATGGCAAGCTAAAAGAGCACCCTCTAATGCAGGCCCTCTGGGTCTCCAAGTGTCATGGGCAACCTCCAGATGCTGCTGCAGGCCCTGAAAGAGTTCTGCTCCTGCCAGTTGCCAAGAAGCCCTCATATCAGCCTCTGTACCTGCTCACCTGCATGCTCCCTCTCCCACAAGGTGTTGAGAGCTATGAGCTAAGTAAATAAGCCAACCTCTTTGCTTCATAGTCTCATGAAGAGATCAAGGGAACTATCCCATTTCACTTCTACCTTAACAAATTATTGTATAAAATAAGCCAATTAAATCCAAAAATTTGGAAGGAAAAAATAAAGATAAGAGTAGAAATAAATAAAATATATATGAAACTAAAACTAAAGCCTGGTGCTTTGAAATAGTAAATGAAATTGATTAAATATTAGGCACATTAATATAAAGAAAGGGAAAATATACAACTTAGAAATACCAAGAGTTAATGGGGTGTTTCACTACTGATGCCACAGATATTAAGAGGATCATAGGGACATACTAAAAACAACTTTATGCCCATAAATTTGATAACTTTGTTAAAATGGGCCTTGTAAGTTACTACTACCAAACTGCCTCATGAAAATAGATACAATAAATGACCCTGCTATCTACTAAATAAATTAAACTTGTTGTTTAAAATCTTTCAAAATACAAGATATTAGGCTGGAGGGGTTTACTAATGAATACTGTCAAAGATTTAAGAAAGAAATAATGCTAATTATACATGATCTCTTTCAGAAAATAGAAGAGGAGGGAATGCTTTCCAAGTCATCTCTTGACAAGCATTATTCTATTACCAAAACCAGGAAACATTTTATGAGAAAAAAATAAACCAATGTATCTCACTACTGCATATACAAATATCATTAAAATATAAGGTTAGTTGGGAGGGAAAGAGGTGGGAAAGATCATTAATCATATATTAACCATCATTAATTATATCATAAATATAAGGAGTTGGGAGAGAAAGATGTGGGAAAGAGGAAGGAATGAGGCTTAAAAGCAGGCAGCAAACATTAAAAAATGGATACATGGATAAAGAACACTTAAGAAAAACTTGTAACTAACATCGTAATTAATTAGAGCAACAAAAAAACTCATGATAAACAAGATTTCATGAACTCAAGAACAAGGTAAGAATAGCTGTTCAAACAACTTTTATTCAATACTGTATTGGAAGTTCTTGCCAATGCAACAATAAGAGAAATAAAAGACATAAACTTTGAAAAGAAAACTTAAAATTAAAAACATTTTTATTCATGAGTAACAAGATTATTTATCTAGAGAATCTCCGGGAATTTACAAAAGTTAAAACAACATAAAAGAACTGAAAAAGGAACTTAGCAAGGTCAAAGCAAAATATAAAATCAATACACATAAATCAGTCATATTTCTAAAGACTAACTATAAAAAATTGGAAAACGACATGTAAAACACCATTTCCAAAAGCAAAAAAAGAGAAATATAAAATACTAAGGAATACATTTAGCAAAAGACATATATGCCCTTTCTTCTAAAACCTACAAAAATTACTAAAACATTGAAGACCTAAATCAGTAGAACTATCACAATATTCATTAGATGGAAGACTGAATATTAATAGTTTGTCAATTATCTGCAAATTGATCTATATATTCAACAAAATTCTAATTACATTTATAACGGGCTTTCTTTTTGTATAAATGGATAAGTAAATAGTAATACAAAATGCAAATTATGTAGAATAGTGAAAACTTTCTTAAGAAAGAAACACAAAGTTGAAGGACTTACACTGTATAGATTTAAGGCATAATGTAAAGTTTTATTTACTAAGACAGAATGTCACTGGCCAAAGAAAAATAGACATAGAAGAGTGGGAGACAAAAATCTCAGAAATAGACTCACAGATATTTGGTTAATTGATGCTTTGTAAAAGGACCAATGCAACTTAATTGAGTATAGTTACCCTTTTCAGCAAATGATGCTGGAACAACAGGAAAAGTACATGGAAAAATTTGAAACTCAACTCCTTTCTCATACTATATGCAAAACAAAATTAATTCAAAATGGAATCTAGAAAAGCATAGAACCACAAACTGTGGTGCTTCTAGAAGAAAATATAGAGAAATATATTTGTAACATTAATGTAGACAAATATATTTTAGACTAATACATAAAACTGTAACCATAAATGAAAAGCAAATGATAAACAGGCCTTCATCAAAATTTATAATCATCCTTATCCAAAGATACCATTAAGAAAATAAACAGGGAATCCACTGACTGAAAATATTCATAATACATATACCTTAAAATATGTTTGTCCAGAGTATATTTTAAAAACATACAAATCAATAATGAGATGACTAGTAGCACAAAAACATTGCCAAATTTCTTCAGCCAATACTTCACAACAGAAGATATACCACCGATCACTAAGACCACGAAAATATCTCAACATAATTAAACAAATGGAAATTCAAATAAAACACAGGTAGCATTCCACACCCACTAGAATGGCACTAAAATTAATTGATTAAAAATAAATAAATTAAGACAAGCAACAGCAAATGTTAAAGAGAATATGAGATGGCTGAATTCTCTACATCAGTAGTGTGAGAGGAAAAAGTATAATGCCGGAAAAGCTTTCTGTTTCTAGTATGTATTTAAGGGAAATGAAAATAATTGTCTCACACCAAGACTTGTACTAGACCATTTATAATCTTTCTATAATAGATCCAAACTGGAAACAACACAAATATATGTCAACAGATGACTGGACATGCATGTTTAAAATGTGTAATGTGCAACATTGCTCAGCAATTAAAAACAAAGAAAATACTAATGTACTTAACAATGTAAATTAATTTTATTAGCAAACAAGCACACCAAAAAAGTCTGTGTAAGATTAAAGACTGAAAATGCTCATAGGTAAAACAAATGTTTCCATGAGTTAATGCCAATGACATACTGTAAATTTTTTTTCAAATAATTGAAATTTTATCATAGAGATTTACTCTATAGGAAAGCCTGGAGGGCATGTATATCTTCAGAGGTCATTATTTCCTGATGAATCTATTCACTAGATATGTACGATTACTGTTATGGTGATGAATATGATTATTAAATTAAGGCAAAAAGAGTTAACTATTTTTGAGATTTTTTTTTTCAATTTAAGGTCATTGCATGTAAAGTTTAATGTAATCTAAGAATAAAACACAGACATTCACATTTTCTGCCCAGTTCTTTAATCACTCTTATTTAACCTCAGAAAAAGAAGGACAGGCAAGAAACAATATGGAAAAACTACAGTAATAAAACCTAAGAAAATCCTTTGCTATAAGAAAGAAAAACAAATTATTTGAAGCTTATGCTTCCTAGATCTCATCCATCTTTGCAGGTAAGTGAAATTGTCCAGGTAAGAATAACATACTATTTAATCCTAGCAATCCTGGAATGTTATGTGTCTATTATCCTCTCTCCCAATCTTAATATTTAGCTGCCTATCTTGTGATGATGTCTGCATTTCAAAGACATTTTCTAAACAATGCATTTAATAATGGACCATTTGCTTAAGGTCAGTAGTTCAAACTTCATAATGGTTATAAGTGTGTAAAAGTGGGTTAAATATTACTTTACACTTACATAACCAAATGCAAGTTATAAGGACTATATTTTAAGGGAGGTTATTATGACCTTGGTGGTCATACTTTAATAAATGATTCCCATATTCAATAGCTAAAATTCGAGCATTTTAATTGGAGGTCATACTAGATTTTTCATTTTAATCTAGGGACTAATAGGTTTTTAATATTTGCTCTCTCACTTCTACTTCAATACTCACATTCCTCTGTTCTCTTATTTAATGAAGAGAGAAATATGGTTATGTTCTTCAGACTTTCAGTGTAGATTGATATATATATGTAAAGATTTATAAATATGGGACATATGAGCTCTGTTAGACATCATTCAACACATTTTATGAAAAATAACTTTCTTATAATGAACATTTTTTAGTCTGAGGGAGCTTGAACTGAAATAATACTATCATAGAGGAATTAAAAGAGGTGAAATATACATGGATATAATATATCCATCTACTTTTATTCTCATTGACTCTCTGAGTTGAATAATTGATAATGTAAATAACAGGTTTGATAATCAAACAGACCTAGGCTCAAACCCACACTTAAGTCCTTAACCAAAACTTTCTAGAATCTTGGACAAATTACCTGAATATTATCTAGTCTCAATTTTCCCAATGAGGAAATGATAGTACCACCCTTTTGTTATTGGTTATTTTTGGCAGGGGGAGGAACAAACTCAATAATAATATATACATAACATGTACTCCATAAATGTAAGTTTTCTTTCTTGCTGAACTCCCGGGTAACCGAAAGCTCCAGTGTCTGAGGACAGGAGAAAATGGATGTCCTCCTGTACACACAGAAAGGAAACTTGCCCCCTCTTGACCTTTGTCTTCTATTTAGTCCCTACAGGGATTGAATGATCCCCAGGCGTGGGTGAGGGTGGTCCTCTTTATTCAGTCTACCTATTTAGATGCAAATCTCTTTCAAAAACACTCTCACAGACACACCTAGACATGTTGTTTCACTAGCTATCTGGGCATTTCTCAAACCAGTCAAGTTGACACATAAAATTAACCATTATAGAATTGAAGGTGTTAAATATTCCTACCTGGTTAAGCTTGATGACCACATATCACTATGTCATATTTCATAATGAGAGTGAAAACAAATCATTTCAGTTCATCAACCAAACCTAAGCACTACCATGTTTTGTTAATATTAAAGGGTATCATAAGCTGGAAAAGATAGAACCTGAAAATATCACATTTACTCTTCCTGTGAGCACAGGAGAACATTCCATAATAAAATCACAGGCCCTAGTCAATGTATTATATTGCCTCAGTTGAGGACAGTGTCTAAAAATGAAAAACAAAACAAAACAAAACAAAAAAACAAAAACTTCATCAGCTACACCATTGCTACTTTAAGAAATTATTTCAAGATCTAGAAATAAAGAAAACACTTCCATATAATAAAAAAGGCACTGGTTGGCCAGTTATAGTTCTGCAGATCTTGGAAAGGTGAGAGCCTTACAAGAAAAATAATGGAGCTGCTTTTGCCATAGAGGAAAATATGAGAAGTTCTATATTCTGTGGGTCTCAAGTTATTATGTAAAGTATCATTCAGATAAAACTGGGTGAAGCAAACACACACTCATCACAGTAGCACACATTAATTCAAATGTCAACCTTTATACCAAGTGCTTATCTTTCATGAGAAATAAGATACAAATTAATTTTCTTTGTCTTCTCCTCCTATCCTACTACTTTAAAATATAAATTTTCCTTTATATTTTTACCCTTCTAAAATTCCTACATCAGGGTTTGGGGCCTGTAGTTGCTGAGAACTACTGCTTGTCCTAATCTCAGAATCTACATCTAGACATTTCTTTCAGAACATAAACAGCCAAAAACTCTGTCAGTAGGGTTCAGTAGAGTTCCCCTGTAGAGGTTCTGGGAAGCCTAAAGAAGGCCTGCTCTGTCATCATCTCATGACCTATGAGGTATGGAAGCACACCCTCCTAATTTTTCCTGCCTGGTTCCATAGCAAGTTTTTGTCTGCAGGTAGTGTCAGGCCTCTGAGCCCAAGCCAAGCCATCACATCCCCTGTGACTTGCATGTATACATCCAGATGGCCTGAAGTAACTGAAGATCCACAAAAGAAGTAAAAATAACCTTAACCGATGACATTCCACCATTGTGATTTGTTTCTGCCCCACCCTCACTGATCAATGTACTTTGTAATCTCCACCACCCTTAAGGAGGTTCTTTATAATTTCCCCCACCCTTAAGAAGGTTCTTTGTAATTCTTCCCACCCTTGAGGATGTAATGTACTTTGTGAGATCCACCCCTGCAAAACATTGCTCTTAACTTCACCGCCTATCCCAAAACCTATAACAACTAATGATAATCCACCACCCTTTGCTGACTCTCTTTTCGGACTCAGCCCGCCTGCACCCAGGTGAAATAAACAGCCATGTTTCTCACACAAAGCCTGTTTGGTGGTCTCTTCACACGGACACGCATGAAATTTGGTGCCATGACTCGGATCGGGGTACCTCCCTTGGGAGATCAATCCCCTGTCCTCCTGCTCTTTGCTCCATGAGAAAGATTCACCTATGACCTCAGGTCCTCAGACCAACCAGCCGAAGAAACATCTCACCAATTTCAAATCTGGTAAGCGGCCTCTTTTTATTCTCTTCTCCAACTTCCCTCACTATCCCTCAACCTCTTTCTCCTTTCAATCTTGGTGCCACTCTTCAATCTCTCTCTTCTCTTAATTTCAATTCCTTTCATTTTCTGGTAGAGACAAAGGAGACACGTTTTATCCATGGACCCAAAACTCCGACGCCGGTCACGGACTGGGAGGGCAGCCTTCCCTTGGTGTTTAATCATTGCAGGGATGCCGCTCTGATTATTCACCCACATTTCAGAGGTGTCAGACCACGCAGGGACGCCTGCCTTGGTCCTTCACCCTTAGCAGCAAGTCCCGCTTTTGTGGGGGAGGGGCAAGTACCCCAACCCCTTCTCTCCGTGTCTCTACCCCTTCTGTGATTTTCTTGGGCAGGGGAAAGAACCCCTCAACCCCTTCTCCTTCACCCTTAGCGGCAAGTCCCACTTTTCTAGGGGGCAAGAACCCCCAATCCCTTATTTCCATACCCCAACCTCTTATCTCTGTGCCCCAATCCCTTATTTCTGCACCCCGACCTCGTATCTCTGTGCCGCAATCCCTTATTTCTGCATCCTGACCCCTTTCCCACTTTTCTGGAGGGTAAGAACCCCCAAACCCCTTCCTTCCATGTCTCAATGCTCTCTTCTCTCCGGGTTTGCCTCCTTCACTATGGGCAACCTTCCACCCTCCATTCCTCCTTCTTCTCCCTTAGCCTATGTTCTCAAGAACTTAAAATCTCTTCATCTCATACCTGACCTAAAACCTAAACACCTTATTTTCTTCTGCAATGCCGCTTGACCCCAATACAAACTCCACAGTAGTTCCAAATAGCCAGAAAACAGCACTTTGAATTTTTCCATCCTGCAAGATCTAAAGAATTATTGTCATAAAGTAGGCAAACAGTCTGAGGTGCCTGATGTCCAGGCATTCTTTTACACATCAGTCCCTTCCTAGTCTCTGTGCCCAATGCAACTCTTCCCAAATCTTCCTTCTTTCCCTCCTGCCTGTCCCCTCAGTCCCAACCCCAAGCGTTGCTGAGTCTTTCTAATCATTCTTTTCTACAGACCCATCTGACCTCTCCCCTCCTCGCCAGGCTGAGCTAGGTCCCAATTCTTCCTCAGCCTCTGCTCCTCCACCCTATAATCCTTTTATCACCTCTCCTCCTCACACCTGGTCCGGCTTACAGTTTCGTTCTGTGACTAGCCCTCCCCCACCTGCCCAGCAATTTATTCTTAAAAAGGTGGCTGGAGCTAAAGGCATAGTCAAGGTTAATGTTCCTTTTTCTTTATCCCAAATCATATAGCGTTTAGGCTCTTTTTCATCAAATATAAACATCCAGCTGTTCATGGCTCGTTTGGCAGCAACCCAGAGATGCTTTACAGCCCTAGACCCTAAAAGGTCAAAAGGCCGTCTTATTCTCAATATACATTTTATTACCCAATCTGCTCCCGACATGAAATAAAACTCCAAAAATTAGAATCTGGCCCTCAAACCCCACAAGAGGACTTAATTAACCTCACCTTCAAGGTGTACAATAATAGAAAAAAGTTGCAATTCCTCACCTCCACTGTGAGACAAACCCCAGCCACATCTCCAGCACACAAGAACTTCCAAACGCCTGAACCGCAGTGGCCAGGCATTCCTCCAGAACCTCCTTCCCCAGGAGCTTGCTACACATGCCGCAAATCTGGCCACTGGGCCAAGGAATGCCCGCAGCCTGGGATTCCTCCTAAGCCACGTCCCATCTGTGTAGGACCCCACTGAAAATCGGACTCTTTAACTCACCTGGCAGCCACTCCCAGAGCCCCTGGAACTCTGGCCCAAGGCTCTCTGACTCCTTCCCAGATCTTCTCAGCTTAGCGGCTGAAGACTGACACTGCCCGATTGCCTTGGAAGCCCCCTAAACCATCATGGACGCCAAGCTTCAGGTAACTCTCACAGTGGAAGGTAAGCCCTTCCCCTTCTTAATACGGAGGCTACCCACTCCACATTACCTTCTTTTCAAAGGCCTGTTTCCCTTGCCTCCATAACTGCTGTAGGTATTGACGGCCAGGCTTCTAAACCTCTTAAAACTCCCCAACTCTGGTGCCAACTTAGAAAATACTCTTTTAAGCACTCCTTTTTTAATTATCCCCACCTGCCCAGTTCCCTTATTAGGCTGAGACACTTTAACTAAATTATCTGCTTCCCTGACTATTCCTGGGCTACAGCCACATCTCATTGCCACCCTTCTCCCCAACCCAAAGCCTCCTTTGCGTCTTCCTCTCGTATCCCCCCAACTTAACCCACAAGTATAGGACATCTCTACTCCTTCCCTGGCAACCGATCACATGCCCATTACCATCCCATTAAAACCTAATCACCCTTACCCTGCTCAATGCCAATATCCCATCCCACAGCACACTTTAAAAAGATTAAAGCCTGTTATCACTCGCCTGCTACAACATGGCCTTTTAAAGGTTATAAACTTTCCTTACCATTCCCCCATTTTACCTGTCCTAAAACCAGACAAAGCTTACAAGTTAGTTCAGGATCTGCACCTTATCAACCAAATTGTTTTGCCTATCCACCCCATGGTGCCAAACCCATATACTCTCCTATCCTCAATACCTCCCTCTACTACCCATTATTCTGTTCTACATCTCAAACATGCTTTCTTTACTATTCCTTTGCGCCCTTAATCCCATCCTCTCTTGGCTTTCACTTGGACTGACCCTGACACCCATTAGGCTCAGCAAATCACCTGGGCTGTACTGCTGCAAGGCTTCA
This sequence comes from Homo sapiens, assembly GCF_000001405.40. NCBI lineage: Eukaryota > Metazoa > Chordata > Mammalia > Primates > Hominidae > Homo > Homo sapiens. The sequence goes on along the minus strand of NC_000002.12, from coordinate 13,166,351 downwards.
CAGACAGCCCCCATTACTTCAGTCAAGCCCAAATTTCATCCTCATCTATTACCTATCTCGGCATAATTCTCATAAAAACACATGTGCTCTCCCTGCCAATCGTGTCTGACTGATCTCTCAAACCCCAGCACCTTCTGCAAAACAACAACTCCTTTCCTTCCTAGGCATGGTTAGTGCGGTCAGAATTCTTACACAAGAGCCAGGACCGCACTCTGTAGCCTTTCTGTCCAAACAACTTGACCTTAGTGTTTTAGCCTAGCCCTCAGGTCTGCGTGCAGCGGCTGCCACTGTTTTAATACTTTTAGAGGCCCTAAAAATCACAAACAATGCTCAACTCTCTCTACATTTCTCATAACTTCCAAAATCTATTTTCTTCCTCATACCTGATGCATATACTTTCTGCTCCCTGGCTCCTTCAGCTGTGCTCAATTTTTGTTAAGTCCCACAATCACCATTGTTCCTGGCCCAGACTTCAATCTGGCCTCCCACATTATTCCTGATACCACACCTGACCCCCATGACTGTATCTCTCTGATCCACCTGACATTCACCCCATTTCCCCATATTTCCTTCTTTCCTGTTCCTCACTCTGATCACGCTTGATTTATTGATGGCAGTTCCACCAGGCCTAATCGCCACACACCAGCAAAGGCAGGCTATGCTATAGTACAAGCCACTAGCCTGCCTCTTAGAACTTCTCATTTCCTTTCCATCGTGGAAATCTACCCTCAAGGAAATAACTTCTCAGTGTTCCATCTGTTATTCTACTACTCCTCAGGGATTATTCAGGCCCCCTCCCTTCCCTACACATCAAGCTTGAGGATTTGCCCCCACCCAGGACTGGCAAATTGCCCCGAGTCAGATAACTAAAATACCTCTTAGTCTAGGTAGACACTTTCACTGGATACCTCCCTCTACTACCCATTATTCTGTTCTAGATCTCAAACGTGCTTTCTTTACTATTCCTTTGCACCCTTCCTCCCAGCCTCTCTTTGCTTTCACTTGGACTGACCCTGACACCCATTAGGCTCAGCAAATTACCTGGGCTGTACTGCCGCACTTCACAGACAGCCCCCACTACTTCAGTCAAGCCCAAATTCATCCTCATCTATTACCTATCTCAGCATAATTTCCTGTAGGAAAGGAAAAGTCCTTTCCTACAGGGTCTGAGAAGGCCACCACAGTCATTTCTTCCCTCCTGTCCGACATAATTCCTCAGTTTAGCCTTCCCACCTCTATACAGTCTGATAACAGACCAGCCTTTATTAGTCAAATCAGCCAAGCAGTTTTTCAGGCTCTTAGTATTCAGTGAAACCTTTATATCCCTTACAGTCCTCCGTCTTCAGGAAAAGTAGAACGGACTAAAGGTCTTTTAAAAACACACCTCACCAAGCTCAGCCACCAACTTAAAAAGGACTGGACAATACTTTTACCACTTTCCCTTCTCAGAAGTCAGACCTGTCCTCAGAATGCTACAGGTACAGCCCATTTGAGCTTCTTTTTATTAGGCCCCAGTCTCATTCCAGACACCAGACCAACTTAGACTGTGCCCCCCAAAAAAACTTGTCATCCTTACTATTTTCTGTCTAGTCATACTCCTATTCTCTGTTCTCAACTACTCATACATGCCCTGCTCTTGTTTACACTGCCGGTTTACACTGTTTTCCCAAGCCATCACAGCTGATATCTCCTCATGCTATCCCCAAACTGCCACTCTTAACTCTTGAGGTAAATAAATAATCTTTGCTGGCAGGACTATGCTGAATCTCCTTAGGCACTCTCTTATCAGATGTCCTAGGTCCTCCCAATTCTTAGACCTTTTATACCTGTTTTTCTCCTTCTCTTATTCCATTTAGTTTTTCAATTCATACAAAACCATATCCAGGCCATCACCAATAATTCTAAATGACAAATGTTTCTTCTAAAAACCCCACAATATCAACCCTTACCACAAAATCTTCCTTCAGCTTAATCTCTCCCACTCTAGGTTCCCACGCCGCCCCTAATCCCGCTTGAAGCAGCCCTGAGAAACATCATCCATTCTCTCTCCATACCACCCCCAAAAATTTTCGCCACCCCAAGACGTCAACACTATTTTGTTTTATTTTTCTTATTAATATAAGAAGGTACGAATGTCAGGCCTCTGAGCCCAAGCCAAGCCATCACATCCCCTGTGACTTGCATGTATACATCCAGATGGCCTGAAGTAACTGAAGATCCACAAAAGAAGTAAAAATAACCTTAGCTGATGACATTCCACCATTGTGATTTGTTTCTGCCCCACCCTCACTGATCAATGTACTTTGTAATCTCCGCCACCCTTAAGAAGGTTCTTTATAATTTCCCCCACCCTTAAGAAGGTTCTTTGTAATTCTTCCCACCCTTGAGAATGTACTTTGTGAGATCCACCCCTGCCTGCAAAACATTGCTCTTAACTTCACCGCCTACCCCAAAACCTATAAGAACTAATGATAATCCACCACCCTTTGCTGCCTCTCTTTTCAGACTCAGCCCACCTGCACCCAGGTGAAATAAACAGCCATGTTGCTCACACAAAGCCTGTTTGGTGGTCTCTTCACACGGACACGCATGAAAGGTAGTCCTTCACCCTCCCTTGCTATTGCCAATACCTCATCAGCGAGTGTTAACATGAACTATCACATCTACCATATATTAAAAATTTGTGGCCATCATGTTTTAAATATGTATTTTTTTGTTCCATTCTCTTTTTCTTTCCTCTTGGAACAACAATTAAAAGCAAGTTAGAACAATGATAGTGTCCACCGGGGCACCTATTCATTATTCCCACCTGTATTTCTCTGTACTTCACATGAGATAATTCTACTGATTTGCATTTAAATACAAACTTTTCTTTTCCATTTTCAACGTGCTGTTAAGTTCATCCAGTGTTTTATTTGTTGTTGCCTGTTTGTTTTTCATTTTTTTTAAATTTCAGAAGTTTATCATTTCTAGAATTTTTATTTGTTCTTTATTATATAGTTTTCTTTTTTCTGATGAGGTTCTCTATTTTTCCTCAGTGTTAACCATTTTTCCTCTTAAGTCCTTGAAGAAGTTATTAATGACAGCTTCTTCAATGTCTTCTTCAACTGACTCCAACATCTGGTTCAGCTCAGAGTCTGTTTTCATTGCTACCTTTTCTTGATTTTCTAGACATTGTAAGGAGACTGGATTGTGGTGTTCACATGGAATGGGTGTTGTATTATGTTCTCACAGGTGGATGAATTCCTGGCATATAATTTTGATCCTACCAGGTGTGCTTCTATTTTTTGTTAGAGTGAGTCTGTTTCTTTTCTCCTTAGTCTTAGGATATGTTTTTGTTTTGTTTTGTTTTGTTTTTGCTTTTGTTTTGAGACAGTCTCTCTCAGGCTCCCAGGCTGGAGTGCAGTGGCTTGATCTCAGCTGACTGCAACCTCCACCTCCCGAGCTCAAGCAATTCTCTGCTTCAGTCTCCTGAGTAGCTGGGATTATAGGCATGTGCCACCATGCCCAGCTAATTTTTGTATTTTTAGTAGAGACAGGGTTTCACCATGTTGGCCAGGCTGGTCTTGAACTCCTTACTTCAGTTGATCCACCCACCTCAGGCTCCCAAAGTGCTGGGATTATAGGCTTGAGCCACTGCGCCTGGACAAGATATGTTTTTTTTAACTATAGAGCAGAGCTTTTACTCTTAAATCATTACATTTCTGACTTCTCAACTTAATGCCCAAGGGTCCCAAAATGGCCTCTTTTTGTGGCTGGCTTGGCAATACAGTATCTCTTAGAATTTCTTGTCTTATGATATTTCTATTTATCTCTGAACCCGACAAGTGGCACTTTCTGATGGTCTTAGGGAGCTTCAAACGATGCATGCACTCCTCAGCTCTCAGCCCAAATTACCTATGCTTGACTGACTCCAAAGCCAGTGCTCTTCCCTTGGCACTTCTTGAGTATCATAGACGTCCACAAGTTCCTCTGCGCCACTCTATTTTTTCTCATATTCTTTGCAAATACCGGTCTCTTCAGCTGCCCTGAACATCCACCTTCCCAGAACTCTTGCCTTGGGCTCCACTTCCCTGTGCCACAGCAGCCAGTGTCTTCCATCAGATAGCCCAGGCAAACATGGCCCCCAGTTTACATGTTCCCATTCTCTCAAGTATCTCATAGCTGTGCTGCCTGCAATCTGATGTATGAATCCAATTGCCTCATATATATTGCTCCATTTTATAGTCTTTATGGTGGATGAGCAAATACTGTACTAGTTACTTCATCATGGTTGCATGGCAATAGTCCCCATTTCCTCTATATTTATAGGTACTTTATTAATTTCTTCTAGTAGTAACCAGAAATGCCCTCCAATTCTTATTTTTCACCCATAATTAAATAGTTTTTCTCTAAAAAAATAAAATACTCATAGTGATACTTTTAGAAAAAAGTCAAAGTCAATAATTTGAATTACTTTAACTACTATTATTACACATTAAATTACTCAGTTCTTACACAATACTAGGCATTACGTCTATCACTCTATATGAATTTCTCATTAACCCTTACCAAAACTTTATAAATACTCTTTCCATTTCAAGTGTGAGAGAAATGAAACACAAATAACTCATTAAGTTCTCTAAGATAGCTAGCACCTTTGAATCCAGGAGAGAAACTTGGGATGTTTGTCCTCAGAGCCCATCCACTTGAGCATTATATCATTCAAGGTATAATAAATAACAATTTAAACTGAGAAAGGACACATTAGAGATCAGTACCGAATATTTAGTTTTTATGGAGAAAAATTTTAAAGCCACAAAATGGAAGCATAACATTAACTACTATTTATAACAACAAAAGGAAAAGAAAGTATACATTTTAAAAATATGTCAAGGTAAAGAAGGTATCGAGGAAAAAATAGGCTTAGTAATTCATGCGTAGAGGAGTAAAAGTAATGACTATAAATAACTCATAGTTTGAACCCATTTCTTCTTCTTTTTTTTTTTTTTTTTGACAGATTTTTTCTCTTGTTGCCCAGGCTGTGCAGTGGTGTGATGTCGGCTCACCACAACCTTCACCTCCTGGGTTCAAGTGATTCTCCTGCCTCAGCCCCCCGAGTAGCTGGGATTACAGGCATGCGCCATCACACCCGGCTAATTTTGTATTTTTACCAGAGATGGGCTTTCTCCATGTTGGTCAGGCTGATCTCAAACTCCCGACCTCAGGTGATCTGCCCGCCTCAGCCTCCCAAAGTGCTGGGATGACAGGCGTGAGCCACCACACCTGGCCTCTTCTTCTGTCTTTAAAGAAAAAGACAGAAAACAAATCTCAAAAATTAGATGCAGGCAGGCAACTTGTATAAGAATTTCAGCTTGCATAAGATTTGTAAACCGACATGAATTGGCAACACAGTTAATTAGGTTATTAAGGGAAGTAACTATCACCACTAGGAATTAAACTAGTTTTCGATAATTTACTTGTTTCTGGCAGGACTTTGGGGGGAAAATGAGCCAAGTGTCATAGAGGGAAGATGGCTGGCTCTGGGCCCAGCCGCAGAATGGCAAGCATGTTGACCTTGGACAGGTCATTTATCCTCTTGAGCCTCTGCTTTCATCCACCAAACAAGGACCTTGATGACATGATATTTCAAGTACTTTCCAGCTCTACATTCTAGGTATACTTTATCAGTGAAATGAACAGAATATCTTAAATTTATTTTATCCAAAATAAATCAATCTATTAAGTGAATGCCACTTAATAGAATTCCGTTGCATTATACTAGATTTCATTACAAGTAAATCACTAATGATAACTATCTTTGGGATTTAAGGCAATCTCACAGCTAATTTAGAAATCATTAATAACTGGCCATTACACCACTGGCACCCATTGAAAAGTGCTTTCAATAATCCTTGATTCAAGTTTTGTCTGTGAAAGCTTTTGTAAATAGTTAGCAAAGTAACCTTGGGAAACTCATCTAGATAGGAAACGTGGACAATCCTGAGCATCTGGACATCATAATTCCCTGATAAAGTGGATCCTCTGTGATCAAGAAGTGAGAAAAAATTAGAGACTCTAGAGTCAATCTACTGACTAGAAGTCGTTTTTCTGTCTCTTAGAAGCTGCGTGACCTTTGGCAAATTATTTAATTTGTTGAGCTGTAATATCTGCATCTTAGAAACATATTACTAATGACAACATCTACAATAGAAAGTGGAGGGTTGCTAATATTGGAGATAAATAATTGAGCAAGTATGTTAAATGTCTGCTAATTGGCTGTTTTTATCCATCTTTTTATTTAATTAGTCTTAAAACGAAGCTGCTATTTTATCAGGTACACTTTTATTTTAAATTCCTAGATATCCTTTAATTCACAACAGAAATAAGAAGCTAAGACATGAAAGATAGCAATAAGTTAAAACATTTCTGACAGGAAAAATTTATAAAGTGGCAGTGGATGTGCAAATATCAGCTTAACTAAACAAGAATTTACAAGAGTGTAAATGTCATTAGCACATACTCAATATAGTGTATTTAATTTTTTTGAAAATAAAGATAAATTAACTTAGATTAAAACGAAGATTGAATAATTGGTCACATTATAATCATTAGAATGAGCTGTCTTTATTACTTTTAAATTACTCTGGATTTCAGATTTAGAATGAAGGCAATATTCTACCCGTTATTGGCATTTATTCTTTCATTTCTTCATTTAAGAAAACTCTTACAGTTCACTCTCTAACGATTGTGCTAGATGTTGGAAAGCTATAAAAATGAGTAAAATAGGTCCCTGCCTTGAGGGAACTTATAATGGCAATGTGCAGTCATAACAGAGATAAAAACATCCTGAGGTTAGAGATGATTTTGTCTGAGAAGATGAGAAATTACATCCCAGAAGAAATCACATTTTCACTGGGCTTTGAAGTAGCGAAGTACTTTGATAGACAGCAAAAGCGTGAGGAGCAAAGTCATGGATTGGTGAGAAGTGAGGCATAGTTTGGAAACCCATCATGTGTATGACTGGAGAGTAAAATGCCTAGAATGTCAATTGTGATAATGTGGACATTGTCAATGGGTGCTAGATTATGGAAGCAGTTGAATGCAATATTAAGAAGTTTATGCTAAATTCAGAGAGCAATTTGGAGCTACTGGCATTTTTTAAGTGGGTGAGAAATGTTGATAGAATTAGGTTTCGGAAGGGGACAGATTTACAGCAGACCAGTAAGGATGATGATGAGAGGAAAGGAGATACTAGGTAAATGGATACAGTGGAAACGAAAAGCTGGAGGGTTGGAGAGTATGGATTCTTTCTGTTGTGCATGGCAAACCTGTCCAGACTCCCAGCCGCCATCTGAACAGGACCCAGCTTGACTCCGAGCCTCTGATGTTTTTCTCACTTATTGATGATCACAGAGGATCCACTTCTTCAGGGTATTATAATGTCCAGATGCTCATAATTTTTCATATTTCTGATCCTAGATTAGATTCCCAGTCACTTTGCTAAATATTTATAAGAACCTTCAAAAACAAAAATGAAGCATCTTAGTTGGCTGTCTCTGCCCCCGCTCCTTTGCTCAGTAACCCTGGCTTCCTTGCAAGGACTGCTCTCTGGTCTCACTTGGCTGCTGCTGTTTCCTTGAGACCTCTGAATCCTCTCTGTCCTTGGAGTTGGTCCCTAAATCTTTTCCATCTCCCAAATCCCAGATTTCTCATCGATCATAGAAATCCTAATAATTTGGATGTAAAACTGGGAACCCAATCAAAATCTGAACAAGTGATGCCAAAAGAGGTTGTTTTTATTTTCAGAAGCCTCTTTCCATAGTCATGTCACCAAACGCTCTCCTTCCAGCTATCCACATGAACAGCTTCCTCTACACCAAGATTTTTGTCCAGATATTGCCTTCTTGCAAAGGCTCTGCTGACTTCCTGTTTAAAATTTCAACAGCCCATCCCTCACCTAGCTCAGCAACTGCTATAGCATGTTTCATTTTTTTAAAACTTCACTTTTCCTATTTTATGGCCTTCTAACATACTACTAATTTATTGTATTTAATTTTCATCCGTTTCCCCTCAATCGCCACAGAAGGCAAGCTCCATAGAGAGTGAAATTTTTGGTTGTTTTATGTTCCCAACAAATAAAAGGTATCCAATAAATGCTGTTGAATGAAGCTAAATGACAATTATAAGGTATTCAGTGTGTCAAAAAAACTTTTAATCAATGTGTGATGTGGCTTGTTTAGGAAATTTAGGGAAGTTGAATGAGAGTAGAATATTGGTTTAGGCTGGGTTGTAGAGAGCATTGATTTAGGCTGAATATGAAAATAAACTGGCATTCTTCATACCTTCAGTGAACAAGGCTAAAATAAGCTAACCCACATTGACAAGAAAAGAGCTCAGAATTATATCTCCTCAGTCGAGTATTTGCAGAGCTACCACTTAGCAAACATTTGTAACTGGCTGGGTTGAATGGGGGAATTTCATATGATGTGAATAGTATATTCCTGTTTAATATCTGTAGAAAGCAGAAACAGTCCCCCAAAGATGTCCACATCTTTATCCTCAGAACCTATGAATATGTTACATCACAAGGCAAAGGGAAATTAGTGTTAAGATTGAATTAAAATTGTTAATTAGCTGATCTTAACCAAGGAAGATTGCTCTGGATAATCCAGACGTAATTATAAGAGTCCTTAAAAACGGAAGTGGGAGGCAGAAGAGGCAGTCAGAGAGATATGATTTGAGATTTATTCAACCTACTGTTACAGGCTTAGAAAATTGAGTTAGAAAGCCATGAGCCAAGGAATGCTGGCAACCTCTAGAAGCTGAAAATGCAAGGAAACTTATTCTTCCTTACAGCCTCTAGAGGGGAACACCAAGGGAGACTCATGTCAGACTTCTGACCTGCAGAACTGTAAGTAATAAATTGGTGTTGTTCTAAGCTACAAGGTTTATAGTTTGTTATGAAAGCAAAAAAAAACTAATATAGCACTTTTCATGAGTGAATAATGATAGCTAAACTAATCACCACCCTTTATGTGATTTATTCCATGGCTATTACTTATTAAAGAGCACTCATGTGATTCCATATGCATGCAATTCTGATTTCAGACAATCACCGCTCTGAAAGTTTTGAAAATCTTTCTATATTCTTGGTAACAATATTTCTAGAATGTCTGCTGCTAAATAAAAAACTATAGACTGAAAATAAATTACAGGGCACGTTTCCAATCTCAGATTCTTGCTGTTATCTTAATCTTATTTCTCTTCAGCTATGTTTACTACTAGAAACATCTGTGAGAAGGGCCAGATGTGAAATAGCTTGGAAAACAGTTTGCTGAGAGGTGCTCTACCAAATGACTGCATCAATTATTTTGACTTGGGAAACAGTGAAGGTAGGTTTTAAAAACTGCACAGGCTGCATTGTAAAAATATTCTTCAAAGTTTATTTGTTTTTGAGATAGTTTCTATTTTTGCTCATTAGATGAAAAGCGTGGCTACATTATAGAAAGAGCATTGGATTAAAAATCAGATGATTTTTCTGTTACCAGATCTGTGAAATTTAGGATGTATGTTAACTTGGTTTTTGTATTTAAAAAGCTGCAAAACTTTAATAAATTAATGTGTATGACTATATGACTTCAAATTGAGATATTTAAATGTGAGTGAAAACTATCATAAGTAGTGGAAAGGACATTAATTCGATAGTCAAGAGACGAGGTTTCATTTGTAGGAGGAAGAGCATACATTTTAGAATTGGTTTGAATCATTTCACTATTGGCCAGCTAGGCTTCAACATGTTATTTACTGCCTTTGGTCCTCTGTTTCCTAATTTTTAATAAGGATAACAACCCAAAATGTAGGTACTCTTTTAGAGATTTATTGTAATAATGCTATTAATTTCCTAGCGCAATTTCTTCTTTTAACAAATGAATAGTGCTAATTGGAATAGGTCCAAGCAAGTTTCTCAGTACCAACTCTCATCTGCAAGACTTAACTCTCAATCTTTTGTGAGAAGTGACTCTCTTTTCTTCTGTGAGAATTAAATAAGGCAACATCTGAATTTGTCTAATACAAACAAAGTATTCGATAATAGTTTACCAAAAATTACAATTAGATTTCATAGATCCATCTAGTTCTATCTAGGGCTGGGAAAATTAGGAAGGAATATGGCAACACATGACTATTCCCTCAACCTCATGCCCCTACTTCGCACAGTGCATTTTCCTCTATTTCAAAAGAAGTCTAAGTATAAAGTTGACGTTGGGGATGAATGAGATGGGCACATGACTTTCACGGAAGATCAAAATTGGCATGCAAATTGTGGAAGCCACCAAGGGTTTGAGTCAGCTACCATGGTAGAGTTATAGCAGCACGGGAAAAGAAAGCTCTAACACAGGTTGTAACATAATTACAGCTAAGTTCAACACTGAATAAAAAGACCAGTGTAAGAAGAGCTAAGGGACAAAAGAGAACCTGAAGTGGCCTTTCTCATCTCGCTTTTGAGAGAAGGTAAGGATTAAAAAGTAACTGACATTACTTTCTCTCTCTGTAGGCCAAGGGTACTTACCCTTTATGGTATCATAAAGCTCTTGGGTAATTTAGTCAAACATGATGACCTTCCCTTAGCAAATTTAAATGAACATTTGCACAGAAATGCAGAGATTTAATGGTGACTTGAAGCCCATCCATGGGCTCCAGGTTAAGATCTCCTGCTATGAGTATGCATTTTTAATCAGAAAAGTACTTGGCAAACAGAGAATCAGGGCTCAATAAATGTTCAGTGACATTCAGCTAAAAAAGTTTAATGTATCTTTCACAGAAGTAACAGTTATTTTGCCGGGTTTAGAAAAAAAAATGTCCTTAAGCTGAGAATTATTCTTTTAAGATCACTGCTGATTTGACCTTTGAGATTATTTTTCCTTCAATAGTTTTATGGTTTACCAAATTCCCAGGTGTAGATCAGTTAAAAGTTTAATACATTTCCAGACAAGTAATAGAGGTATGTCTTCTTTTTAGAAACAGTTGAGCATCACTGATTTTATTTCAAATATATTGATATTATAATTTAGCTCTAAAATATCATTTTTTTCTGTTTCTGCTGGGGTTGCGGGGTATGCATTCAATGTTATCTAGCCCCACATTGATCCCTGTGGTGCCTCTTCTTAGATACTTTTCTTAAACACAATTTCTCACATTCTCAGACCCGTGAAGTTAGGGCTGAGAAAGGTCAATCCACTGGCCCACGCTGTCAGCTCTACCTTAGTATGAATGGCTGTATTGATTCATCTCACACTGTCACTACTCTTTCGATTCTAATTGAAGCCACTGACAGATTAATGTAGTAGTCTACAACTCCTCTTCCTACCACAATTTCACAATTCATTCTTAACACTCACTGCTCAAAATCTTCTAATGGCTTTTTATCATTCCTACAATATGTCTCAAACCCCTATCTTGCTCTACAAGGCCCATGTGGTATAGTCTTTGCCCTGGTCATTCATACCACCTCAGATAACACATTTGTTTCACTCCATCTAGAACCACCAAGTCTGCTTGATGAAAATTCCAAGCTGGTTCCTGCATGGGGTTCTGGCCCTTGCTGTTCATCTGCCGAGAGTGCTTGTCTCCCAAATTTTCTCATGGCTGGCTACTTCTCAACATTCACATCTCAGCTCAAACATCACCATTTTGGAAAGCATAGATGCCTATGTCAGTCACATCATCTACAATAGGTGCCTTACACACCATCATCCCCCCACACCATTCTTTCATTTTCATTTTCCTATTATCTTAACCTGTTAGTATCTATGACTTTTTTCCTACTTGTCCGTATATATTTATTTATTGTATTACCAAATTTCAGTTTAGTCTATAACAATGTGAATCCCCAGAGGGTAGAAATTTGTCTTCCTGACTGCTCTGTTCCCAGTATATAGCACAGTAACTGACACATGTTATACACTTAGCAAAAAGTAGTTGGATGGATGAATCAATAAATGAGAAAAATCAGTTCATTCTCTAATTAATTAATTAATTAATGTATTTTTAACCAAACTTCCCTGGGCATGAACTATGTATAAAGCAGAATGACAGGCAGTAAGCCATATACTAAAAGCAAGAGGAACCATAAATTCACGCATAGTTCATAGTCGAGATGCCCAGGTGTAATAGAATGTAGAATGTTCCAAGTACCCTAAGACAGATGCAGATAATTTGCTTTTGGAGTTCAGAAACAAAAGGTAGCTGTTTATAGCAAGATGGATTGAATCACCTGGTTCATTCCTCCAGTAGTGAATAGCAGCCCATCTGCTACCTTAGGTTCTAGGAAGCTTAATGTGGCAGCAAATTCATGGATAAATTGGATGGGAAAGAAGCCGGAGGTAAGAAGTGTAGCTCTGAAGACATCAGCAGACAGTGAAGAGGAAATGAAAGGGTCATGTGACTTGGAGATTAAGCAAATGCACCAGAGGAAAAGCCTGATACATAGTTGGTCACATTGCATTAAGGGAATTGCTTTCTCTATATAGAAATTAATTTGATATCAATTTTATTGATTTTTGGCACTTTACTATCTCTTTATTCAGTTTAAGATGCTCATCATTAAGAATGTGAGGACTTCCTCTTTGTAAGGAATTATTTAGACTGATGGAGTCTTAGAAGCCAGCAGGACTCCATAGTCAACCTGAAGATGGATGACATAGTAAAGGTTGATGATGGAATCTATTACAATGTCCTTGAGGAAGACAAAAGAGTCACAAAGTCTAACATATAGTCTTCCCCCAAAATTAGGTCTTCTTTTAGAGTACCCTAATTCAGAGAATAGCAGCACAACTATTTTACTGTATAAGCAAGGTTTCTGGGAAAAAAATCCGACACATTTCACTTTCCCTCACATATGACATGATCCAGTTTAAGTCTGGGAGAATGAAAGCTTAAAGCCAAGGAGTGTATGACCTACTAATAATAAAAACTGACCACTAATTTACAACTAAGGACAATCGATATGGAGGTATTATATTGGATGTAATATCAATCAGAATTACAAGCACATGGACTTGCCCAAGATAATTAAACTTCAAATATAAATTGCTAATTTGAGAACTCATTGAAGGATGTAACGGTGGAAGCGATACACCTACATTTATTTTGGAAAACTGTTTATTATTACATGAACAGCTTGAACCACCTCCATTTACATATCATCATCTTTTGAAGTAAAAAGACCTGGATCTGACTTCCTTCCTTCTTTCTTTCCTATTCTTTTATTTTTAAGTTTATATCATGAAATGCATATAATAGACTATATATAATATGAGTGTATAAAGTCTAAAGATAAAATGACAATATAATAAACTACTATCCAGCCTAAGAAAGACACTTCTGGATCATAATTCTTCCCTTCATAAAAAGAAAACCATCGCACTGAATATTTTAATCATAATTTTCTTGATCTTCTTTATAGGAAAGTTTTACCCATGTCTGGCCATTCTGTAAATGAAATCCTATCATAAGCTTTTTTAGTGTGTAGTTTTTTCTTCCTGCAAAAGCTTAATTTTTATGTCATCCATCAAAAGGCCTTTTACATATTTTACATTATGCACACAAATAATATATCTATAGTATGTATTTGCAGTTTAATTAATAATGTTAATGAAACAAACAGGTATATACACACAAACTGGTTTAACAACAGAAAATTACCAATAATTTTAATTGGTAATTTTCAGTCAGCTTCTCTCTGAGCATAGGAACCGCTATCCAACTTAGAGAAAAAAACTTTTTGTCTCTTAATTTTTTTTTGTTTTTTCTTAGCATGTGACCACAAATACATGCATTCCTTTACAATATTTTTAGCTTTATGTATTTTAACATTCATGTAAATGAAATTACTATAAATATTCAAAATTACTTGACTTTTCTCTTCAATATTTTGTATTTTATATCCATGTTGTTTCATGAAACTATAGTTAGCCCCTGTGCATTGCTGTAGACTATTTTACAATTTGACTACACTATGATTTACTTCTCTGTTTTTTGGTCTTCTAACTGTTATTGCTGCTTCTATTGTGGATGATGCTGCTTTGCACTTTCTGGCACACCTCTCCTGATATACATGTGCAAGAGTTTATTTCGGTTATACATATTCTTACATATTTACTGTGAAGTTATGAATTAGAAGTAATCAAATTTTCCATGTAACTTTGGATTATTATTTCAACATCTTTGATTCAGGTATACCCTATCATTTTATCAGTGTTCTTGTTTTATGTTGCCAAACTTGATATAGGCTGGTATCTTAAGTGTATTATTTTTTCATTTCCCAATTGAATAAGGGTAAAGTTATGCTCATTTTGTTTTTCAATCTCATTCCACTTATTGCATTTGAGGTTAAACAAATGTTCACTGGGCCGGGCGTGGTGGCTCATGCCTGTAATCCCAGCACTTTGGGAGGCCAAGGCGAGTGGATCGCCTGAGGTCAGGAATTCGAGACCAGCCTGGCCAACATAGTGAAACCCCGTCGCTATTAAAAATACAAAACTTAGCCTGGCATGGTGGCAGGTGCCTGTAATCCCAGCTACTCAGAAAGCTGAGGCAGGAGAATTGCTTCAACCTGGGAGACGGAGGTTGCGGCGAGCCAAGATCGCGCCATTGAACTCAAGCATGAGTGACAAGAGCAAGACTTTGTCTCAAAAAAAAAAAAAAAAATTCACTGGACATTTCTGTTTTCTTGTCTATGAAATCCCTTTTCATCCATTTTGCCCATCTTTCTATTGTGAAGTCAGTCTCTTGTATTGATTTACAGACCTTCATTTTGTGTTCTGGTTATTTTGTCAGGTTTACATATAACAAATATTCTCTAATTTTTTGCTTTGTGCTTTCACTCTCCTTACGGTAGCTTTTAATAAATAGAGTTTTTTTATTTTTGTGTGCTCAGATTTATATGTCTTTCCTTTAACTTGTTTCTTCTAAGGTGTTAAGTTTTTGTCATATATAGATTCTATAATATTAATTCTTTTATAAAGTTTTTACATTTAAACTCTTAAATGTTTAAAACCTTATTTTTGTGAATATAATGAAGTGATACTTTTTATTCTCTCTTATATTTGACTAATTGTTCTATTCTTTTGAATCATCATTCTATTCCCACTGATTTTAAATCAAAATCTATCAAAAATTAAACACGGATTTATCCATATGTCTTCCATCCTCTACCATCTTCAATTACCTATAACTGCACAAAACCAAAATCAGGTATAGTCTTTATTACTATACGTTTATTATAAGTCTTGATATCTGCAGCCAAGTCTTATTATTTTCCTTTATAAAAGTATTAATAAATATTGGCTCTTTGCTATTCTGAGGAATATATTATTTGAGTTGTCAATTTTCAGTCATGCTCCTCCCAGAAATGCTTTCTGAGTTTATTAGAATTATAACAAATTAGTATATAATTTATTATTAGAAGTTGAAGTTTTTATAATATTTACTTAGGTAATCCTTAATGGCTATAAAGTAAAATTGTCTGATTTTCTCTCTAAGGTTCTTGCACCATTATTTTTATTCAAGGGGATCTTAGTTTTGTTTCTATTAAAAGTAGTATCCATTTTAAATGACACATTTTATAATATAACTATTACTGATAATTAGAAACACAATTTACTTTTTTCTTGTGTGGATTAGATATCTGACAAACTTGTTCAACTCTCTCATGAATTTCATAATTATCTGTAGATTACATTAGGGTACTATATAGAAAAAAAATATTTTCTGGAAGTAATGATAATAAGTTTTTCCTTTCCCATCCTCCTAATCCTTCCTTCCTTCCTTCCCTTCTTCCTTCGTTCCTTCCTTCCTTCCTTCATTCCTCCCCTCCTTCCTTCCTTCTTTCCTTCCTTAAAGATTTCTTAGTTTTAAGTTATATACCTGGTTAAAATGTTGTAGAGAAATGTTGTAGAGAAGGGGCGGAAAACATGCAAGCATGCATGCATGCACAATGACTGGGAAAAAGGAGAATTTCCTAAAATTGCCTTTTCTTTTTCTTTATTCAATTAGAAATGTTATAAAAACAGGATAAAGCAAAAATGACTATCAATTATTTAAGCTTAGAAGTATTCATAATTGCCATAATTCTCTGCCAGATATTTGTCCAGGAGTAGTAAATAAAATTTGTCTCCTATAGAGAATGTCAAGGACTGTCGTAGGGAAGTGAAAAAATATGAAAACTAAACTTCGCTTACATTGACAAATTCATTATAAATAGGGTCTCAGAGGAAAATCACTGTTATGTATTTCTTTATGGGTGAATCATAAGTAAAAATAGAAAAAATTTTATGTCTGTTCGATTATGAACTAAATTCTGTCAGGTAAATTCCTATGATTTTCTTTGAAGTCAGCACTAATTAAACTCATTCACGGTTCCTCTGTGAATGTTCAATTTTACTACAATTTTGACTTTGATTAATTTGAACACTGAAGAAAAGACTTTTCAGAAACCATGTGAGCAAAATGTTTTCTCCAACCCAGTAGCACTATTCATTTAATCTTTCTACAAGGTATACATAGATCAGAATATTTCATTGTACCCCATAAATATAAACAATTATTTGTCAAATAAAAATAAGTTAATGAAATAAAATAAAATAAAATCTGCACCTAAAAAAAGAAACATATTTGGAAACTGAAACTATGTGGGTATTTCTAATTACAGCAGTTACGAACCAACATTTCTCTCTTGTTAACAAAGTCACAGTACTGAAGTAGTCTGGCCTCTATGACTTTAGGAAAATTGTGGGGTTTTGCATGTAAAACTTTATATTTGCTTAATATTTCTACCTTTTGTGCAAGTTTGCTCAAATGCTACCCTTTTTCTGGAGATATGTGTAGTTTGATTTAGAATGAAAAACTTCTGAAAGTTTGATGTGAGGATACAGAGCTGGGCAGATTCCAAGATTAAAGAGAAGAACCACGACATAAAGAGGTAGGAAGCCTGAGTTGTTGCTGTTTTGAGGATGACTAGTTGTGTATTCTGAAAATGACCATTTTGTTTGTCTTGATCTGCTTTCCTCTATCTTTAAAATAACAGGGATATGGGACTAGATCATCTATGACAATGCCTCTCTTAAAAATTTATACCAGTATAATTGGCACAATTAAGCACTGAATAAATTAGATGAAACTCAGCCACATCAAATCCAGTACACAAGCAGCAATAAGAGTGAATCAGTCCCACGCAGCTAAGTGCAATGAGAAAAGCAGTGGACACTTCTATTTACTCCCTTCTATTTACCTCTTTGGTGTATTTTTGGTTATTTCTTGGCTTTCCTATATCCCTAGTTTCAGAAAACCATCTTAGCATGGCTTCTCAGTTATGAGTTGTCCTTGGCTAGAGAAGGTCTAGGCTGAGGTTTCTCAATGAATACTCAAGAGTTGTGTTGAGTGTAGTAGTTACAAGTTGGCTTCATAGCTATAGCACCGCGAATTGCCACATCTGTAGCATAGTATTAGTGATTGCAATAATAACACTATTTAGTGGTGCTCTAAAATTAGAAAAGATAATGCCTATGAAGTGTGTGCTCAATAAACGTTAGACACTGTTAAAATTATAATAACAATTATTATTATTTCCCAGAGTGCTTGTTAAATTCAGATTTCTTGGCTTCATCCCCATTGGCAACCTAGGAGTGTAATTTTAGTGAGAAGAGATTGCAGTGTGGGGCCTTCCATGTGCAGAATCATGAATCACCATCAATGACCTCTTTTTCATAGCATAAGGACAAGAGGTTTTATATCAAAAGATAAATGGGCCATCGTCTCTTATAAAACTTGAATTCTACTCCAAACTCCAGGTGTGAACCTTGGTAAGTTTTTTTAATTTCTCTCCATCTGTACCATTTTAAAGAGAAAGTAGTTATTTCCTCAGGGCTCATAGTACGGAAAGAACAAGTTAGTACATGGAATATGCCTCACAGAAGCTCCTCATCCATTTCCCATTAAAAGCATTTCACAACCATAGCCATCATTTTCTATCCTAGTATTGGTGACTTGGTTTAATTTTGGTGTGGAATAATTTATTGTGTTGAAAGAGTATCCTAAGGCCAGCACTGTCAGATAAAAACATTGAAGCAGGCTGGTTGTAAAATGGCCTTCTTTGAGAGATGACATTGAGTCATCTTTTAAATGTCTTTTTTGAAATGAGAAAAAGCATAGTGAGGATGGTATTAGATCACATTCTACCAACAATTTCTCTTATTACCTGAAGTTACTGAGTGATAAGGTAACCTCACTGAGTCAAGTAGAGAAGCACACTGGGAAATTTGTTTTTCTTTTTCATATTTGTTTTTCTGAGATTCTTTATAGAATAAAAATATCAGCATTTCTACACAAAGTAGAAAAAATGTGGGTTAGCCAGTAATTCCTACATGTTTGTGATAGGAAACAACTGTTGTACAGAGGGGAATATGGTACCAAATATGATTGCATTGATCTGTAGATTGATTCAAATAGAACTGACATCTTAAAGGTAGCAAGTCTTTCAAGCTATGAAAATTGTGTATAAACTTCCATGTATGTAGGTCTTCTTTAATTTCTCTAATGTTTTAGGTGGGAGTGTGGAATTCATTAGAAGTACAGAAGTTTTTAAATCTTTTGTTAGATTTATTTCTGGGTATTTGATATTTTAAAATAACACTTCATGTGGAATAATATTTAAATTATTATTTTCTATTTTCTTGCTGCTAGCATGTAAAAACACAAGTGCTTTTGCTCTATTGCCCTTGTACCCAGCAATCATGGTATATTCACACATTTTTAATTTTTTCTTTGTAGATTCTTTTGGATTTTCTATATACACAATTTGTTAACTTCGTTTTTCATTTTCTGATCTTGCCTTATTTGAGAACATCAGGATTAATGCTTTCAATATTTCATGATTAAATGTGATATTTGCTTTTTTATAGTTAATCATTAAAATATCATAAATTTCCTTTTATTGTTAATGTGAAGAAATATTTATAATATTACATATTAATTTCTCCTTCTGCATCTATAGATATGACAAAAGGATTTTTCTCCTTTTATTCATTATAGAATTACATTGTTGAGTTATGTTAATGAATTTTGTTAAGTACCTTGTATTCTTGGAATAAACTACAATTTGACTTTATGCACTATTCTATTGGTAAAATGTTGGATATAAAATGTATTATTATTATTATTATTATTTTAAGGGACAGAGTCTGACTATGTTGCCCAAGCTGGAGTGCAGTGGCTGTCCACAGGCACAATCCCACTGCTGATAAGCATGGGAGTTTTCTACTACATTGTTTAGTATTTTTGCATCTATGTTTAGTCTGTAAATTTTTTTCTTATATTTTTCAGATTTGAGTATCAGCCTTGTAAGTTAGAAGCTGTCACTTATATTTTGTTTTCTGAAAGATTTTGTTTTAAGAGTTGTATTATTGCTTCATTAAATATTTGCAAGAATATGTGAGAGTAGCCAGTTAGACCTGTAGCTTATTTACTTGGACATATTTTAGTGTGGAATCAATTACTTTTAATATCAAACAATAGACATTTTTTATTTCTTACAGTTTTAGCATGATACATTTTATAGATTGGAAGACACGCAGTATTGTAAAATATTGGCTATCTTCAAATTGTCTTATAGATTCTACCGGATGCTAAATTCAAGCAAGTTTTACTTTTGTGGAAGTTGACAAACTGATTTTGAAATTCACTTAGAAATGCAAATAGACAATAGTAGCCATGTTACTCTAAAAATCAAAGAAAAACTAATGTATTTATATTTCCAAACTTCAGTAATTTTTAAAATATTTAAATCTTTAAAAATATTTAGGCCTGGCGTGGTGGCTCACGCCTGTAATGCCAGCACTTTGGGAGGTCGAGGCGGGCAGATGACGAGGTCAGGAGATCGAGACCATCCTGGCCAACACGGTGAAACCCCGTCTCTACTAAAAATACAAAAAGAAATTAGCCGGGCGTGGTGGCGGGCGCCTGTAGTCCCAGCTACTCGGGAGGCTGAGGCAGGAGAATGGCGTGAACCCGGGAGGCGGAGCTTGCAGTGAGCCGAGATCGTGCCACTCCACTCCAGCCTGGGCGACAGAGCAAGACTCCGTCTCAAAAAAAAAAAAAAAAGAAAAAGAAAAAAAAAATTAAAGGAGTGTGATGTTCGTCCAGGATAAACTAATTGAAAACGAAAACAGAAGAATTTAAACACAAACCTGCTAATAAACACTACTCTCAAATATGTAAAGAAAAACATGGCAACTCAAAGAGTGGGGTGAAGAAGGGGGAGCCTGATGGAAATGTTCTGGAATGGCAGGCAGAAATCTCAGAATTAATCACAGCCTACCTTCAAAGCATCTCTCTCCAACCTGCTTTCAGAGGACTCTGGTATGTTTCTCCTAAAATATAAGTATCATCATGTCGCTCCCTGAATAAAATTGTATAATGCTCTCTTTTACAACTAGCCATTGTTTGCCTAGTATATAAACTGTTTTTTGTTCATGTCTCTAGCCTCAAACATCATCACTAATACAGATGGTCCCTGACTTGCAATGGTTTAACCTACAAATTTTCAACTTTAACATGGTGTGAAAGCAATACACATTCAGAATAAACTGTATTTTGAATTTTGATTTTGATCTTTTCTAAGCTGAGAATATGCAGTAGAAAATTATCTTGCAATGCTGTGTGGGCAGTGAAAGCAGGCTGCAGCAAACGCAAGGGCACATAATTGATACTCTGCAGTGTACTGTGTTGCCAGATGATTTTGCCCAAGTGTAGACTAATGTTAAGTGTTCTGAGCATGTTTAAGGTAAGCTAAGCTAAGCTATGATGCTCAGTAGGTTAGGTGTGTTAAATGCATCTTTAATATTTAATATATTCAACTTACTATGGGTGTATCTGGACATAACCCCATCATAAGTTTAGGAGCATCTGTACTCTCATGCTTTGGTTAGCTCACCCCTACCCGCCTACGTGTCTAGTAGAAAGCCTGATACACCACAGGAGACAAAAAATACACATCTGAGGTATGAGCAAGCTGGTAACTGAGGCAGTAGGCTATTGGAATTCCCAAGTCCCTCTTTAAAAACAGACAAAGCAACCAAAACAAAATACATGGAAAGCATACAAAAATCCAGGTGACTAGGTATCTTCACAAACTCTAGTATATTTTAATGAGGGGCTAAATAACCACTACCAACAAAGTGGACATCATAATAGCAACTAGGCAGAAAGAATGGAGGGAAGGTCCTGAGAGCTGGAAACACAGAATCTGATCATTAACAAGTATTGACTCTAAAAGATCACATGAAGCATGAGTAGCTGAGCCCATCTGAGAACAGGTGAAACAAGGAAGGGGCTTTGATAATGAGTATCACAACATGCCTGACTGCCCATGGGATGCTGTGTCTTATGCATATTTGAGCTTAACAACTGAAGCACTGTCCAGAATAGAAACTAAACTGTCCCAAACTAAGGAGAAATTGCTTAAAATAAAATTAAATTGAATAATACAGAGACACGAAAATGCAAGAGAAAGAGAAAATCCCAATGAAACCTGAGAAGGCAAATCTCAAAAACTACAAGAGTTAATCTGTGAATATTTTGCATTAGCAACATGATAAGAAATTATAAAAGTATGAATCTAGGAAAACTATCCTGGTCTAACCTCTCTTCTTAAGAATATAGTTAAAGCCATCTAATTTAAATATGGGAAAAGTAACAGAGGTTGGATGAAAGTACAATAGAAACACATACCATCCCCTAAAACTATTAAAATCAAGCAAACACAAACCTTTCACCTACTATTTCAAAAATGGCTAAAAATTTTAAGAAAATGATAGAAATTAGGAAATTACAGTATGTTAGATTTATAAATTACAATATTAAGAAGATTAGACAAAATAATCTGAAATGAGGACTGATAGAACTGAAGAAAAAGCAAGAAAAAAAGCCATTTCAGAAGTTAACATTACACTAGAAGGAATGAAAGAGCAAATGAATACCAAAAATTTTGCCTCATATAAAAGAGAATGAGGAAAAACTGTAATTTTAAAATTACATTTTTTAAATAAAAAAATTGCTTAAAATGATATGAAAGAAGTGACAGATTTAATAGATAAATAAGAAAAGTAAGCATACATAAAATAGGGGTTTCCAAAGAATTCCAGACAATGAAAGAGGGCACATGTTGTAAATCATAATTTTATAAAACTTTTCTGGAATAAAGGATATTTAAATATAATCTTAAATACATGTACCAAGATTATCAAGTAAGATTACTGAACTTTCAAAATGAGTAATAAAAAGTGGGAGATATTCCAGCTCCTCCAAAAGAAGAGCTACGAAAAAGAGAACAAAAATCAGATCGACATCAGAATTTCCAAAGGGAACACCTTCCAACTTACGTAAAAATAAAAAATAATGATTCTGCTGGAAAAACTATATAAAGGAAGGAGAAAATTCTCAACTGCCTGATATAAAAATGTTCAAAAAATAGGAACAGCTAATTCTCCTTAAAAAGAAAAAAAACAGCCAAATGGCTCTTTAAAATACAAAAAGATCCACATAAGCAATGGAAGTTAAAGCTACACTAAAATACAATTTTTTCAATTTTTTTTGTAAAAATTTAGATTTGTCAACATACTCTGTTGGCAAAGCTGTAGGGAAACAGATTTCTCTCATATATTGCCAGTAGCAATGCCAAAAGATATGAACCCTACGGAGGGGAATTTGGCAATATCTAGTAAATTAGATATGCATTTCCTTTTTCAGCCAGCAATGTCGCTGGCAGAAAGGTATCACAGAGGTATACTGCCACTAATATAAAAAAAGATGTATGCACAAAGCTATTTACTGTAGCACTATTTGTAATAGCAAAAGGTTTGAAGTAACCTAAACGTCTACTGGAACAGTTAAGAAATATATAGTACAGTTACATAATGGAATACTCAGTATATATATGAAATGGAAGATAACTGTATAAAATATACAAGATGGAGAAAAGTATAGTTTGCCATTGTTTTTCTAAGAATGGAGCAATCTCCAATACAATAGTTATAAATACGCCTTTGCCTTAGGATGGGATATCTAGGAAACCCACCTTAAAACACATATCGAAGATACTTGAATTGATAAATTTATATTTTCTGTAAAACAAAATAAGACAAACATTTTATTTGTCACCTTAGAAACAGGCTAGGGAATGTAGTTCTTATTCTGAAAATCAAGTATCTATTCTGCATATTCTAATCAAATTGTATCTTAGGATAACCAATAGTTGATGAGAAGTAGCTTTTCTTTTCAGATGTATTAAAGATAACATATGAAAAATAATGATAAAATTATAACATTGATATTTTAGAATCCCTAATCAAATAATGAATGCAGATGATATTTATCAATGGCTGTTAACATCAGAGAAAATAAGATGATGAGGCCATGCATGCATTCTGCTAGAAATGCAATACATTACATGCAAAGAAGTTGGAACATAAAACATAATCTGAATCTAATCAAGTTTCCAGCTCTAACTAGCAATTTAGGAAAAAATACAGAAGACAGAAGAACGTGATGAAGGACTCTGTGTAGGTAATATCATTAAAATCCACACTGTGGAACTCTGAGGAAAAATTGACTGCTATATTAACATAGAAATTGAAACAAAAACACACACATAAAAACGATACAGTCAAAAGGGAAACCCTATCATGTTTTGCAAAAGGTTTGAGACATGTTATTCAACACTTGCAATATATGAGCTTTACTTTATCCTGATTCAAACAAGAAAAAATATAAAAATGTGAGATGCGGTGGAGGAAATTTGAACACTGACAAGATCTTAGATGCTATTAAGGAAGTATTCTCATATTTTTGATGTCATGTAGTACTTTAATCATGCTTTACAAAAGTCATATTTTAGAGGTACACAGTGAACTATCACAAATCAAATTAAGTGATAACAGAAGATTGCTTCAAATCAGCTGGAGGTGGAAAAGCTGGAGGCATCAATGAAACAAAATTAGTCATGGGTTATCGATGGTTGAAACTAGGTGAGACATACATGAGCTTATTATATTCTTTCTACTTTTGAGTATACATGAATTTGTCACATAGAAACACAAAATGAAAGAGAGATACTCTAGTTTGAAACAGAGAAGACTGTTTTGCAAATAGTCTCTCAGAGAGTCGGACGTAAGTCCACGGTGCGATAGCTACACTATTTAGAATATCTCATCTTCCTGTTTCTGGTAGGAACAAAGGAAAAACTCAAGAGTTAACCAAAGCTTTGTCATTACTAGATCCAAGTAGTGGTGATGTCGCTCCTGTGCACGTGTCATTGGCCAGAACTAGTCACATGACCCTGCCATAAATGCAAGGGCTTTGGAAATACAGTATTCCACACCACAAAGTGGGAAATGGGAACAAATATTGGGAGCACTACAACTTTGACCACCTATCTCAATGGAACTTTCATAAGGACTAACACTTTATGCATCATTTTAAAGTGTATAGCTTCATGTCATTCTCTAAGCAGACTTGAGACACTGGAAAAGGCTCCTATTCTAAGTAAAACATGAAGAAAATGTTAAGAATTTCCTGAGTTCACACAATTAAGCAAAGTACATTCAGGACTTCTGACTTCGAGTATTTTATTTCCACCTAGTGCATTTTTATAAAAATTAAATAAATTTGTATATTGAGAGTTGCTTTGTATACTATAAAGCATTCAGTATATTAGTTAATTCCTCTCCTGAGAAAAGACACTCACCATTCTTTGTTCTTTTATGTGATGGTCAGTCAGATGCAACCACAAGAGAAGACTCAGAAAGGTTCAGAGAGTCTTAGAAACAAGAGCATGGCACATCAGGCAGAACCACTGGGAAAGCACCTGCATTGGTCAAGAGGCAGAAAGAGAAGGAGCAAGAGGAGATCCCAGGCCACAGTCCTCATTGGAATTTCTGCAGGAAAGGCAAGACAGGGCAGAAATTTACAAGAAAAAAAATCAAACAACCCCATCAAAAAGTCGGCAAAGGATATGAACAGACACTTCTCAAAAGAAGACATTTATGCAGCCAACAGACACATGAAAAAATGCTCATCATCACTGCCAGTCAGAGAAATGCAAATGAAAACCACAATGAGATACCATCTCACACCAGTTAGAATGGCGATCATTAAAAAGTCAGGAAACAACAGGTGCTGGAGAGGATGTGGAGAAATAGGGACACTTTTACAATGTTGGTGGGACTGTAAACTGGTTCAACCATTGTGGAAGACAGTGTGGCGATTCCTCAAGGATCTAGAACTAGAAATACCATTTGACCCAGCCATCCCATTACTGGGTATATGCCCATAGGATTATAAATCATGCTGCTATAAAGACACATGCACATGTATGTTTATTGCAGCACTATTCACAATAGCAAAGACTTGGAACCAACCCAAATGCCCATCAATGATAGACTGGATTAAGAAAATGTGGCACATATACACCATGGAATACTATGCAGCCATAAAAAAGGATGAGTTCATGTCCTTTGTAGGGACATGGATGAAGCTGGAAACCATCACTCTCAGCAAACTATCGCAAGGACAAAAAACCAAACACCACATGTTCTCACTCATAGGTGGGAATTGAACAATGAGAACATCTGGACATAGGAAGGGGAACATCACATGTTGGGGCCTGTTGTGGGGTTGGGGGAGGGGGAAGTGGGGAGGGATAGCATTAGGAGATATACCTAATGTAAATGACTAGTTAATGGGTGCAGCAAACCAACACAGCACATGTATACATATGTAACAAACCTGCACATTGTGCACATGTAGCCTAGAACTTAAAGTATAATAATTAAAAAATAATAATAATAATAATAATAATAATAAAGGTATACCCCAAATGAGCCTCTTGCTGTCTCTAAGAATTGGCTACTCTGTAACCCAAGTAGGGATAGTGTCTCCCCAGCCAGAAAGGTTTTTACGATGTCAGAACTTTATAATACACACAAGATAAAAATATTGAATCAGAATACTCATTAATGTTTCTCCATGCCATATGTGTGGGTGGCTTGGTATACTTTGGGAAAAAGGTGCTGAAAGTCACAGTAAAATCCTATTTGTACCCATGGGCTTACCTGATCACTTATATGAATGATGAAGTCTATAATTTGAGGTGTCAATCCACTGGAATAATTAGCCTGAAGTAGACCTCTGCGGTGCTCATAGAATAAATAGCCACAAACCATTTCATAACAGAGACGACAGCTTCCCTGAGTGCCCCATGCAACTAGGCTTTCTGGTTCTTTACACATATAGAAAACAAAGATTGGCTTGAATTATATGATATTTCCCAAAGCAGACCTATGCAAATGAAGAAAGAAAAAAAAACTGACCAAGGTGCACAGCATATTCACTAGAATTTGCTCAATTACGAGAGCACAGTAAAAAGCCCTGGAGTCAGTGAAATACATACAGAATTCCAGCTTCTCTGAATGACTCCCCATTCTACCAATGCAACAGGAGGTACTAAGTTTCTAGACCCTTTCTGATGGGGTTCCCACTGGCTAGGAGTCAGTGACACAGTTACCTTTATTCCAAAAGTTTGGTTTGTAAAAACCAAATATTATCAGCTAGTTAAAGCCTTTCTCAATTGCTTTAGCTGTGAGAAGATCCTTCTCTCCATGGTTCCTCAATGTCCCCCATAATTTATGCCTATTTGTTATACTTTATAAAAAAGTTGTTTAATTACATTTAGTTCTTGACGTACTTGTCTGTATTAATGCATGTAAATTTCAAGAAGGAGGAGGCGAAATTTGTTTTCTCTCTATTTAGGCCCTGTACCACATTGATGAGAAGTAATAGAGACCAATAAGCCCACGTTGAATGTATGATCTTATGAATGATGGAATGCAAAGTGAATGAATGCAAAAAACATATTTAGTAAGAAAGATAATATCTCAAATAGAATTGACATAAACTCAAGTCTTCACCCTTTAGAAAATAAAAATGTTTACTCCTAGGTTGCTCAATGAAACTAATTTCAGTACTAAACGTGTTTTTCTGAAAAAGGGGTTTTCTACTAACTTTCTTTAATATCGAAAGGAGAAAAACATGGTTTAACAGCCGATTTCACATTTTCTCAAATCCTTCACACTTTAGCACCAATGCCCAGCTGACTGGGACTGTCCTCTGTTGTGCCAGTTCTTGGCTGGAGGAAGAGTTAGAACGTGCAGCACTTTGCTCAGCAGAAAGTCACCCCATTGTGGACTTAGGAACATGTTTGGCTGAAGGATGATATTTGGCTAGCTGGTGGGGTTAGCGGAGTCCCCACTGAGTCTGGAAATCACGTGTTTAGCAAGAATCATGTTTGATTTTATGGTTTATTTCTTTGTTTAATATGTGTCTGTATTATAGTACTAGTTAAATTTCCATATTTCCATATCTGTTTTTCCCCACAATATGGAAGCTCACTAAGGGCTTGGGTTATGAGGTGCACATTTTTTTTTAATCTCTGCAGAAACAAAAGAGTGACTTTCATATTGTTGCTGGTCAATTAAATATTTGTTTATAAATTCCTAGGAGACACTCAATGTAGTCCTAAGTTACTGTTTAAGAACTGAGGTTGATAAAGAATGTGAGGCATTATTACTGAAGAGTCTACATATACAAAGTTGATGCTTTTAATAGTTGGGGAAGTGTATAAGAGAAAAATTTTATTTCTCCTCACTATCTCTTTTTGCTTTTTCAAAAATAATATGGGCAAAGAATATGAGTTTAAAATTACTGAGATTTTCTTTGTGTGTGCCTTCCTCTTAGTGCATATCTGCTATTTTGTTTGCTCAGACTCTTACCTTTGGAGACATCATCTCTGGAAAGGGCTGATTCTGCCTTTTACTCCCATCACAGGGAGGAGCAATAGACAGATTTGGCTTATCAGAGAACTTCAAATCTTGGCTACAGTGAATGAATGACTAATAGATAGGGACACTATTAAACTCCAATCAGAATAACTCTGGGATTTTTCTCTTACAACTATTAGAAAAGATTCTCTCTCTAATCAAGTCTGTAAACTGGCACCACATGAGATGAAATGACATCAGCCATCTTGCTTATCAAGTAGAATCTAAGAATAAGGGAGGCTGAGTCTTGATAATGTCATTAGAAGCCATCATTTCAGCAGTGCCTAAAGCTGAAGTGTTTCTCAACATTCTGTTCAAGTGATCAGCAACATTTCTCTTTATTGGTTAAGCTGATGTAAAATAGGTTCTATCAACAGCAAGTGGAAGACTGTAGATAAAATAGTTCTGGAACTTATTGCCTCTAATACATATTTTTTCTAGTATTAACATCTGTCACATTGAGATAGTACAGTCAGTGTTTTTTAGTATTTCATCATAGTTTGATTGTCATCATTTTCTTCTTTCTTACTAGTGTACATGATAATGGTCGGCTGGGTGTGGTGGCTCACACTTGCCATCTCAGCACTTTTGGAGGCTGAGGCGGAAGGATTGCTTGAGTCCAGGAGTTTGAGACCAGCCTGAGCAACATGGTGGAACCTGGCCTCTACAAAAATTAGCCAGACAGGTGACACGTGTCTGTAGTCCCAGTTGTTTGGGAGGCTGAGGCAGGAAGACCACCTGAACCCAGGGAGGTCAAGGCTGCAGTGAACCATATTATCCTGTCACTGTACTCTAGTATGGGTAAAAGGGTGAGACCCTTTCTCAAACAAAAACAAAAACAAAAAACCCTATAATTTTTAGAAAAATAAATAAAGAAGAAAATAATATGTCTTCCAATTCATGGTGTCTTAGGCACGTGTCTAGTTTGAATTGAGATGTGTTTTAAGGTAAATTATACACACCAGATTTCAAAGTCTTGGAATAGACAAAAGAATGTAAAATATCTCTTTAGTAATTTGATATTAATTAGATAGTAAAACATTTTGGAAATAATTGGTTAATTAAATATAGCCTCAAGTAATTTCATCTTTTTACTTTTAAAAATGGGTCCACTAGAAAATTAAAAATTAAATATGTGCCTTGCATTGTAGACTTACATTATATTTCTTCCGGAAGGTCCTATTCAATAGGGTATAAAGATTTACATGACTTTACACATTAGAGTAAAATGAATGATTTTACTTTAATTCTCACTGTCACCATTTATTCTCCTTTTGATTTTTAAATATTGTGCCAAATGCTAACAAAATGAGGCATATGTCCCTAAAGGTTTTTTTGCTGGTTTAGTATTCTTTGGGCAAATAATATGTCATGTGTATCTTCTGTATCAAGTTATTATTTTTTTCACTATGTTATTTTGGCTTGTTATTAATACTGGATACCTATTTTATATATTGACAAATACATCTTTAGTAGTACTTTATTTTGCTTTGTTTCAAATGATAATTATTTTCTCACCCTCATACTGATAAAAAATACCTACTTCATAAAGTTTAAAAATATAGGAAATCTCAAAGAATAAAAATTAAAATTGCTTATTAATCCACTGATGCATTAACTATTATTAACATGTTGTTTCTACCATTATATTTATTTATGTTCTTAAAATAACCAGCCTTTATTCTATTTTCTCTTACTTTGGCTCACTTTTCTCCTCATTTTCATTTAATATTATTATTTTTTATTAATGTTAATTAACTTATTATAAATTAATATTGATTAGTACATTTCTGACACGTTGAATTTCCACAACATGTTAGTTTTTTTCTTGGGTTACATAGTGTTCCCTAATATGTATGTGTCTGGATTTATTTAACTAAACATCTATTATTAAATGTGTAATTTGCAACCAAATTTTAATTACTACAAAATGCTGTAACAATTGTCTACATTGGGGCATATTAGATTATATCCTTAGATAATAAAAAGTAGAAAACCTAGTAGGATATAAAACTCAAAATGTTTTCAATAATTTTGATATATTTGCATATTTAAATTTCCCCTCAAGAAATATTAAGCCCCAAACAATATCACTTAAAATCCCTGTAAGACATTTATAGATATATTACTGCACCCCCCCATTTTTTCATAGTATAATCTTAGGTTTTTGAATTCAATTAATAGTCACACAGTGTAAATCCCCTATCTTTGTCCATTTTGTGTTGCTATAACAGAAAAACCTAGGCTGGACAATTTATAAAAGAAAGAGGTTTATTTATATCCCAGTGATGCAGGCTGAGAAGTTCAAGGGGATTGTCCTGGCTTCTGACAAGGGTGTTTGTGTTGCATCATAATGTGGAAAAGAGGGTGAAAGGGCAATTGGACATATGCAAACAGGCAGTGTCCCAGCGTGTACAGGTCAGTGGCACTGCAGGCCTGTCCCTGGAAAATATTCTGTCCTCCTAGGTCTCTGGGCCTGGGGTGGGAAGGGCCACCTGAAAGATCTTTGAGATGCCTTTGAGGCTTTTTTCCCCATGGTTCTGATTCTTAGCACCTGGCTCCATTTTACCTATGCTAATCTCTTTATCAAGGCCCATGGGTCCTCCGCCAGCCCACTCGAATTCCTCTCCTGAAAATGGTCTTTCATTCTCTGCCACACAGCCAAGCTGCTAATTTTCTAAATGTTTTCACTCTGCTTCCTTTTTAATTATAAATTCCACCTTTAGATCATTCCTTTGCTGTCAACTGAACGTATGCTGTTAAACATAACCGTACTGCTTTATGAACGCTTTGCTACTTAGAAATTTTCCTGCCAAAAATTCACAAAGTGCTAGTACATGGACATAATGCAGCCAAATTCTTTGTTACAGTGTAACAAGCATGGCCTGTTCTCTAGTTCCCAATACCTTTTGTGACCTCATCAGAGTGGCCTTTACTGTCCACTTTTCTATTAGCATTCTGGTCACAATAATTAAACCAGAAGTTCCAAACTTTCCCTTGTTCTTTTTCCTGAGCTTTCATCAGAATCACCCTTATGCTCCATTTTTGACAGTACAGTCTTTTTCTAGCCTGCTCCTCCAAACTCTTTAACCTCTACCCATCATCCAATTCTAAAGCGGCTTCCACATTTTCAGGTATATTTAGAGCAACACCTCAGCGCTTGGTAGCAATTTTTGTTGTAATCCATTTTGTGTTGCTAGGACAGAATACCTGAGTTGGGGTCATTTATTTTAAAATGAGATTTATTTAGCTCATGCTTCTGCAGTCTAGGAAGCTCAATGGCATGGCCTTGGCTTCTGGAAAGGGCTTTCATGCTGCGCCATAACACGGTGGAGAAGGTGAAAGGGGAAGTTGGCACACGTGAACAAGCAAAACCTAAGAAGGGTGCTGGCTCCTGACTTCATAACAATCCACTCTTACAGGAACTAACTCATTCCCACAAGAACTAATGCAGTCTCTGCAAAATGAAAACTCATTCACTACCATGCAATTTGTAACAAGCCACCCACAAAGATGGAGTCTTCATGACCCAAACACCTCCCATCAGGACCCACCTCTCACAAGTGTTACAGTGAGGATCACATTTCAACCTGAGTTTTGATGGGGACAAAGATACCATATTCGAGCCATAGCATCGTCCCATAGTATTTCTTTGTTCAGAGTTCTTTTGTATATTTTCATTTATTTGTTCAAGGAAAAGTATTTTAATGATATAGATATATTATTATGATTAGCTAATTTTTATCTTTACTGTTTAATGTTTAATATCATAATTTATCCATTCATGATTTTTTTTACAAATAATTCTTTTTCTATTTATAAAAAATTAAATATACAAAAAGCATAGAAAATAAAATAAAAATATTTGGGAAACTAACTGAAAAATTCAACAAATAATATTTTCCAGGTTTGATTCATATTTTAAAAAGTGATAATATCACTAATATCCTAAAGTCCTGTATTGTCATCTAATTCCACTGACTCCTTTCAAAATGGTAGCCACTACCTTAAAGTTGTATTTTCTTGCTGTTTGTACTTTATAAAATATATGAAGCCATAGAAACACAGTAATAATTTCTGGGAGAATATTTTCTATATATTATATAATTATCTACATAGATTGTTAAGCCTAATACTCAACATTGTTTTCAACATCATTCATATTAGTACATTCATTTAGCAGCTAAACCTAATAAGTTTAAATGAGAATTTTGTATTTTATTTTTTTCCATTCTTTCCCTAATGAATTTTGGTTGTGTGTTTTGGTTGGAACAAAAGGCAACATAACAGTGGACATCCTTAGAGAAGCATTCTTGTGCTTATACAATACTCCTGAATACATTCAGTTTATCCCCCTTGCATAGGCTGGTCCTTCTCAGTCTCCTTTGCTGAGGATACTTCTTCTTCAAGAAATATAAACAGTTGAGTGTCTCAGGACTGTTACTGCACCTTTGTTCTTTGTCTCTAACCACTCCCTGAATACGATCCTTTGTCTCTAACGACTCCCTAAATATGAACATGCAATACTAAATAAAATATCATTCATATGCTCATAATTTTCCAACATTTTTCTTCTGCCCTGAACTTTCAACTGCTTACTTGGCATCATCACTTGCAAATCTAATAGATACCACAAATTTAATTGTGAAAGAGGATTTTAATTGCCACACTGTTCCAAACCTACTCTTCCATAGTCCTTTGTCTCTTAGGAAATGACACTATCTCATATCTAGCCACTGAAGCTAAAAAGCTGGAAGTGGAGCAGCCTCCTAGCAGTATGGAACCTATTTCTTTCAAATACTATTTTTAAACATTGAGCACGTCTTGCAGAAACTTCCTTCAAAATATATTGGCAACTCTCTTTCTATGCCTAGAGTCTTGGAGCTCACAGCTATCATCCAATCAAAAGTGGCTTCCACACTTTCAGGTATATTTTGGGTATATACATCCTACCTAAATAAAATGGAGGAGTTTTCTAAATGGTATTCCTTCGACTTTTTCAAGACTCTATAGCAAATTATCTAGAAAATAACCACAGTGAGTTTTCAAAACTGTAGCACTGCCCTGCAGAAAATAACTCTCTAATAAACTTTCTCATCACACTTAGAATAAAAAGCAAATGATCCATTGTGGCCTAACAGTCTTCACATGTTCTGGGATGTTTCAGTGATTTTATCTCCTTAACACTCTTAACTTCCCTCAACATTGCTATAACCACACTATGATTCCTTATCTAACTAAATGATGCTTCTGGATCTTAAACTTGTTTCTCATTCATCCCATTTCAATATCAACTCATTGTCACTTTCTTGGTGAATCCATTCCGAAACAATCTAATTTAAAATAGCACAGCTTCCATGCTGTGTTTCCTTTATTTTGTTTTAATGTTTATTTGCAGCACTTTTATAATGTATGTTTACATATTTATTTCTATTTTTGTCTTCTCCCACAAGAATGCACATTTCCTGTGCATAGAAAATGTTTCCATCTTATTAACAACTATAGCCCTAGCACAAAAAGAAATGTTCAACACTTAATAAAAACTTCATAAATATGTATTTAATTATTCATTAACTAAGTAATTAATTAAATGTTCACAAGTAGAATTATTGACTGGTAATTTATGCACATAATTGTGTGTACAACATATTGGAAAATTATCTTCAAAAGTGGCTACACAAAATTACTTTCTAAAAAACAATATTATTTGGTGATTTTTTTTTACCTGTGTGATTATTTACTATGTTCAGACTTCTTCATGGTGCCAAAACAAATAGTTGTAAAATTATAACCACCTGAATTTTTTATTTGCCTTTCTTAGTACCGTGAGGTTGAACAGCATTGCATTTGTTTCTTGGCCATTCAGGATTCCTATTTTGTGATTAATTTATCTCATATATCTTCAGAGTATTTAAAAATTCATATTCTTTTCATTAATTTTGGAAGCTGCTTTATATAGTTTGAATATTGATTTGTTAAGAGGAGCTTGTGTGCAACTAACTTATGCTAGTATTCCAATTGTAAAATAATTTGTGATTTATTATTTTGAACTAGGTACAAGAAAAGTTTTTTTATATTTTCTCTTACTAAAATTAGAACCATTGAGCCAGCAATCAGACTACTTAGTATCTATGCAAAGGAAAATAAATTATTATATCAAAAAGATATCCATACTTGTATGTTTATTGCAGCACTATTCACAATATCAAATATATGAAATTAACCTAACAATCAATGGATAATTGGATTAAAAAATTGTGGTATATGTGTGTGTATGTGTATATATATATAAGCCATAAAAAGAGAACAAAATTGTATCTTTTGCAACATCTTGATTGGAACTGGAGCCCATCGAATGAAATAACTGAAAAAGAAAGTCAAATACCACTTGTTCTCACTTATAAATGGAAGCTAAATAACATGTACACATTGACATAGAGCGTGGAATAATAAAAACTGAGAACTCAGAAGGGTGGGAGGTTGGTAAGGGACGGGAAATGTCTTTATGGGTACAATGGACACCATTCAGGTGATGACTACACTAAAAGTCCAAACATCACTGTTACATGATATATCTATGTAACAAAACTTGACTTGTAACCCTTAAATCTATAAACATAAAAAAATTAAAATTAAAAAACAAAATTTTAAAGTTTTGCTTTTCATTTTTGGAACTTTAATTATCCTTGAATTATATGTTAAGGTATGACCTTTTATTAGTCCATTCTCACACTGCTGTAAAAAACCACCTTGGACTGGGTAATTTATTAAAAAAAAAAAGAGGTTTAATTGACTCACAGTTCCTCAGGCTGTACAGAAACCATAGCTGGGGAGGCCTCAGGAAACTTACAATCATGGTGGACAGCAAAGGGGGAGCAAATATGTCTTACTATGGCAGAGCAGGAGAGAGAGAGAGAAGAGGGAAGTGCAACACACTTTTAAACAACCAGATGTCATGAGAACCCACTCACTATCATGAGAACAACAAGGGGAAAACCCACCCCATGGTCCAATCACCTCTCTTCAGGTCCCTTTCTCAACAGTGGGAATTACAATTTGACCTGAGATTTGGGTGGGAGGACAGAGCCAAACCATATCATTTAGCCTATGGCCCCTCCCAAATCTCATGTCCTTCTCACATTTCAAAACACAATCATGGCTTTCCAACCATCCCCCAAAGTCTTAACTCATTCCAGCATTAGCTCAAAAATCCAAGTCCCAAGTATCATCTGAGACAAAGCAAGTTTCTTCCACCTATCAGCATGTAAAATCAAAAACAATTTAGTTACTTCAATGATATGATGAGGGTAAAGGCACTGGGTAAATGCACCCAGACAAATAGGAGAAATTGGCCAAAACACAGGGCTACAGGCCCCCTGAAAGTCCAAAACCCAGCAGGGAATTCATTAAATCTTAAAGCTCTGAAATAATCTCCTTTGACTCTATGTCTCACATCCAGGTCAGACTGATGCAAGGGATGGGCCCCCAAGGTCTTGAGCAGCTCTGGTATAATAGCTCCGCAGCGTAGAGCCTCCTCAGCTGCTGTCTAGGGCTGGCATTGAGTGCCTGTGGCTTTTCCAGGTGCATGGTACAAACTGTTAGTGGATCTACCATTCTGGGGTCTGGAGGACAGTGGCCCTCTTATCACCACCCTATGAGGGCAGTGCAACAGTAAGGACTTTTTGTGAGTGCTCCAACCCCACATTTTCCCTCCACACTACCCTAGTAGAGGTTCTTCATGAGGGCTCTGCCCCTGCAACAGACTTCTGCCTGGAGGTCCAGGCATTTTCATACCTTCTCTGAAATCTAGGCAGAGGCTCCCAAACCTCAACTCTTGTCTTCTGCACACCCGCAGGCCAAACACCATGTGAAAGCCACCTAGGCATGGTGCTTGCACCCTCTGAAGCAATGACCCAAGCTTTACCTTGGCCCCTTTTACTCATGGCTGGAGCTGGAGCAGCTGGGATGCAGGGCTCCATTTCCTGAGGCTGCACAGAGCAGTGGGGCCCCAGGCCTGTCCAAGGAAATCATTTTTCCCTCCTAGGCCTTCAGGCCTGTAATGGGAAGGGCTACCGGGAAGGTCTTTGAAGTGCCTTGTAGGCATTTTTTTCCATTGTCTTGGCTATTGGCATTTGGCTCTGTTTTACTTACGCAAATTTCTGCAGCCTTCAATTCCTCCCCAGAAAAATGGGTTTTTCTTATTTATCACAGGGTAGAGCTGCAAGTTTTCCAAACTTTTATCCTCTACTTTCTTTTTAAATACAAATTCTAATTTCAAGTCACTTCTTTGTTTATGCAAATAAGCATAGGCATTTGGAAGCACCTAGGCTACCTATTGAATGCTTTGTGCTTAGAAATTACTTCCGCCCGATGCCTTAAATCATCACTCTCAAGTTCAACGTTCCACAGATCTCTAGAGCATTGGCACAATGCTGCCAGTCTCTTTGCTAAAGCATAGCAAGAGTAACCTTTACTCCAGTTCCCAAACTCCATCAGAGACCACCTCAGCCTGGACTTTATTGTCCATATCACCAGTATTTTGGTCACAACCATTCAACAAGTCTCTAGGAAATTCCAAACTTTTCTACATCTTCCTGTCTTCTACTGAGCACTCCAAATTGTTCCAACCTTTGTCCTTTAGCAGTTCCAAAACTGTTTCCACATTTTCAGGTATCTTTATATCAATGCCACACTTCTCTGGTACCAATTTTCTGTCTTAGTCCATTCTCATAGTGGTATAAAGAACTACCTGAGACTGGGTAATTTATGAAGAAAAGACATTTATTTCACTCACAGTTTCTCAAGGCTGTATAGAAAGCATGGCTGGGAAGCCTCAGGAAACTTACAATCATGGCAGAAAATGAAGGGGAAGCAAGCAAATTTTACCATGGCAGAGAAGGAGACAGAGAGCTAAGGGGGAAATGCTACACACTTTTAAACAACCACATCTCATGAGAACTCACTCACTATCATGAGAATACATGGGGAATTCACCCCTGTGATCCAATCACCTCTCACCAGGTCCCTCCTCCAACATTGGGAATTAGAACAGGACATGAGATTTGTGTGGGACACAGAGCCAACCCATGTCACACCTAAAGTTTGAATATACTTGTATATTCTTTTATACACAAAGCCAACGAACATGATCATTTATGATCTCCTATTTCACCCCTTAGCTTGTGATACCTTATTTAACATATATGATCTGTCATATGTGAAATTACCATCTATCTGTGGCTATGTTTCCAGGTTCTTTATTGTGTTCTATTGGACTTTATTCTGCTGCTGTACTATTTTAATTATAATCGCTTTATAGGAGCTCTTTATAGCAGAAAAAATTCTCCCCTATTATGCTTTTCTGAACAATATTTGGTCCATCTTGGGTCTTCACATACTCACATATAGAGTCAGTAGAACAATTCTGTAAAGAAACCTTGTTAGAATTTTGATTGGGGTTTTACTTAAAAACAACTTAATTTGGCAAGAATTGACAATATTAAACCAGAGACCCATACTGCATTTAAAAACTAGTAAAGATGATCTTTGACACCAAAATATATATATAAGCTTTTAGTTTATTTGGAAAAGATCTGTTTGGGGAAGGAAATATTATTTTTTAAAGCTGAATTGGACTGTAATTCACCTATTCTTCAAACTATGTTCATAAACATATTTTCTTTATTTAGATTAAGGCTAAAAAACCAGACACATTTATACACATTCTTCAGCAGCTATGTGGGGATATTTATGGAGAGAACCCAGAAAGAAGGTCTCAGTATTTTTCCAATTATCTCAAGCACTGAATATATATTTACCTAAGCACGCAGTTAATTACTGCCACAGCCAGGGAAGCAGGTCACATTTTTATTTTCTACCGTCTATTTAACAGTCTATTCTTGATAATGTAGAGAGGTTTACTAACATTCTATATTTCAAGCCTTAACTTCAGGCTTAATTTTTGCTCTGGAGGATTATGTCCATAAATTTATGAGATAGAGCAATGTTCTCTAATCTCCTGACCTCCTGGCTCCAAAACACAGATGCATATTCAGCTCTTCCCCAGGAGGGTAGTGACCTGCTGAGAAACAAAGAGAGAACTGTCACGGAGTCAAGTTGAAGGTTTTAACAAGTTATACCCACAAACACAGAACAGTGAAGTATAGAATATAAAACTTTTGATTCTGAGGAATTGAGTTTTTATTGCAGATGCTGGGGAGAGATAAAATTCCTTCCTGATAGTACATTCTTGTCATTGTAGCAGAAATATGAAAATGATATTAAAGCATCTCCAGTGAACTTTATTTTATTTCTGTGGAGGGAGGGGAAGTGACATGTTTCTTTCTTTGAAATAAATTGGTTCCTTTAATTTTCTTCTCTGCCAGCAGTGACAGATTATTACAAATTTGATCACACATAACACTGGGCTGACTTTAAATTATGCCATTGCAAGGAAAACAGAAATGCTTTCGTTTCTTCCCCTCCAAGGCAATTTCAGAAAACAAAACATTAGAAATAGTTCACTAATTTTATAGAGAAATGCTAACATTTTTCAATTAAATTACACCAATTGTGTGTTTTTAAATCTTTAATAAACACTTAAAGCTGTATCTCATAATAGCATTATAAAATAACACAGACAAACAACACAAGGATCTCAATGAAATGGAGTTTTCCTTAAAACCAAGCAACCAGTGAATGAATAAAATTGCTGGTAAAACTGAAAACAACAGTATAACCCAAGGAAAGATATTTATTAGTCTGTTCTTGGTTACTGATATTCATGGTTTTAGATGTACTTTCTTGACTTGGTATAGAGCATATAAAATGGGAAAAAATTAAATACTGAATGAAAAATATTGTAGGTTGTAGGTTATAAATTTGCAAGGTGTCTACTTTCCCTATATTATTATTTTTTAATGGGGAAATTTTACTCTCAGTGAGGAAAACAAGGCACTAAGCAGGGGGAAGTCCGCCAATCAATAATAGGATGCATGGGGCAAAAAACATGGTGTGGGCTTTGCACCAGTCACAATTCTACCCAGATGTCTCTGTACCTGGGGGTTGTAGGAGCTTTGATTGGTTGAAAGCAAATGCTGGAAAATTTTGGTTTTCATCAGGTATACCATCTGTTTCCCATATTGTAAATCCTCTTTGCTGTTCCTAGCCTTGGATACTCCTAACTGCAACCTTTGCACATTCTCTCTTCTTACTTCCTTGTATGTAATCTTACTTCCTCCTAAAATAATAAGATTTTAAAATTTCAAACCCAACTGAGATCATTTTTGGTGAAAATCACTGTTAACTGATGGGTTGATAAACCACAGGAAATCTCTTATTTCAAGTCTAGCTGTTTGTCACAACAGACCACTTTGAAATTCTGTGTAGTGCCAATGCCCAGGATCTCCTTTCTGCTTACTTCTTTGATTTCATAAATATTTCTTTCTCTGCTCATCTCTTATCAAGTCTCTGCCCTCCATACATAATTCCTCACAGAGGTCAATTATATTCAATCATATTGTTTCCCCATATACACGTAACTCCAAATGATTACTTCTACCCCCATTTTCTCCCCAGTCTCTCCCTGTGTTTGGGTTTATAAATCAAATTAAGGCTGAAACATTTACCCAGCTATTTAGCAGGGGCTCAAGCTCAATCTGTCAAAAACATCATATTCCCCAAATATTTTCTTTGAGTTTCATTGCTCAGTGTATACAACCACTAAGTTACCCAACTAGAAAGCCATAAATCTATTGGGCATTCTCCATTTCACGGGTATATTCAATCAATCACTGAGAAAACATAAAGCATCAAATTTTAAAATCAGATTTATGTCTATCATAAATAAAGAATGCAGTTATCAGGCAGAACATGGAGAGAGACCTGGGACCACCCATGTGGCTTCCCAGGCCCTTCCTTCTGGCATTAGACATGCTCGCTGGCCCATCCTAACAGTTGAAGTCTCTAAGTGAGGTCTGTAGGTCACCTCACACATCTGGTAGTGTTGAGGTTATGAAACATCTCTCTTTAATACCTAGGTCATTACAGGACTTATATGACACTTTCCAGAGGACCGTGATGCATAAACCCCTTGAATCAAGACTTGTTTGCCACAAGCAATCTTAAACAAGAGACAGCTCGCAAAGAACATCACATAGACCAGGTCTCTCCTTCTAGCAAATGTCATGAGTTTATTCATTAGGAGGTCAGTTATCATGTTTACAATGAGATTACACTGGGTAACTTGCCATATTTTCAGTAAGTGTTTCCCCCAAAAAGGAGGAAATCGGTCAAAGTCCAGCTGTTTTAATGCCTTCTTCCCCAATAAGCAACTTTTAATGATTTTTTTCTTTAAACTTACTTCTTTTCATCTTATTATGATTATGTCAAAAGGCCGAAAGTTATAGATATATTTTTTACAAAAGGAAGTTTTACTTTGAATAAAAGTATTTCGAGGAACCCATCTGTTAGATGTAGAGGAGATGAGAGGCAAGGACTGAGGGAAAGCGGGCTTTTCCAGATTTCTGAATGAGGTCTTTAGCAAATGGCCATGAACTCAACCTCTGGGGTTCTGGACGTCTGGACTGCTCATTTACCTTATACCTACACACCATCTGAGGGACATTGATCAAATTGACACTGGACAAAAACAGTTGGAGTTTGGTTTTTGTTGTGGTTGTTGTTTTCTCCACAAGCAAGGGAAACCAAACCCGGCCACTGATACATTCCTTGTATCTATATATTTCTTACATACACAATATATATTCAACCTTGCATTATATCAATCACTTCTAATTGCTTGCATAAACACTTAGAAGAACATAGTAATACTCCATTTTATAATGAAGTGAGACTCAAGAGATTAAACAGTTTTTCCACAGTCAAACTATATTAGACTCAGAGTTGAAAAATCTATTAGGCTTCTTCTCTATTCTGACACAATGACCCTCTTACCATAATTTAAATGACGCCCTAATTGCACGCTCAGCTAAACCATTCATCTTCACCTATTGCCAACTTATGGGTTTATTTAACATTTTTAGCAAGCTTATCTAGATACATCCTACTATTTCATGTCTCCATTCCTTTATTCTTGTTCCTTTCTCTCCTGAAATAAATTGCCCACTCACTTCTTCGCCTTCTGTGTAACTCCTAGCAACTCTCAATTCCTTTTCTTCACCCTTCCTTTTATCTTTCCCTCCTTCATTCTTTTCTTTCCTTCTTTATTTCTTTCTTCTTTTTTATTCTGTCTTTCTTGCTTTCTTTCTTCTTTCTTTCCCTTCCTTCCTTCCTTACTTGCTTCCTTCCTTCCTTCCTTTCTTCCTTCCTTCCTTTCTCCCTCCCTCCCTCCCTTCCTTTTATTTTTCCTTCCTTCCTTTTTTTTCCTTTTTATTGGTTGAACAAATAGTTGTTGAATATATTGACAATATATCAGATCCCTGTGAGGACTCGACAAACAATGAAAACAAAGACATACTTCTTACGCTGGAAAAACTCTATTTATGGAGTAGATGAACCTTTATACAGATCATTTCAAAATGGTATGATAAGGGCGATAAATGAGGTAGTTACAAAGTACTTTACTTAGGCTGTTGAGTTTCTTGTCCAGAAACTCTCCCAGACTCCACCAAGGTAGGAATGGCTCCCCTTCTCAATGCTTCCATAGTACCTTCTATACGTCTTATCATTGCAATAACCATATTATTTTCTCTCTCTCTTTTTTTTTTTTTCTGAGACAGCATCTTGCTCTGTCACCCAGGCTGCATTGCAGTGGCGCGATCTTGGCTCACTGCAAGCTCCTCCTCTGCATTCAAGTGATTCTCCTGCTTCAATCTCCTGAGTAGCTGGGGTTACAGGCTCCTTTGCTAGGCTAATTTTTGTATTTTTAGTAGAGACGGGGTTTCGCCATATTGGCCAGGCTGGTTTCGAACTCCTGACTTCAGGTGATCACCCACCTTGGCCTCCCAACGTGCTAGGATTACTGATGTGAGCCACCTTACCTGGCCAGTTTTCTTTATATTATCTGTTTGCCTGTCTTCTGCACCTGAGCATTAGTTCTCAAGGGCAGGAATCATGACCTATTTATATTTATGTAGCAATTTGCTGGAAATGTTAAATAGCAATAGAGAAATATGGTTATGGATAATTTATTTTGTT
The DNA here is from genome assembly GCF_000001405.40 of Homo sapiens. Lineage (NCBI taxonomy): Eukaryota > Metazoa > Chordata > Mammalia > Primates > Hominidae > Homo > Homo sapiens. Next base: position 13,124,286 of record NC_000002.12, on the reverse strand, counting down.
TCTTAAATATTTAATACTGTCATACAATGTATGACATTTATAGAATGTTTTAAAAAGAACTGATAGGAATACTTAGAAAAAAAAAAAGCTTGTCCACCACAATCAAGTTGGCTTCATCCCTGGGATGCAAGGCTGGTTCAACATATGCAAATCAATGAACGTAAACCATCACATAAAAAGAACCAATGACAAAAACCACATGATTGTCTCAATAGATGGAGAAAAGGCCTTTGACAAAATTCAACTCTCCTTCATGCTAAAAACCCTCAATAAACTAGGTATTTATGGATTTTGTATCTCAAAATAATAAGAGCTATTTACGACAAACCCACAGCCAATATAATACTGAATGGGCAAATGCTGGAAACTGGCACAAGACAAGGATGCCCTCTCTCACCACTCCTATTCACCATAGTATTGGAAGTTCTGGCCAGGCAATCAGGCAAGAGAAAGAAATAAACTGTATTTAAATAGGAAGAGAAGTCAAATTGTCTCTGTTTGCAGATGACATGATTATATATTTAGAAAACCCCATCGCCTCAGCCCAAAACTCCTTAAGTTGATAAGCAACTTCAGCAAAGTCTCAAATTACAAAATCAATGTGCAAAAATCACAGCCATTCCTATACACCAATAACAGACAGAGAGCCAAATCATGAGTGAACTCCCATTCACAATTGCTACAAAGAGAATAAAATACCTAGGAATACAACTTACAAGGCATGTGAAGGACCTCTTCAAGGAGAACTAGAAACCACTGCTGAAGGAAATAAGAGAGGACACAAACAAATGGAAAAACATTCCATGCTCATGGATAGGAAGAGTCAATATCATGAAAATGGCCATACTGCCCTAGAGACAGACATAGACAATTAAATGTTTGTTAAATCTAATTGTATAGTGTCATTTTGTTTTCTCATTCTATGTTGTGCTACTAACTCTTGCTGTTTATGCTTTCTTAGGTAATGAAACAGATTCCATCACCAGTGATTCTTTGGTGTATGCTATGTGTTTCAGCCCTTGCTGTAACAGAATTCCCTGGACTAGGGGGTTTATAAGCAACCAAAGTTTATTTCTCCACAGTCAAGGGCCCTGCAGATTTGGTGTGTGGAGAGTTCCTGCTTCCTGGATCATAAACAGCACCATCTTGCTGAGTCCTTCCACGGTGGAGGAGGTAACAGTACTCTTTGGAGTGTCGTTCACGAGGGCGCTAATTCCATTCATCAGGGCTGCACCCTCATAACCTAATCAGCTTCCAAAGGCCCCACCTCCTAATACCAATGCATTGGGGATTAGGTTTCAGCATATTCATTTTGGGAGGATACAAACATTCTGTCTACAGCACTATGAAACATAAGGTTGTACTTTTAATTGTAATTTTAATCACTCTCTCAATTGTGGATTTATATCCACCTTGTTAGCTGAGATCTACAAGTTCCTTAAAGTCAAGGATTGTCTATTTCCATACCTTACAGGCTACCTCTTCTTGGACCCTCTTCTTGGTGTCTTTTAGACACCAGATCTAACAGAGAGCTCTTGAGTGTGGATTCAGATGTGCCTGTGCTTGAGTTGTGGCTTCATAGCACATTCGTTGTATAATCACGTACAGGTCATTTCACTTTTCTGTTTTGAATCTTCATACATAAATATAAATGGAAATCACAATATTGTTCTTATATAATTATTATAAAATGTAGAATTGATAAAAACCATAGCAACATTTCAATAATTGTTGCTTTCTGTTCTCCATTTGTCTAATAGATTCTAAGTGCATAAAAAGCAGGGCTCAATTTGTAATTATCTTGGCAACAGAGTGATGAAGTTATCAATCCATGCTTGCTTAACGAGTAAGAAAACCAATGTCTGTTAAAAGGATTTAAATATTATATATGCAAGCCATTGTCACAGTGTAAGTCCTTAATAACCATTGCTTTTCATCCCTTTGTAAGTAAAAAGATTTTAAAAATAAAAATATAATCTTACATTTAAATATACATATATTTGATGAAGGTGTCACACGTCTGATTTTGAAGGCAGTAGGTCACCACTTACTAAAAAGCTAATTTCGTTATTTTTAGTTCAGAAAATATTATTTTTTTCTACCAAAAAGAACTGTTCTACCTATCTAAATGGTACTGTTCTTTTCTGATTGTCCTAAAGCCCCAGATGGGCTTGTTGTTTTCAGAGCAACATGTCCCCTCACATTTAAATGAAGAAGAGAAATCTACGAATCTTTACTGACCACTTCTACTTCCAAACTGAAAACCCTAACAACCACCTCAAGCATTCACACTTGATGTTGAGATCTTACAGCATTGATTTTTTTTTCACAGTTCAGCAAAAGATAGGTAAGAACTATTTACAGTTTTTCTTTTATTTTTCTATTTTTCTCCTAAAATATTACAAAGGATTTATCACTTTACCAAGTTTATTTTTCTATGGGTATTTTCTCCCTCCCCGACTCACTGGTTGAAAAAAAGAAAATACTTCTATTGAAGACATGAGTGAGAGAATCATCAGCTTTCGTGAGAACTGCCAGAAAGGGTATTGTAAACACACCTTGCCCTTATTAATTCTAATTTTTCCCCAGAGTACTTTTCTCTTTGTGCTTTGTGCTCTTTTCAGACCAAGAATAATTAAAATGATACCCAGTTTTCCAAATACAGACATTTACATTTCAATGTATTGTAATGAAAGAAAAAAATACAGCCATGACAAAAAAAAAAAAAAAGGCAATACAATGTTTTGTGTGTCTTGCACATGCCTGCATTTTGTGTTTTGGTTAGAATATGGAATAGGAATTAGGTTGCTCAACACTGGAACATAAACTGGCATTTGGTGTAGAACCTCTGGCCTTCTTTCATGCCTCAAAGATTCTACTCTTTCACCAAATATTAACAGAGAAAGGATGCCATGGAAGATCATCTGCCCCTCCTCTGGAACAGGCGGTAGCAGCATAAACTCGTGATGTGACTGTAAACAATACGGAAATGAAGCAGTCTAAGAGGGAAGCGCCGTTCTCTCCTCTAACTGATCTCTCACTACAAAGCTCAAAGGTAATCAGCGGACTTAGAGAATGTTTAATTAGTCCCAGAAATAAGGTCATGGAAATCCATTTCCATGTGCCTGTGTGTCTACAAATAACAGCAAATAAAGAGGAGTAATATTTTCAAATACATGCTTAATTTATGCAGTATTTGGTGTTTTTCAAAAATTTAACCAGCATTACGTAAGCACATAGTTTAAAGAAAAAACAAATTGAATAGTTCTACAGGTGCCTGTTAAAAAAGTCAGCAGTTCACCATGCTGACATGATGGTCCAACATGCACAAACCATGTTCCCGTTCCCCAGTGGCAACTGCTTTCAATTCCTTTAGTTGATATTTTGCAATTTTTCTCCACGTCTCTTAATACTATGATCCTAATACAATCATACTATTATTTTTATTAAATCAATATTCAATAGGTAAGTTATAATGAGTAGGTAAATGTTGTTCATGGCTAAGATATATAGAATATTATGATTATCATTCATTTCCTGTGAAATGTTTTGCTGTATTTTGAATGCTATTTCAGAGATAATAATTATCCTATTTATTGACCTTGCTTATTTCTGTATTTTTAAGTCTATGTTAACCGCAATACTTCTTAAAGTGTGTACAGTTTTCTTTACCTAAATCCAAAAACATTACTTTATCTATATGATTTCTTTGGAAAGCATTTCCAGTGCATTTTGAACTCATTCCATATGCACTGACTGTTCTCTAGGCCTTTGCAGAACAATTATCTACAATCTTGCTTCACCTTTTCCTTGTGGATTCTCCATTTCTAATTTGTTTGAGTCTCTGCTTCCTAGATCCTATGTTTTCTTATATTTGGTTTTATTTCTCCTTTTGGTAGAGGTAGAATATAGTATCTGGAAATATCTTGAGAAAAGGCATATAGCACATAATTTTTTGATACTCCGGATATCTGATAAATGTGTTCTCCTCTTACACTTAATAGTTTGGATCTAGAATTGTAGGTTAGAGATACTTTTTTTCAGAAATTGGAGTCATTACTGTTTCTGTTTTTCAGTGTTCCCGATAAGAAGTAGACTGCATTTCTGATACTTGTCAATTGTTTAAGGTAATTATTTCCTCCCACCTCTTCAGGAAGTTAATACAGCCACATCATTGCTCCTATTACTTTTCTATTGCTCAATTTTATGTGTTTAGGTATGGTCCAAAATATGAATGTCTGGTCTGAAATATGAATCTATATCTCTGTGTATCATTTTTATTTTAGCCATGTACTTCCAAGACAAATAAGTTAGACTTCTAACAGGAAAATCCATACCAAAGAATGAAAAGGCCCTATTAGAAATCCAGATGTCCCAATAATAGCACAATTAGAAAAGAAATCATAAATGTTATGTTATGATATGTTTTAGAGCTCCTGTATCAACAATTACAGTAATCTTATATCCAGTAGTTATGATGATAGAACAGAAGTGTCTATGTAAAGAGAAGGGCAGATACTATTCTGTAAGAAAGAGAAATTTGAAAATATAGAATTGGGGAAAGTGGTCTTATACATAAAATATAGAAACCTTTCTATATTAAATATTCAAAATATGTAAGTAAAAACATAAAAGATTAAAAGAGAAAGGGAAAGAAAAAGACAAATACTACCAGCAAAAGTATAAATTTACAAGTCCCAGGGACATATTAAATGTATTGACTTTTTTTCATGTAGTTTCCTTAATTTAAATGGAAATAGAAAAGATGTTAAAAATCACATCTATAGTATATGCTATACTATACTATACTATACTATACTAATCTATATTATACTATATGATACGTAAATACAGATAACTTACTACAAAACCCTCAGTCAGTTTAGAATGATGAATAGTGGCATAGTTTCTGGAGCCGAGGTGATGAACTGAACTCATATAACCTTTGGCAAGTCACATCACCTCTTACTTTCCCACCTGCAAAATGGATATATGAATTTCTCCATTTGTATGAGGATATATTTCCAGTATGAAGATATGCCCCATAATGTGATGTTAAATGAGTCCATGACAAGTGCTTAGGAAAATATATGCAAACGACTACTTTAGAAAATGTATATTATCAGTTGTAGTTGTTTTTATTATTGTATTAGTACAGATTACAAAACCAGTTCAGAGTCAAAACATGGTCATAATGAATAACATGTAAACTATTCGACTCTATTTTGAGTGACCTTGAATCTGTACATTTCTTTATGAACTTAGTTATTAACATCTCTGAAACTCCGTTTCTGCATCCGTAAGATGTAGCAAATAAATTTTACCTTTTAGTAGTAATATAAATATCAACTGTTTCAATATAAATGAAGTGTTCAGTATAATTGGGTGGTTACGTTTTGCATTTATGATAGCTGTACAAGAAATCTGACAATAATTTTTTCCATCAGGTTAACCACTCGACATTGAGTTTTTTGTTTGTTTGTTGTTGTTGTTGTTGTTTTTTGAGACGGAGTCTCGCTCTGTCACCCAGGCTGGAGTGCAGTGGCGCGATCTAGGCTCACTACAAGCTCTGCCTCTCTGGTTCACACTATTCTCCTGCCTCAGCCTCCTGAGTAGCTGGGACTACAGGCGCCCGCCCCCACGCCCGGCTAATTTTTTTGTATTTTTTAGTAGAGACGGGGTTTCACTGTGTTAGCCAGGATGGTCTCGATCTGCTGACTTTGTGATCCACCCGCCTCGGCCTCCCAACGTGCTGAGATTACAGGCGTGAGCCACCGCGCCCGGTCAACATTGAGTTTTAAAAATTGTATGCTTAAAATCAGGGAGCCAGAGTTCGCAGTACTCCCTCATTTCAGTTCCTTGAGTTTTCCCTTTTGTTTCTCTCAATAATTTTTCTATGGGATAGTAAAACTGATATTCTCAACAAGGAAGTAGCAAAAATGTCACAATAAATCAGCAATGCTACAATGGTGCTTTCCTGTGAAGAAAGATTAAAAATAAACCCATGCAGGAGATTACTCTATGAAAAGAGTGCCATCATTCTGGGAATACAAAATATTTACAATCCAAGTGGAATAGTGACAGGAATGCATTTAGGCTGTGTATGGAGCAGTGTGAGCGAGTCCACATAGATATCTTAAACCTAGGAAACTGTGTCACTTCTTAGAGAAAACGTGGCATTTTTATAAGTCTCTCAATAATTGTTGTAAAGAACAGACAAAAGATAATCCACTTCCAACTTATTGGTTAAGGAAGCCTTAAAGGAAGAGACAGAATGTGAGGTGGAATTCTGAGGAAAGGTAGGATTCTGTAGTTAGAGATGGAGCCTGGCCACTCCATGCTGGGGAAGGCCAAAAAATAATAATAATAATAATAAAAAAATAAGAGAGACAGAAAAAGAAAAAAATAGGGGAGAATTTTGAGGGCATTTTAGCAAAAGTGAAGTGTTTGGACAGAGAAGGCCCAGAAGAGGTGTCTGAGACTTTTTGGTCCTGGGCTGGGCACATTTATTTCTCTGTCTCTAGTTCTGAGTGAGTACTTGACACTTAGCAGGTGCAAATATTTTATTTTTAATTGCAGTATAGTTTTCAGTTAGATTTAAAATGACCTAGAATGTCAGGATAAACTAACAAACCAAAAAAGGAACCTGTATTACAGGCTATGGGAAGTAATTGAATGATTTTTAGCAGAATAGGTATAAGTCTTTCACTTGCAGAAGCATAACCTAGCAGCCCTTTGGAGAATTGTATGAAAGGAAAGAGGCAGTGAGGAGGTTACGGTAACTGTTTGGAAAACATGATGAGGCCCTAGACTTAGATGAGATCAGTGTTTGAGTAAACAGCTTTAAAAAAAAAATAGTACACATAAAATTGGTAAGATCTGATAGTGACCAACAGGCTAAATGAGGGAAAGAACAAAAGTAAGGATGGCCATGCTGGAGCTCAGATGATGGGAAAAAGAAAGAGGCACCAGTGTCAGAGCTCCCCTGATTGCACTTTATAGAGTTTATGACTTCTGACATTGGGTCTGCCTATGAAATATGAAAGTATTATTTTCAGCATATCCATGGGCTTTTAAAAAATTAATATTTATTAAGATGTAATTCACATTACAAAATTCACCCTTTTAAAGTATACAATTCAGTGGTTTTACATTTATTAATTCAGTTATTCCTCACAGTCCCAAGAGGTAAGTATTAATAGCATCCCCAATTTGCAGATGAAGCTGAGGCCAAGAAATATTGAGTAACCTTCTCTAAGCTTTGAATGAAATAATAAATATAAAATACAGGATTTATTTAACAAAGCAGATATTCAATGAATGTGAATTATCTTTCCTCCTTTATTATGTAATTAAGAAGCAACTTGAAGATTGTCATAATATATCAATCATTACTTTATTCAGTCTTGACCTAGTCACTGTTCAGTTCCAGGCACATGTGAAATGCCGGGTTTACAGATATGATTAACTATTTCCCCTATCCTAAAAGATGCTCACAAATACCTGAGTAACAGACTCAAACAGTAAATAAGATTATGAATAAGTAAATAAGGAGTGGTTGGATACCAGTTATTACTGTGGGTTATCTGCATTCAGCATGGCCTATAAGTTAAAGAAAGCAAAGTAAAACCAGTTTTTCAGTCCAAAAGTATTATGTAAATTATGTACTCTCGTAAGTGTTGTATACATACATGAAAGGAGTGAAACAGTGATTGCTCATGGAGTTTTTCCACTCAACAGAGAGATAAAGCAGAAGGCCACAGTCAGTTAAAGGAGTAACATTTGCTTTCTATGAGAGATAGGAATCCAGTTCAGAACAAATCACCTCCAGCTGGGGTAATCCAAGAAGACTAGAATTAGCATTGAAAGGAAAGCAAGAATTTAGAAGCTGAGAGGAGTAAAGAGGACACTCAAGATAAAAATACACTTAATCTAATCCAGGCCACACATATTTATTAAGCATAAAAATTATGATAAACATAAGGAAATCACAAGAGAAACATAGATGAATGCGATATAAATTCTACACAAAAAACAGCTCACCGTCTAACAGGAGAGAAATAATTACATAAATAGAGATTAGAGTGATGAGTTCTCTGTGAATGAATTCACACATAGAGGGGTGAAGAAGGCCCCAACTGAGAATTTGGCCCTCCGGGAGGGTCTTGCTCAAAGCATTCTTGAATAGTGTAGCAATATATAAAATAATGACTCTTTGGGGTACCTCAGAAGCCAAAATCAGCAAGGACAAATCTCAATACAAAATGTACAAAGGAGAAGCAGAAGCCAAAGGCAGAGGCAGGTTGAGACATGAATCAAAGGAAGCACGTTGGGAACAAAGTAAAAAAGCACTGAAGGGTTGTTGCCAAGGGAGCTGGAGTGGTCAGGCTGGCTGTTATTGATTGATAGGTTGAGCTATGGACAATGTGCCTCCTTACAACTAAGAGTCAGGGCAGACATTGTGCTAGTAGTATGAACAGTACTCTCTGATCAAGTAGAGGGACTGGACAATTTTGTTGGTCAAGGACAGAGGAAACACTTCACAAAGGAGGTGATATATGTATTGGCCTTTGAAAATCAGGCAGATTTCTTTTAGATAGAGAATGGGGGCAGGAAAGGTCTCTTTATGCACAGGACACAGCACGATGAAAGGCTCAGGGCATATGAGTGCATGGCTGCATGGGGATGTTCAGGGCATATGAGTGTTCTGGCATTTTTAGCACATTGCATGTGTGGGAAAAAAACAGTGGGAAATAATGCTTACAGAGAATTTCAGAGAACTCTAATTAGGTGCAAAGAGGAAAAGGCAGCTTTGTTGCAGAAACAGTGTAAGATATTTCTTAATATTCAATTTATAACTATTTTTTCTTTAGGTCTAAATAAGATTATCTGTGTTAACAAATTGAATGAACGTCATTTTTTGAAAAGAAAGGTTTACCAATTCTATGATGGTTAATTTTATACGTTATCTTAGTCCATTCAGGTTGTTATAACAAAATACCTTAGACTGGGTGGCTTATAAATAACGTATATTTATTTCTCATGTTTCTGGAAGTTTGGAAGTCCAAGATCCAGACTCAGATATATTTTGTGTCTGGTGAGGACCCATTCCCTCATAGATGCAGATTTAACTGTATCTTACCTAGTGGAAGAGGTGAACGAGCTCCTTTGAACCTATTTTTAAGGGCACTAGTCCCATTTATAAAGGTTCTGACTTCATGACCTAATTACTTTCCTAATTATTCCACCTTGTAAAACCTTCAATGTGGCAGTTAGGATTTCAAAATATGTATGTTGACGGGACATAAATATGTAAATCATAAGCATGTGTCAACTTGAATGGGCTACAAGGTGCCCAGACAGTTGGTGAAACATTATTCAGGATGCTTCTGTGAGGGTGTTTTGAGATGATATTCTCATTTTAACCTGTAGACTGAATAAAGCAAATTACTATCTTAATGTGGGTGGTCCTCATTAAATCAGTTGAAGGTCTGAAAAGAATATAGTCTGAGTCTACCTTAAGTGAAAGACAGTCTATCCCACCTGGTGGCACTCAGATTGTTACATCAGTTTCTTCTTGCATCCAGACACAAACTGAAACATTGGCTTTCCCTAGGTCTCAAGCTTATCAGCTTTTAGCCTGGAACTATGCCATCAGCTTACACCATCTGGTTTTTAGGCCTTCAGACTCTGAGTGGAACTGGAACTACACTGCTAGCTTTCACGGTAATCCAGCTTGCTGACTCACCCTGCAGATCTTGGGACTTGTCAGACCCTGAAATCATTTGAACCAATTTCCTATAATCTCTCTTTCTCTCCCCCTCTCTCTCTTTCCTTCTCTCTCTTTCTCTTTCTCCCTCTGTAGCTGTAGTTATTCTATTGGTTCTGTTTTTTGAAACCAATGGAATTTGACTAATTTGACTAATACAAATGTCAATAACTTCTTTGTTATAACCCACTACCCATGCATTTTTTTTTATCCAGGTCAACAGACTCATACTTTTAAACACCTCATAATTTCACAAGGAGCAATCTGAGATGAAGAATCTTTAGAGCAAGAAATAAACAGGAAAATGTAAAGTGTCCTGACAACATTCCTGACACATTGGCTTCCTTTGGATGACAATGATTGCCTCTGTCTCTTCCTGCACACACACACACACACACACACACACACACACACAGACACACACATACAACTGTGGCCTAGAGAAAAGTCTGCTAAGGATTTGGGGTCTAACAAATCTTAGTCCAAATTTTTGCTCAATTTTCTACCGCCTGTATGATCAGTGGCACATGACTTAGTCCAAATTTTGGCTCCATATCCTATCACTTGTTTAATCGGAAGCAAATGACTTAATTTTAGAAGCCTCAATTTATTTTTTGATAACATGAGAACAATCAGAGAATGTACCCATAGGTGAAAATGAGATGAGCGTACGAAACACTTATCACAAAAAAACTAAAAGTATCAGTGCTTTCCCCTAATCCTAGTATGAACAAATGTTAGTTCTTCCTCCTCTTTCCTCTCATTCAATTCTCCTGCACATCCTTCCATGAAGAAAACATCATTATAATGGGATGAAAAATCCTGTTGTAAACTTTTGGCTTTCATTTGTGTTCTGAGCACACATCAGATTCAGTCATGCTCCAGTCTAATACTCATCGAAAGAACTGAGATAAATAAGCTTTCATTATCTATGGCCAAATGTTTAAAACACCATACAGTCACCATCCAACACAGAGGTAGCTGCACTCCTGAAATTTTTTGATTACTTTTTAGTATGTATAAAGTCATTCAGATAATAAGATCTCAAGAAGAAGAAAGCTAAAGGATGATGGAAATTTATTCCTCAGGATCTTGGGCTATGGTAAAATGTGGACACACACACATACACACACGAACACACACACACACTTCAATAAATATTAACAACCACCTACAAATATGTTTTATGGGCTTTCATGAAAAGCCTTCTTCAGGAGCTTCGCAAGGTCACCTGGTTAATCTCTAAATTAATCTTTGTGCAAACAAAACTCTTGTAAGCTGTCTAGCAGCTGACCTTAGAAACAAGGCAGTATATAAGCCTCTGGCAGTCCCCTGTGACCTTGACGGATCTTAAATATTTTTCTTTTCTGTTCCCATCAGTGCTGTGCATGCTTCAAGCTATGCTCACTGAATCTTTGTGTGTGTGTACGCATGAGAATACAGTAATTTTTTTTCCAGTCCTTTCAATTAAAACAAATTCTTCAAATTATAAAAAATGCCAATAAAAAAAGCTTTCAGGGACAAGGCCTATTAGAATTGTAAAAGAAGTCAGAGATCATTTGGCCTGAACCCCTTTTTTTAAAACTGTGTAAAATTATAGAGAAAAAAATAATTTTCTAGCATCTATACTATGTGCTAAATGTGTTACCCAAAAAGATATGTTGAAGCCCTGACGCGTAGTCTCTGTGCATGTTGCTTTATTTGGAAAGAGGGACCTTGTAGCTCTAACTAGTTAAAATGAGATAATACTGGAACAGTATGGGCCCTTAATCCAATATAACTGGTGTTCTTATAAGAAGTGGAAATTCTTATGTGAGGACAGAATCACACAGAGGGAAGACAACCATGGGATGGCTGCAGTCGAGGTTGGAATTAGGTGACTACAAAACAAGAAATGCCAAGGTTCTAGGTTGAAAAAACATGCAATGGTAGCAGTGAAATGTGTGAGAGTTTTAACAGCAGGTACCTGAGAGAATGAGTTGAAGCTGCATATACACAGTGTTAAAAATGCTGAATGTTCATATAAAAATATGGGAAGGGACGATTGAAATCGTGATAGGTCACACATCACATCTCTGCCCCAGCTCTTCCTTGGTACCACTCTGTGCACTGCACTTAATTACTGTAAAAGGGAAGTAGTAAGCATCTGAACTGTTCTATTGATGATTTGTTGCTCTTTTTGAAGAGAAGAAAATAGAAGGATTTTAAGCTGAACATATACCACTGTATGAACCATACTTGAAGCCAATATACCAATATGGTTGTGTATCAGGGGTAGAACCAATCCAAACTCCTAGACCTAAGAATAGGCTTTGGGAAATCTGCTTAAATATTCTAACTCCGCTCTCTTGATCTATAGAATGTGCATAATAATAGCTTCTATATAATTGTATTATGAGGCTTAATGAGGTAATGCATTCAAAGTGATTAGTTCTATTCCTTCCCTACAACACTCTATATATTTAGGTGCTATGAAGAGGATAAGTGGGAAGGAGGAGAGACTGAAATGGGAATTAGGGGGTGAGTAGAGTGTCAATGTGAAGAAATAAAGAAGAGACCCATGAGAAGCTTTACTTAAATTACGAATAAGAATTTCAGATGTGTTTATAATTCCATCCTTATTCCCTTTCCTTCAGAGAAGAAAATTGGAATTGTACAGAGGACTGAGGTGGAGAAAAGACAGAGTCTAACGTCATATTTGGATCCTTCATTTATTCCTCAACTCAGCCATCACTACTGTCTTATTTCATTCTCATGCTGCTATGAAGAAATACTGAGGTGGGGTAATTTATAATGGAAAGACACTTAATTGGATCACAGTTCCACAGGGCTGAGGAGGCCTCAGGAAACATACAATCATGGAGGAAGGGGAAGAAAACACATCCTACTTCACATGGTGGCAAGAAGAAGAAGTGTTGAGCCAACAGGGGAAAAGCCCTTTTCTCATCAGATCTCATGAGAACTCATACACTATCACGAGGACAGCAGCATGGGGATAACTACCCCCATGATTCAATTACTCCCACCAGATCCCTCCCATGACACATGGGTTTTATGGGAGCTACAATTCAAGATGAGATTTGGGTGGGGACACAGCCAAACCACATCAACTTACTGAATACTTTCTGTGTATGTCTAATAATTTTGATATAGTTCTACTGTCTTTCCCCTGATGGCTTTGCTTAGGGATGTTTATAAATGAAATTACTCATCCTGTCACCAAATTGTGATCAAAGATGAACAGATCTGACTCATTGTGGTGGTGATGATAATAATAATCCAAATTCTATCCCCTCTGTTGTCAGTTTAATCCTACCATAACATGGTGACCTGGGGATTAAGCCTGACTAGCCACAGGGCTAACACAGGGGAATAATTCATGAGAATGACAATTCAGACTCAGCCAAGGTTGCATTTTTATCAGTTCATTGTTGAACCATCAATCAAATGAGACCAAAGGTAACCACAATACCGAGGATACACAGAAGCTCACATTGGGATTAATCTTCTGGTCCTTCTGATCTCACAGGGACAGCTCTAAGTTATGTTATTTCAATAGCCCTCTTAGAATAACATGGGAAGATCCTAAAATTGCTGCCTTGAGGTAGGGGAGGAACTCCACGTCAGTCTTTCAGAGTTCATGCCAGTAACACATTAATAACAACAACAACAAAAAAAAACGTGCACTGAAGCTTCATACTTTAAATGCCATTTGTTGTTGAATCATCGAGTCTACTTAAATTTTTCTTCTAACAGATCACAGACTACCATGGTAGATTTACTCTTATAATTCATTTAATAAAGAGACTTAATTCAAAGATTTATGAAAATAATAACAACAAAAATTGTTTAAAGTTTATTTTTCTTCACCAACTGCTGTCCTGAGACATGTTGCATAGGTTCTCCCTCCATTCCCTGTTGAAGGTATTTTAGACATAGCCCATAGGTTTCCCAATCACTTTTTAGTCATAAGAACACAGGTCATTTTAGAAATGAAAACACTCTGGATTCAGGAATATCCAAGATTTCAATCTTCAATCTAGTTCACAATATCTCCTTTTCCCCAAGTTAAGGAATATAAGGTGGAGAAATAAAATAGTTGTACCTTCAGTATTTATTTTTCATGTATATCTGCCTCCATACTTCATGCAGCAGGTGGGTGGGGCAGGAGGAGGTGCAAAGATTAGAGAAGAGGGAAATGAATTCTACTGAGCTGGTTCTGTCTGTGGTGTTCTCTTGCCCAACAGTACCTAGTCAGCATACTCTCTGTGGGGCAGGAGTTCTAACATTAAATTTTGAGTGTACACAGCTGTAGCTTCCTTAGAACTATTTCTGTCCCTTGCTCTGTCATGGACACCTTTGCACTGGTCAGCTCTGTGGGGACAGGAAATGCACCCTTCAGACAATTTTCTCATCTCCCCAGGTAGCCCTATGGGAAGAATCCATTCAGAGTGATGTCAGAGACCGTGTTATAATTCCAGTTCTGCACCCCATTGTTTTCCTTCCCTATGCTACAACACTTAGCAGCATCTACTCACTTTGGGGTATACTTCCTGCCTCTTGACTTTGGATTTGTCTATTTGACTTACTCTGACCAATAGAATAAAGATGAAATGATATTATACCCATGTTAGCAAAAGCCTCGGCAGGATTTTCATGTTTGTTTCTTCTTTTGTTCTCTGTCATTACCAGGAGAAGAATATCCTCAGCCTAGACTGTAGTTATGAAAAAGGTGATGACAAACACGAAGCAGTGCCACCAGCCACACCCAGCCTAGATGACCAGGTACTAGCTTGCACAGGCAGACCTATGAGTGGGCCTAGCAGGGACCAGCAGGGAAGCCAGCCTGGGCCTGTCCTGTGTTATCTGAATCCTATCCAACCTTCCATCTCATGAGCCAAACAGATACTCCTCATTGTATAGCACAGAGATTATGTGGATGTGTGCTTAGGACAGTACTATGGTGCAGTTATTAACTGACACGATTAATTACCTTTGTGTCATAATTCACCTACCTGAAATCCCTGCACTTTTATTATGTCAAATATGGAAAGCATTTGCTGCTGCTATGCTTCTTGTCCTGACTTTATAAATTACTTCCCACATCCATTCTGTCCTTTCTTATATGGGAGGTTGGCAAACATTTTCTGTAAAGGGCCTGCTAATACATTTCTTACAGATTGTATGCTGTCTGCCTCCATTTATCTATGCTATTATAATGTGAAAGCAGCCGTAGAAAACAAAACAATAAATGGTGAGATGTGGGTATGTTTCAGTAAAATTTTATTTATAAAAGCAGACAATAGACTGGGTTTGGACCATGGGTCATAGTTTGTTAACCCAGCTTTATGGTAACAAAATCTGTTACCATGGTAGCAATGGGCATATGACTGCTTTGCTGAAACATTATCATATTCCTGCCTACTTTCCAGATACATGGCAAAATATCCAGTCAATTTACTGTCATAAAAATATTATTTAATATCCTTAAGTCCCTGGCACATCTCTGGCCCTTCTCCCACCTTTTCCCCTGGTAGAACTTGTACCAAAAGGAGAGAAGATGCCTACACCTAGAGGAGTAAGCTCAAAAGAGCCAGGGTCTCTGACAAGTTCATGAACTCACAACCAGTTTGGTCTGCATAGTTATGTCCTTCTTTTACATTAAGTATTTTTTCTTTTTTTTAAATCCATCTAAATTAAGACTTGTCTAATGTATGTAATAAAATAAAATTCTAAATTTTGAAAAGAAATTTGAAACAACAACATAAACCATGGTAAAAATTATTGGGAAAAAGGATTTGTATTAGTTCTCTATTTCTCAGTTCACAAGTTACTCCTCCAACATTGATTTTCCTGTGTCTGATGGTCAGGAATTTGGGCCTAGGATGGGTGCCTCTGACTTAAGATTTCCCGTGGGGTGATAATCAAGATGTCATCTGGACTGCAGTCTCATCTGAAGGAGAGGATAATCCACTTCCAAATTTCTTGATGTTGTTGTCAGCAACACTCAGTCCTTCTCCGTTTGTTTGGCTGAGGGGCTCTATTTCTTGCTGGCTTTTAACAGGCATCTTCCTTTAGCCATTGGCCAGACAGCCTTCTCCATAGGGTTGCTTACAACATGGATTGCTTGCCTTAGAGGAAGCCAGTGAGAGTCTGACAGTCTTTTCATAATCTAATCACACCCATCATTTTTGCTGTATTCTGTATGTTCAAAGCAAATCACAGATCCATCCTATACTCAATGGGAGGGGGTTATATAAAAGCACAAATACTGAGAGATAGGGATCATTTGGCGGTCTTGTATGTGGCCTGCCATTGGAATAAATAATGTTAAAAGCTGCAATAGAATAGAGTACAATAAATGTAATGGAATAAATGTAAATATTGGAAAGGATATATTATCAAAAGAATTTGAAATCCTAAAATAAATCTATAATTCCTAGCAAATAATGACCTAAATTTCATAGCAAAAATAAAATGAACCTCAAATAAGTCAAAATATGAAGATTAGTTATTACAAAGTATTTGAAAACTTTGTTCATTGAAACTATTACCAGGATCTACTGGATTAATAATTGAGTTTTACTTAGTTTCAAAAGAACAGATAATTAAACTGTTTTAAGTAATCCTGGGAGCTAGGAAAATGTTTAAAAATCCTCAATACCTTTTGTAAAATCAAGACATCTTTAATACAATAACTAGGTAAAAATATTGTTATTAAGAACAACATAGAATAGTATTTTTGTGAATGTAGAAGCAATAATTTCAAATCAAGAATAAGGCATTATTAAAAAGAAGCAAGTACACTGTCAGCAAAACAATAAACTATAACCAGATAGAGCTTATTCTAGTAGTACATCAATAAATTAAAGAAAGATCATATAATCACAGCTACAAATGAGAAATTTTAGTGTAATAAACACTAATAAAAGTCATCATTTGTTGTTATCCTAAAAGATAAAACACTAAAACTATTTAAATTAAAATCAGAAACTGGACACCCACTATCACCATTTTCATTTAAATTGTGCCTATCAGATTCTAGAAAATGCATTTAGAAAAATAAGATTGCTGATATAAACATTGGAAAGTAAGTATTTTTCTCTATGATATGTATACCCAGAAAATTCAGATTTTTCTGCCATGAAATTTCTAGTATTAAAAATCAATAGTTGGTCTATTTTCTAGCAAAACACTAAGAGAATCAGGGAAAATATTCTATTTCCTAGCATTCAAAATTATCCACTAGCTAGAAATAATTTTTAAAGTATAGAGTCCTGAATGAAGCACTAAATAAAAAATGTATTTATAGATACAAAATAAGTTCTGCACAAAAGAAGACACATATCATAGTCTTCATTTTAAGACTAAATGAAATGTCAATTTTTACAAGATTAGTATATAAATTTATGTCAATTCTAATTAGTAACGTGACATAGTGTTTTGCCATTGGAAATAATAATTTGAATTATTATAAGGAAGAAAAACTTCCTCAAAAGAAACAAGAGATTAGTGCAAGAGAACATTAAAGGAAGAACTTGCTTTATTTAGATGTATAATAATTTATAAAAATACTGAGGTCAAATCAATGTATCCTTTGAATAAAAATAGATACATGAATCAATCAAAGAAAATAGAAAGTTAAAATTAAATCACAGTATATACGATAATTTAATATAATAAAGATAGTATTCTTATTCAGGGTGGAAAATATAACAGTAGAAATAACTTACTATTAATCTTTATCATCACCTTAAAAAAACAGAGAGATTCTTCAAAGATACTAAGTTTTTCAGGAATAAACAATGCAGTGGGAAGATGTGTGGGTGTATTTTGGGAGGTAAAGAAAGACGAAGGTTTTTAAAAGAAAAATAAATAGGTGTATATAAGCTGTTTAGAAACAATTATCCTTGGCTACAGGGATCAATAACAAGGGTGGTTGTCAGGCCAAGGTTAGGCAAGCAGTTGCCGGGCAGATGTCCTCGTAGGAGTATTTTTTGCACAAGGTTTTGGTTTCAGCAGAGCTATTTGTGATAGGTCTTGTTAACAGGAAGTTTGTGTGTGGAAACTTCATAGACTTCCTGGTTCCATTTTGTCAGGGTTTGACACAAGACACTCCATGACAAATTTAACCATATAAAAACAACTTTGGATCCTACTTTTTATTTTAACCACACAAAAATAAATCCCACAAATAAAAATAAAAGTTGAAAAATCATGTAAGAATTGAAGGTGAATATAAATATCATCTAGAAATTAAAAAAAGATGTCAGTCAAAATAAAGAAACTCAGAAGATGTAAAAGAAAATGTAAATATATTTGACTTCGTACAAACGAGAAACTTTTTAATGGCAACTTACATTGTGATTAAAAAGGGTCAGTAAACAGACAATGAATCTTTAAGGATGGAATATAGATAAAAGATTTTTATATATACATATATATTATGTACTAAGAACTTTTATGTACGTACAAAATAATACAGAAAACAAAATGGAAAAGGTGGCCAAAGGATGTGAAGAAGCCAAAAATAAAACAGCATATCCAAATGATCAATACACATGTGAGAAAAACATCCAAGTCACTAGCATCAAGGAAATGCAAATCAAATTAACAGTAACGTACTCTCTTTACATTTAAAATACTGGTACACTTTATTAATATAAGAGCTACAATACACAGTATTCCCAGGACTGACAATATTGTGTATTATCAATACTATTTCCCTCACACATTGTGACAGAAATTTGAATTGTTACAGAGTTTTTAAACAGTAGTCTAGCAACACCTATGCACATATAAGAGTAAATATTGCCTTTGACCCTGCAATCCCACTTCTGAAAATCAATTCCGCAAAATGAAAACACAAATATGTCAGGGTATAGATAATGGAATTGTTATTAAAACATTGTTTTATGGAGGGAAACATTTAGAAATACAGTGCAAGTCCTTCAACGGGAGGTTGTTAGAATAAATTATGATAGAATCACCACTGAAGTATTGAATACTGTGCAGTTATTAAAGCAAGATGCAGAAAAGTTCATAACATGATCTCACAAAGGAAAATAAGCAAGGAGCAAAGAGTGTATGAGTTTCAGAGTATATAAAAGCATATAGAGCATATATATATATGTGTGTGTGTATATATATATGCACTTTATATATATATATTTTATATATATGCACTTTAAAGTACACATACACACACACTCGGGTAATAAACAAGGTAATTCATGCAAACAAACTAATATTATTTTACCATTCTGAATTGTTTAGTTTGTAACAAAAGGGGAAATTTAGAAGACAGAAAATGAAAGCGGCAGATACAAACTAAGACAGAAAAAATATAAAACAGTGATATCAGTTGTGCATATTACAATCATATGTGTGCCTTCATGCAATTATATGTACATGAATATATGCAAAATTAAATTAGAAATATATATGAGCATGTACAGATAACAAATTTGGGGAATCCTATTTGGTTCCAAGGTTCTGAGACACAGAG
Organism: Homo sapiens; assembly: GCF_000001405.40. Classification (NCBI taxonomy): domain Eukaryota; kingdom Metazoa; phylum Chordata; class Mammalia; order Primates; family Hominidae; genus Homo; species Homo sapiens. Next base: position 13,105,009 of record NC_000002.12, on the reverse strand, counting down.
AGAAAAATCAGTTAAGCAAGTTCCAAAAATCAGTTAAGTAAGCACAATTCATGCAAAAGCTTGGATTGGACTCAGCTCCCTCCCAGCTGGAAAAGTCAAATATTGATGCTATAAAAGAATGTTTAGTCTTCAAAAGACCACATAAATGTATCATAAATTCTCAAGCTTAAAGGTTCACTGTGGAATTGTCAAGGCTCTTTCTTGTATATGAACAGGAATTTTGTACTTTATTATTCATATCTAACCTAATTGGAGAATGCAGGAATTCATTCAGCCCTTAAATTGTGATTATCAATGAACAAACAAGTATGTATCATAGAGGAACCTATTCTGGTAACCCTTTTATTTCTTAAATAACTAAAAATGCATGCACTCTATCTTTATTACTGTTCGATGGTCAGTTGTCATTGTTACTAATAGAAGTATACTTTCTTGCATAGCACTAATATTTTATCTTTTAATAGGACAAGAAAATCTTTTCAGAATTTGGTATTATTAATATGTTTGATTTGGTGTCTTGGAGAATTACTTTTGACTTGTCTTTATTTGTTTTTCAAATATTAAAGAAGTTTTGGAAAATAAAACACATTGCCCCAGAACACACAGAATAAATGAGCAGCTGACCACTGTCCAATTTCAGTACCCAGGGTAGCATGGAGAAGAGGACTGAATCTTTGACGCACCTGTGCACATCCATGTCAATCACGTGACACAACAGAGCTGCATTAGCCCCATAGTGGGGAAATCCTTTCTCAAGGATTTGCTAACAAATTACATTTTATCTTCATTGCTTTCATGCCCTTGAAGATGAAAGAGAATACATTCATGCTTGAAATAAAGCAAGAATAGTTTGATTAAGAGACAACGAGGAAAAGAACTTGTCTTGAAGTTTTATCCACAATAAAAGAGAGAAAATATGTACATAAATTGAGACATTCTCACTCACTATTTTATGCCTGACTGGCATTATTAAAATGAGTTTTTTTGTAGTTTGCTGAGCAAACAAACAAAGAAGTGAAGCAATAGTATTAGCAACCATTTATTGAGCTCTTACCACATAGCAGTCATATTACTGTTTCAAAGCCACATCACTTTTACACATTTTAGACATTTTTACAGCATCATAGTGATGCTGTGCTGTGTGTCTTAACTGGCCATTTTACTAATGATCAGAGACATAAGGCGAGTTATTTACTTCTCACGGGAATAAGTGGAGCAGCCTGTTTTAAAATCCCATTTGTTGGAATTTTACCTGCCCCCGGAAGCAGTTTGGTTGTTGGGGAGGGATGGATAGGGAGGGATGGGGTGGGGAAGGGCAGGGAGGAGTGAGTTGAAGAAGAGGAGTACCAGTTGTGATAGTTTTTGCTGTGGCAAACGTTTCCTCCAGTGTATTGCAAAATCAACAGTGAGAACAAAATATTATTCGTTATGCTCTACAACATTTCATAGAATCAGTATTTGACTTTTGAAGCTGTTACAGAGCTGAGACAAATTGCAGCTTTTACATTAATTGTGCTCTACAATATTGGAACCACTTTTCTTACATTATCCTGTTCTTAGATATAAAATGGGTAGAAATATGAATTCTGCTAATGCAAATAAGAAAGTAAGGCTCAGAGGGAATTAGTGGTTTCTACGTATTACAAAGTTAAAAGAAAGTCAGGCTTCAAAGTCTGAAAATGATTTAGTCCAAGCCCTCAGCTCTGAGAAAGTTGATCATCTTCCAAGAGAGAAGTGAATTTCCCAAAGTAAGACAATCAGAACTGACTGCAGCCCTAAGCTCCTTCTTTTCTTAACTAAGGAAGACTGTACTATAACCAATAGTGAAATAATGATTTATTGCACAGTTAGCAGTACAATGGAAGTTCATGCTTTGGAAGAGACACTCAGATCCTTCTTAGTCCTTGTATAAGTTACCCTATGGGTTAAAGAGTCTGCACTTTCTGAAGGACTGACCCAGCCTCAATCTTTTTTGGTGCCAAGACTCTATCTAAACTTTTCTGCAGAAATCACCTGAACTCATTGTCAGAGTCTGTCCAGTTCTCTTCCTTGTCGGTCCTTAGGAGAGCAAACACTGCTAATTGTGTTCAAGGCAGAGTTAGTGAAACAGAGCTTGACAGTGAGAACTGGGCATATACAAGGCCCCCTCATAGCACAGGGTGAGGCTGAGTAATGGGGAAAGAAGCAGTGTGACTTGAAGGCCAGAGACATTCTTCTGTCTTGACCTCTTAATAATAAGAATCGGCCTAATACTATCATGGATAAAGCACTGTCCCCAGAGAGGAAGGGATAAAACAGCTGTGCATGTGCTCTTCTTTATCACAAAGAGTATGTAGAAAATTTCTCCGTATAGCCAAGGACTAAGGCAGTTCTCCTCCCACCTCATCTTTCTCGCTTTTAGTTCTCAAGGGTAATTATAGAATGTGCTGAGAATACAACATTCTGAGATAAGGGAGGACTGGCCAGAGCAGCACTGGCTCTATTTTAACAACCCCTAGAAACAGGATGTTCTCCAGCACTTTAGTCTGGTGTGTCACATTGTCCTAGAGTATAAAACCAAGGGTGACTGCTCTCTGGGACTCCTTACCTGCTGTACAAGTGGAGCACAGGCAGACGAGACTCCGTCTTCCCTGGGAAGCTGTCCTGGGTGTTGGGGAACTGGCTCACAGTGAACCCTAAATCTCTGTTGTTCCTTGCTGCCTATCTGTAAAAAATAAATACACTTCATGTAACTTCTTGTGTGGGGGCCTGTTCTGCCTGGCCAGACTCTGAGAAGCTGGTAACCAGTGCACAGTGGACCTGATTCAGAGGGTTCTCTGTAAACTCTATAACTTCTCTAAACTCTCCCTTTCAATTCCCATAATACCCTGATCTTACAGCTATTCTAACATGTATTATTAATGTTTTTCTTCTTTATAATTGTTTCTCCAACTAGACTGTGAGCTTCTCAAAAAATGGACCCTCTAATTCTTTGTATTTCAGCATTTATAAGGGAATATTTAACATATTAATCACTCTGTCTACTCATGTTGAATGAGGGGTTATATTTAAAAATAAGTAATACGCAATTTTGGTTTAATAAATTCCAGTTCCAATTCTATATTCTAATTGGATACATTGAGTTTTGGCCAACGGAGTCCTAGTTAACAGTTCCATTATGTATGAGACTCAACAGTAGGTCCGGCATGTCAGCACTGTGACCAAATAAGTGAGTAGTATTTACCCAAAATCTAATTGTGCTATGAGTATTTTCTTTGAAGGAAACTAACTCTATGGACCTTATGATGGAACAAATGTTTTTGCCCCATCCAAATTCATATGTTGAAACTTTAACCCCCAATGTTACAGTATTTAGAAATGGTGCTTTTAGGAGGAAATTGGGGTCAGATGAATCATGAAGTTCGGATCCTCATGATGAGATTAGTGTCAGTATAATAAGAGGCAACAATCTCTCTCTCTTTCTCTCCCTCTCTCTCTCTCACACACACACACACACACGCACACACACACACACACACACACCAAGGAAAGACCATGTGAGCAAACAGCAAGAAGGCAGCCATTGTCTACAAGCCAGAAAAAGAAACCTTGCCAGACTTTGACCTGGTACTTCTAGCCTTCAGAACTGTGAGAAGATATATTTCTGTTGCTTAAGCCTCTTAGTCTATGCTATTTTGTTACGGCAGTCCAAGCAGACTCAGACAGATCTCTCTCATTTTGACAGATCTGATAAGAAGCTGTTAAATTGTACAAATAATAAATTTTACTTGATCTCAGAAATTAATAAAGTAGCTTTTCATCCTAATTAAAACAGCAATTTTTTGAAATCTACAGGACTGAGGACTTACAGAGGCCCTTTGGAGTTTGGTGTGCTTCTGCTCATTTCTATATAAAAATTTGTTAATTATATCTTTTATACACATAAAATTATTAAAGTTCTTCATAAATATAATATGCAATTAGGAGTTTTATACCATTGACTATAAACACAGCATTTGGATTGAACTTATCGAATTTTTAAAACTCACCAAATGGTAATTGTATTAGTCTGTTCTCATGCTGCTAAGAAAGACATACCCAAGACTGGGTTGCTTATGAAGGAAAGAGTTTTGACTCACAGTTCCACATGGCAGGGGAGACCTCACAATCATGGTGGAAGAGCAAAGGATGTCTTCCATGGCATCAGGCAAGAGAGAATGAGAGCCAAGCCAAAGGGGAAACCCCTTTTATAAAACCACCAGATCTCGTGAGACTTATTCTCTACCATGAGAACAGGATGAGGGAAACCACCCCCATGATTCAATTATCTCCCCTGGGTCCCTCCCCCAATACATAGGAATTATGGGAACTACAAGTGAAAATGAGATTTGTGTGGGGACACAGCCAAACCATATCAGTCATCAAACTACAAGGCTGAGGAATCTCATTTAGATGTGAACATTAATATGATATAGGCAAAGACCATTTTACCACTTAAAATAGTTTTTCAGGAGTGACATCAGCAAGGTGATGGAATAGGAAGTCTAGCCTTCCCTTCCCCTACAGAAAATTTGACTACCAACTATTCACAGACAAGAACATCACTTTGGAAACCCCAAAAACTGGAAGCAAGCTTGAGATACTTGCACAGTACACAGAACTGGAAAAAATAATCCTAATTAGAGAGCAAGAAGAATGGTCTCAGTTCAATCATACCACCCTCTCCTTTTTCCCCAAGTTGGTACAATGCCAGACAGAGAATATTTCCCTAGGCTTACAGTTTCTACAGAAAAAAAAGAGAACATGAGGCAGGCAACCAGCTTCCCTAGCATTCTGAGGCACTTCCCAGGACACTCACTCCATTCTCACCTTACAGAGAACACTGGGAAAATGGTACAATTTTACCACCCACGTGTAAGGTAGAAATAAAGAAATTAACCAGCTCATGGGTATTGGTGGTACCTCTGTTCCTACCAGTTGCAGTGTTCAATCAGAGATATCAGCCAATCTCATAGTGCATCTACAAAGCTGATATGGTTTGGTTCTGTGTCTCTACCCAAATCTCATCTCAAATTGTAATCCCTACATGTCAAGGGAGGGATCTATAATCCCCATGTGTTGAGAGAGAGAAGTGATTGGATTATGAAGAAGGTTTCCCCCATGCCGTTCTCTTGATAGTAAGTGAATTCTCAGGTGATCTGAAGGTTTTATAAATGATAAATTTTCCTGCACTCTCACATGCTCTCTCTCTCTCTCACATGCCACCATGTAAGACATGCCTGCTTCCCCTTCTGCCATGATTGTAAGTTTCCAAGCTATTGCAGAGTTGAGTCAATAAAATCTCTTTCTTTATAAATCACCCAGTATCAGGTAGTATCTTTATAGCAGTGTGAAAATGGACTAATATAGTTAGTTAGTACTAAGGTAGGGAGAACTGCTATAAAAATACCTGAAAATGTGGAAGCGACTTCGGAATTGGGTAACAGGCAGAGATTGAAACAGTTTGAAGGGCTCAGAAGAAGACAGGAAGAAGTGGAAAGGTTTGTAACTTCCCAGAGACTTGTTGAGATGGTTTTGACCAAAATGCTGAAAATCAGGTGGACAAAGAAGTCTGGACTCAGGTGGTCTCAGATGGAGATGTGGAACTTCTTGGTAACTGGAGCAAAGGCCACTCTTGCTATGCTTTAGCATAGAGACTGGGAGCATTTTTTCCTGCCCTAGAAATCTGTGGAGCTTTGAACTTGAGAGAGATCATTTAGGTTATCTGGCAGAAGAATTTTCTAAGCAGGCAAAGCATTCAAGAAGTGACAGACAGTAAAAGTTTGGAAGATTTGCAGCTTGACCATGTGGTAGAAAAGAAAAACACATTTTCTGGGTAGAAATTCAAGCCAGCTGCAGAAATTTGCATAAGTATTGAGGAGTCCAATGTTATCCACCAAGACAATGGGGAAAATGTCTCCAGGGCATGTCAAGAGATCTTCATGACAGCCCCACCCATCACAGGCACAGAGGTCTAAGAGGAAAAAATGGTTTTGTGGGCTGGGCCCAGGGACACATCCCCTGCTCTTTGCAGCCTCAAGACATGGTGCCCTCTGTCCCAGTTGCTCCAGTTCCAGTTGTGGCTAAAAAGAGCCAAGGTACAGCTCAGGCCATTGCTTCAGAGGGTGCTGGGCCCCTCATGGGTGTTCCACATGGTGTTGGGCCTAGGGAGGCACAGAGATGAAGAACTGAGGTTTGGGAACCTCTGCTTAGATTTCAGGGATGTATGGAAATGCCTGGATGTCCAGGCAGAAATCGGATGCAGGGATTAAGCCCTCATAGAAACATGAAATTATGAAACTACTAGAAGAAAGACTTGGAGACTAGGACGTTGGTCTAGGCAAAAATTTTTTGGTATAAGATCTCAAAAGTACAAGCAACAAAAGCAAAAATACACAAATGGGATTATATCAAGCTAGAAAATTTCTGGACAACAAAGAAAATAAAGTGAAGAGACAATCCACAAAATGGAAGAAAACATTTGCATACTATCTGTCTGACAATAGATTAGTAACTAGACTATTAAAAGAACTCAAACAAATCAATAGCAAAACAAAACCAGAACAAATAATTCAATTAAAATATGGACAAAATTTCTGAATAGCAATTTTTCAAAAGAAGATATGCAAATGGCCAACAGATATATGAAAAAAATGCTCAATATGACTAATCATCAGGGAAATATAAATTAAAACCACAATGAAATATCATCTCACTCCAGTTAAAATGACCTTTATTAAAAAGGCAGGGAATAACAGACTCAGATGACGATGTGGAGAAAGGGCAACACTGGTACACTGTGGGTGAGAATGCAAATTAGTACAGCCCTCACAGAAAGCATGGAGGTTTCTTAGAAAATTAAAAGTAAAACTACCATAAGTTCCAGCAATTCCACAATTGAGTATATACCCAAAGGAATTAAAATAAGTATGCTGACGAAATGCCTGCAGTATCATGTTCATTGTAACATTATGCACAATAGAAAAGATACAAAAACAACCTAAGTCTCTATTAACAGATGAATGTACTAAAACATATGGCATATATACACAATAGAATACAATTCAGCCATGATAAAACTGGAAATACTTCTTTTTGAGACAACATGGATGAACCTAGAGAAAAATGCTTTAAATGAAATAAACAAGACACAGACAGACAAATACCATATCATCTCATTGTGAGTAATCTAAAACATTTGAAATCAACGTATAGAGTAGAAAGGTGGTTACCAGAGGTTGGAGCAGGGAGGGGTGGAAAGGGAAAGGGGAAATATTGGTCAACGGGTACAAAGCTACGATTATATCAATGTATTGAAGCATCACATTGTACCCCATGAATATCTACCATCATTATTTGCCACCTAAAAATAAAATAAAATAAAACAAAGAAGTTATGTAAAATTGTCTGAGTTAGATTTTACAACAACCCTGAAATTATAGGTGTATATATTTGTACAGGGCTGCTGTGATACTGTATCTCCTACCAAGGAGGCTCATCCCATCTGATGGAATCCAGTATTAAAGAACTGTCCCCTTAGGTTTAATTGCATTTGTCACATCATGTGTCCTCCAGCTGTTGATAAGAGGAAAGTTGTATTTAAAAGAACTGGATATAAGATACAGAAATCTCTATTTTTCTGTTCACAAATTTACCCTTCATAAAGTACACAAGTCTTCCAAACCCAGCCCAATTCCTTTGCATAATACCTTGATTTGCTAATTTTCCCAGTGTCCCAAGTTGGACTCTGGGATAAAGCCAGGGTAATCCCTGTCATCACAATGTCATTGAATTCAGCACTAATGAGACCTCCTCCTCTCCAAACCTGTCTCCCAAGCTCCACTTCAATGAACTCTAGGCTTACAACCTTGGAGATCAAGAGCATCGTTTAACATGTAATTTCAACCTGGGTTTCATAGAACTCTACTACTGTGGTGTACTTTGGCATTTCTTCAAATATTTGATTTGAATTTTACTCTGTATATAATTTGACAATTTTTGAGTGTCTTAACACACAGTCAAATGTGCTACATAATAATTTAATACTTCAGAGATCAGCAAAATGTCAAGTTGAAGTTTCATTGACTAGATTTACAGGAACTTTTATTATATATTTGAGCTTAGTGAAATGCTACTTTCTTCTGGTTTATAGATATAACCCAGGAATGGCAAAGAGAATTCTTTCTCAAGGAGCAAGCATTCAAATGTTGGATTTACAGGCTGTCTTTCATAGGCCCTCTGAAGGCTGTACTGTAACCAACGCTTTTTCCACCTCCCTAGATTAGCTGTAAACACACTCTGGTCCTTGTTAGTACTACTTGGAACTCTAAAACAGATGAATAGATGTCATCGAGTTTGATGTTACCTTCTTCCAGGGCCTTTGTTTATGCTTGAACCGATAATGTAGTGCACTAATAGCTCACTATCCAAGGTGTATTAATCTGTTCTCACACTGCTAATAAAGACATACTCAAGACTGGGTAATTTATAAAGAAAAGAGGTTTAATTGACTCACAATTCAGCATTCCTGGGGAGGCCTCAGGAAATTTACAATAATGATGGAAAGCAAATATGTCCTTCTTCACATGGTGGCAGGAAGGAGAAATGTCGAGCCAAAGGGGGAAAAGCCCCTTATAAAACCATCAGATCTCATGAGAACTCACTCACTATCACAAGAATAACATGAGGGTAACCACCCCCATGATTCAATTACCTGTAGCCAGGTCCCTCCCACAACACATGGAGATTTTGGAAACTACAATTCAAGATGAGATTTGGGTGGGGACACAGCCAAACTATATCACAAAGGGAGTGTCATTCACGGCAAAGAAAGCAGTAATTTATTTACTTATCATGACAAATTTCTGGGAGACTGCAGGAAAGTGCCTCAGTCTAATAAAATCACAGTATATCATGTTAATTTTCCAATGGATATAGGTAAATAATTTAAATAAGGAATTTCTCTTCTTGATTCACACTGCAGCTGGTATTTTTGGCCACCGAAGCCATATCCCATCTGATTTCAGGACTTTGACTGCTGCCCCCTAAGAAACACCACCTCATCTCTCTGGCCTCTTGAGCTGGAATAGCCTGTGAGTATATTTGTAGACACTACTAGTAGCTTACCCACTAGCTATTCTTTCCTTTGTACTTTGTTACATACTATGATTTAATTCAAGGCAGCAGTTGGCATTGCTGAAAGAATATTCTCCAGCCTTCTTTGCAGCTAGAAGTAGACATTTAATTCAGTTATGACCACTGACATATAAGTAGAAGGCTGAATTCCAGGAAATGGAAAAAATGGGTCTGACTGCTGTTTTGTATTATTTTTTTTCCTTTTCTACCTCCTCTTTTTCTGCTTCTTGAGATACAGATGTGATGGTATCATCATCCTGTCAGTCTTCTTAGACCTTGAAGTGACCTTGAACATGGAATTCTAGTTTTAACAAGGGTGAACAAGATGAGAGAAAACTTCGTATCTCATACTGTGCTGCTACCACTATATTCCTAACTTCCATCTTTAAACAACTTATATATGAGATAAAAAAACAGATGTTTATACATGTATGCTACCGTTATTTTGGCTTTTTGTGTGTGTGTGTGCTGCTGAATCTCTTCTAATGCAAATTTTCTGAACCAAGCTGTGGAACTCATACTGTGCTTGAATCCAGAAGATTTCAGGAACCCTTGGCCAGTTGAAAAAAATAAACATCATCTTCCTGCTCTTTCTACTGTCTTCAGGATTCCTCAAGAAGATAGACATGTCCCTGAATCCTAAGACCTATGGCTTGGATAATATACTTTCTGTTGTCTTCTTCCCTGATGTGTATGCAGACTTCTACTTTCATTTAGCTCTTGTGGTCTTCCCCCATGTTATATGGAGTCTTGATTGTTCTTCATAATGTCTACATGCATACCTTTCTTAAATTACTCTATCTTTTCCCTATGAGCTATGGCTTGACTATATTTATGTTTCAGGTATAAGGAATATGAATTAAAACAATTGATACTGAAGACCTATGTTTTCTGCAATGCTTGGAACTAAGGGCAGAAAGAAAAATGAGATATGCTCATCTGACAGATTCAATCACTCTGTCCTTCTTAACAAATTAATATCTTATGTAGACCACTAATACATTCATTACATTCTATTAATATTACTAATAATTAATACATTAGTAATTATTCTATTAATATGGTACACTTAAAATATTAATTTCTTTCTCATATAATACATTATGAGATATTTGAAGGAAATGTATTTGGATATTATATTTGTGCATAAAAATAGTTTAACAGACGACAGGTAGCAGAAACTTTATTCCACATAAATGATTCTGTATGTCCAAAAGTGCTGATGTATACAAGGAAAAGAAAGAAGGAGTTTCATTTTAGAAACTTGGATTCAATATCTACTATCAACAATAGAAATGGAAGATAAAATGCATAAATTATATGGCTTCCTGAAAAATAAAATGACAACAATAATATGGAGGAATAAGCAAATAATTAGGGCTTAATAAATATAAGCATTCATTCCTTCTTTCCCCTAAGTACTTTCTACTACCACTCTGAGCTTAATTTTCTTGTTTTAAAATGGATGGAAATAACTACACTTGTCTTATAGGCTACTTTAATGGGGTAGAATTAAATAAAGTGGTACAGTGGTGGAAATGTGCTTTATCAATTCTGAAGCGTGAGAGTATTTTGATTATCATTTAGAATTATTGTGCCTGAGTGATTGCTCTGTCATAGAGCCAATGCACGCTATGTGTAAAATTCAAACCTCTTGACTCAGAATTTAGTGGTTGTTGGGACAGAGGAAGAATAATTAGGTACTTATTAAGGTTACATCAATAATTAATTGCAGCTTTATTATCATTTTTCCCTAAATGGAATTGTGCCTACTGTGTTGGCACAAAAGAATAAAAAGTTATTCAAATATCCAGCTGATGAACTCTAGTCAAATATCCGGAAAATTGGCTAACAGTGTTGTCTTGAGAATATGAAGTTCATTTTGTCTGGAAAAAAATCAATTCCCAAATGAAGCTGTGAAAGTATTGGTTTTAGAACAATGTGTCCAAGAAAAATCTAGTTTTGCTACAGAAAGTAATTGGGACCCCTCCCTTGGCACAGCACAAGTCCCCAGTGCCACACATCACTCTGCATCAACAACTAATGACTTTTCCATTTGCTGGGCCAAAAGAGAGAGGCAAAAATGTTCCTTCCCAAGTTAGCTTTCCATATGAACTACAAAGAATAGATTAATGAGAGAGTCCCTTGTGTAGTTCCACTGGTTCCACTAAGGAAATTGTATTGTTTATTCACATCTAACTTCAGAGTCCAGAATCAAAATTGTATTTCACTTAGATCCATTAGAGACGTCAGCTTGTGTGGTTTATATCTGATTTTTTTTTTATGATAGAATGTAACCATTGCATAGACAGGGACTTTCAGTGTTTCAGGCACATCATCAAGTCCAATAAGTACATATGGGAAGAATGCATAAATAAACATCCACTTTGAGGGTAGAGTTTTTATCTAGTTCACTTCTGTTTCTCTCTTCCTCTAACCTTCCCCCATTCTCTTGTTCCTGGCATGGTACCTATATCATAAGGAAACTGTTAAAAGAAAAACAAACCAAAATTGCTTTATTAAGGAGGAGTGTATAAAAGAATCATAATACTATGCTCTTGTCCAAAAGTGCTGGGAGAGGAAGAGACAAATAGATATATTTTCATATCAGCACAATCTAGAAGTTACTTTTCCCCTCAAAAGGGCAAATTCAGCATGGCATAATTCCCAGGGTAGTGACAGGACACAGGCATTCTGCAGTACATGCAGTAGAAGGCAATCCTTTTCATAATGATTTTTTAACTTAAATAAAACTTTGAACAAAAACATAAACAGAGATTTTTTTCTATCTATAGATACAAAGATCTAATTTAAGAAATACAAATTCCAATGTATGCTATTACTGTGTGTCAAAAAATAATCTCAATGCTTTTTATGCATGATTTCATTTAAGCCTCACAGCAACTTTCTCATATAGATGATTTATGGAAGGCTTTTCCGACAGAATGTCTAAAGGATGAAATTTTTATGATCTTTATTTCTAAACGAAATGTTTATGAGATTTTTTTTTAACTACAGTGGTGTCCCAGATAAAATGATACCCTTGAACGTGGCCTACTGCACTTTTCCCAACAATATCCAGTAGCAGCTGACTACACGTGATAAGCGAGCTGTTACAAACTGAAGGTTTGTGTCCAAAATTCATATGTTGAAATGTAGCCTACCCCAATAGAACGATATTAGGAGGTTAGGTCTTCGGGAGCAACAAGGCCGTGAGGGGGGTCCCCATGAATGGAATAAGTGCCCTTATAAAATGAGGCCAGAGAGCTAGCTCACCCTCTTTCCCTATGTGAAGATACAGTATGAAGTTGGCCACCTGCAGCCCAGAAGAGGACCCTCACGAGAACGCGGCCATGCTTGCACCCTTAACTCAGACTTGCAGCTTTGAGAGCTGTGAGGAGTAAATTTTTGTTCTCTACAAACCACCTACTCTCTGGTACTTTGCTACAACAACCCAAAGGGAGTAAGACAGGAGCTAACAACAGTCAGCTCCCCAGACTCATCAAAGCCCACTGTATGCAGGAGCCAGCACATCAGCTGGGGGTGGGGGTATTCCCTTTTTATATCTACAATCAAATGAAAACATTGTGTTCTTCATCAACTGAGAAAATGTTTACTTTTCCCTATCTTTGTTTCCATTTCCAATAGTTTTGTTTCTGTTAGGGCATCCAGCCCACAACGTCTTGATTTCTTCTACAGAAAGAGGCTATCATTAGTAATTCCACTTTAGAGATGAGAAAATATGAATACAAAGAGGAATTTAAGTCATTCACTCAAGATTACATAAATAGTAAGTGTGCAGGCTGGATACAGAACAACTGCGGATTCACTAAGGAGACTAAAGAGAAATATAAATTTATCCAACTAGAGCAGAACACAAACTGTTATTCTAAAAAACCACATTTTTTGTTTTGTTTTGACAGTTCCCTCCTGAAGAAAAATTCTGTGTGACTGTCAGAGTCTTACCACATCTGTGTTGTGTAGTGTATAAGTATGTTGACTACATTTTATGGTGTTAAAAAAAAAGCATAACTACTGTACTGAGTTGAAAAGTGTCTCCCCAAAACTTATGTCCTTCCCAAAACCTTAGAATGTGACTTTATTTGGAAATGGGGTCATTGCAAATGCAATTAGTTAAAATGAGCTCATACTGCAGTATGATGGGTCTTGAATTCCATATGACTCAGCACTTACATGAAGAGGAGAAGAGAGACACAGGACAGAACATCAAGACAGAGGCAGAGGTTGGAGTGATGAGTTTGTAAGCCAAGGAATGTCAAGGAGTGAGAACAACCACGAGATGGTTGGAGGGAAGCACAGGACAGGTCCTCCATCAGGCTGTCCAATAGGAACCAAACCTGCCAGCACCCTAATTCTGGACTTAGCCTCCAGAACTACAAGAGAATAAACTTGCTTGTTTTAAGGCACTGCAATTTGTGGTCATCTGTTACAGCAGAACTAGGAAGCTAATACAACTACTCAATTGATTTGAAAAGTTTTGTTCACACAAAACCCTGCACATAATAAAAAGAAATGTGCAATAAGGCACAAGAAGACATGGACAAATCTTAAATGTATGTTGTTAAGTGAATGAAAGAAGCAAGTCTGTATGAAAGAAGCTACCTACTATATGATTCAAATTAAACAGTGTGCTGGAGTCAAACATTATGTTTAGCTTAATAGAGATACAGATGGTTAGGTGAAGAAATATTTAAAGATATGTGTGAATATACACAGGTTAGTATACACACATATATTTCCTATTTGTGTCAGTGGTGAGTGTCTAAAAGCAATGACACCTCAATCACAATAAGCATACCTCAGAGCAAGATCCTGGTTTCTAATACTATTCTTCAACAAATTGAACCAGGGTTCTTTGGAGAAATGACTGAGTTTAGCACTGGGCAAGAAATTTACAAGATGAACCTGGAAAATTTTGTAGTGACAGAAGTGAAAAGAAAAAAAGGTGCTCACAAAAAAAATCCACAAGGATGTATGTCAAAGGGACACAGAAGCCAACTGAAAAAGCTCCCAAAGGACAAAGTTGAAAACCCTGCAGAATAAAATAAATGAACAAGTGATGGATTATTACCCAAAGTATAAAATAAATATCCATGAGTTCATATTAAGTAAACAAGCAAATAAATAAATGGGTAGAAGAAATCTCTTGTGCACGAGAATTCTAAATTTAACAGCTCCCACATTGTATATCAATATTTGAAACTATAGTTAGATTGATGATTGGTTATTTTATATGTAATCCTAATTCTCATGGTGACTTTGTAATGTTTCTCACTTGAGGGTTGTTAAGGTCTTTTGTGACTGATTTTCTACCAGCCCTCTCTATGTACTTGATAAATATGTAGCAAAAGAATGGATGACTGATTGAACCTATGAGTGAATGAAACCCTAAGTTACACATAATATAAAGTAAGTTATTAAATGTATAAACCAAAACCAATATTTCAGCTCTGGAGAAAAATTATAGTGAATAAATTTCCTCAAATAGTAGAAATAAGGGAAATTTTTAAAACTATATATTTTAGAATAAAGATGCAGGCAAGACCTATGCTTAAAATCTAACCCAAACATCTAATAGCTGTTTAACCTTGAAAAACAAGTATCTGACATCACTGAGATTCAGTTTCTCCTTCCAAGAAAGGAGAAAATGACTTTTACTCTGCCAAACTCACAGGCTGCTGTGAAGACCAGATGTATTCATAGATGTGAATGTACTCTATAAAGTGAATGCACTATGGCAAGTAATTATTATTGGAGTGCATTGAAGTGGGAAAAATGCTTGACTATGAATAGAGGGCAGTGCAGAGATTAAACAGGCCAAGAAAGACATTGAGTGGAGAACTATATTGAATAAAGAGAACACAAATGAGCACACATATGCCTGTGAATGCATCAGGTTCATCGTAACTTCAGATGGGATTCTTAGTAGTGGAGCTGAAGTTTGCAGTGTTGTATATTTGTGGGGCACAACATCACATCTCTACAAAAGTAGGGCACTTTGAAGACAAAAGATGAGGAGCAGGGCTCCAGAATGTCTCAACAGAACTGGGGATGTATGGCACCATTAGGTCTATTGTCTATTATCCATCTCACTTAAATTTCTTCTGGTGAAGAAGAAGATATGACTTCCCACTGCAGAGCAGATTTTGAAAAAAAAAAAAAAAAGTTTAAGCGTTTTTAACACGGGCCAGTAATAAAAACTATTAGGGTTTGGGAGTCATGGAATTTGGGGAAGGAGTGGTTTCTGCCAAAGGATAGCTAGTTACTTCCTGAGCACAAAGAAAGAGGGAACCTTGGAGTGACATATAAATCTTTGTCTTACAAGTCAGGCATAACGTTTTTTATGGTTTAGTAGTTTTTGTATATTATTTTAGCTTTACAAACATTCTAGGGTGTAGAAAACATTGGTACTCAGAATGTGTTCTGTGAAAAGGAGTATCTTCAATTTTGAGAAAAAAAATAGTAAACACAATAAACATAACAATAAAAAAATGCTGCCACCAAGTTCCAGATACTCTACCAGGTGTCTCATTTACCTAAATGTTAATTCTCATGGCAAGTCAGAGTAAGTATCTAATCTCCATGTAAAGATGAAGAAACTAAAAGTAAGAGAGGCTTTATAAAACATGTCAAAGATCACTCAGCCAGTCACACAGTAGGTGATAGAATCAAGCATTCTTTCCACTATACTACACTGACTCAAACATATTTTGAGAGGGTTGGTCAGCCTTATTGTAACCAAAAATCAATTCTGGCATGATGATGTGGAGAAAATTAACACCTAGAGGGCACTTCCTATGTCCTAAACACATGGCATACCTGTTTCTCATTTAATCCGCAGAGCAGGACTTGGAGCTACAGGTCACTATATCCAATGACACATGAGGAAACAGTACATGGTGGATTTTAGGAACATACTCTGTCCTTCGCAACAAACACTGCTTGGCAGTAAACATTTTGTTTTTCGCTTCTGCCAGAAACCAATTTAAATTATGTGGATGTTCCAATCTACTGATGCTCACCACAACGTGAAATCACTGAATTTTATCTTCATTGGCTAAACCATGCTGACATCTTTAACTCTCTGTTTGTCACTCTATGTTTATTGTATTTCTTCTCTGCACATGAATAATTCTATACAAACAAATGGCTATTTATCATAACCTTTAATATCTTCATTTACCGACAAATGCATGCGTGTTTTAGCCAACTCTTTGCATTATTATTTAATAAGCACCTTTTGCTTCTTTCCACAGGCTGCTCTGTAGTGAGCAGCGTAATCCTGTTTCTCTTTGGCAAATAACACTTCTGTTTGGCATTATTAGGTTTTACTTTCTATGTCTCACATAACTGAACATATGAAAAGTACAAATAATGATTTAAAAAATTATATTGCTGAGAAAAAAATGATTTGCATAAAGAAGCCACATATATTTATGACAGAATAAAAGAAGGAAGCAAAAGAAACACATACATTGCATACATTGTTTCTGGAAATACTACTAAAACTTCTTAGGGGAAGACAAACATAAGGGGACTGTAACAAAGCATCCAAGTATACACTAGCTCTAGTCTCTTTTGTAAACCAAAATGTATCTGAGACAAGTCTCAATCAATTTAGAAGTTTATTTTGCCAAGGTTAAGCACACACCTGGGAGAAATAAACACGGAATCACAGATCTGTGCCTTTCTCCAAAGATGACTTTGCAGGGTTTGATATTTAAGGGGGAAACATGGACTGAAAGAAAGAGGAAGGGTATGTAATTCACATGTTGCAAGAGAAAGGGAGTAGGCAGGGGAAGAGCTGAGTACATGTTTGTGTTACACTCAGTAAATCAACACTTTACAGAAGATAAGGTAAACTTGAGTAGCTACCTGTAAAGACATTTAACCTTTTATCTGTAGCTACCTGCTTAGGAACAAAAAGGAAGGCAGCTTCTTGCATGACTCTGTTTTCAGTTTATTTATTTTTTCCTTTTGACATAGTAAATTGGGGTCTTGACTTTGTATTTTCCTTTCGCATTTCACCCCTTTTCTTTCCAAAGTCTTTCAGAGAAAGCGTTTTAGAAGAAAACAAGTCTCTGGTCTCGGGTTTGGTCTGATTTCTCATGGCTAGGATGGTTTATTCCTAGACAGAGAGGTCTCACGTTGTTCGGAAAGCTCATTTTTAGTAGGTTGTGAAGCCTCACATCCCAAAAAGAAAAAAAAAGTGGAAGGAAAGAGAAAGAAAACAATAAGCACAAAGGGAGAACAATCCTGGAAAACTGAGATAGGCCACAGGACTCTGAAGTTCATATATCAGTAGGCAGGTATGAAAATGATTTACGTATATAAATAAGTTGCTATTATTTTCTTCCAAAGCCTAAGTTGTCTAGCTTCAGTTTGCAAGACTTTAAGAAAAGTATGGCTTACTTTTAGTGATTTCAAATCAGGGAAAATGAGAAAAAGAAAGAAGAAAATAATCAATATATTATCTGAGACTTGTAGCCAGGAAAAAATTCAGAGTTCAGTTCAAATTGTAGAAAATAGTTAAAATTGAAGAAAAAAAATTAGGCAAGGCTACAATGTAATAACAGGTGTTCTACAATTTATTGTGAAACACAATTTTTTCTTTCTCCGATTCTCCAATTTTATTAAAGACAAAGTCATATTAGGGCCAATTTATTTGTAAAATAAGTTTTAGTCCTTGGCTTGATTATTTGCATAAACCAAAAATAATCATTTGCCATATAGTCTCTCTCTCTCTCTCTCTTTAAATTGGCTTTGCAGGAATCTGTTACACAAGGAATCTAAGACTAGTACTTTTTAAAAGCCATTAGCACAGCTAAGGATTTATCTGTGCCTGCAGATAATTGTGTGAATTGAGTGAATTCATCTCTTTTCAAGGTCCAAGAAAACTTAGGCTTCCTGGGACTGTCAGAAAGTGACATTCTTTATTACCACAGGTCAGGACCCTGTAAAGGACAAGGTATAGGGCCAGTTTTTCCAAGGGACTTTAATCAGCTCTATAGGTCAGCCTCATTTTCTCAAGGCAATCTTTTGAAAATGTCTTTCCAATCAAAGTCTTAGTGAAATAACCAGTGTCTCCAATTATGCCCTGTTATAAATGAAAACAGATTCTTATTTAACTTATGAAAATAAATAACTTGTCATAAACTAAGAATATTCACAAAATACTTTCAAATTTTGGAGAAATTTACTTGAGATAAAGGAGGTATTTTCAAATTTTGCTCATAAGAGTATACTTTAATCAATTGTTAAAAGTTGTAAATGGCTTAAAAGAGAAAGTTTTCTTGATTGAAAAACTAAACAAAAGAATCAGCAAATGTTTTAAACAAAAAGTCATAAAAGATTATTTTTCACTTCTATTAGTTCAGTTCATGCAATTAACTCCTGTTCTGCTTGATATTGAGTCAGCAAACCTTATGAATATGTCAGCTCCCCATAAGAGTCTTGAAAGTTCCTGTCTCTGTTCCAATGGCACATCCCTAAATTGATCAGAAATCTATAGTTAAGAATACTCCTCAGAATTCTGTAGCTGATTATAAACTGCCCTACAAAAGGATCAAAGTAAAATAACAATTGTGGATGACAAAAATCTTAGAACAGCCATGGTTAAAGACACAACTGACATGGAAATTAGGTTATTTCTTTTGCATTCAACAATTTTACATAATAACCATAATATAGTCATAATTACTATTGGTGGCATATACTAAGATATATTAGAATCACAGAAATCTCATAAAATTTTGGAACACATATTAGTAACACAGTTATATATAGTCCAAAGAAGGTTAAACACAATTTCATACTTGACAATGCCTCCTGTATGATTTTATTAGACCAAATAAGCCAAATATGTCTCATTTGAACTTAAGGGGACATAATATCAAAAAATTAATGAAGTCAAAAAGATTGAATTTGGAATCTGATTTTGGAAAGTTTGTCAAATATTATAAGTTTAAAACACTTGATATCCCAAAACAGGATCACAGGTCACTGTAAAATAAGTCATTCATTTAGCCAAAGTGATGACTCAAAGATTTAAAAAAGCCAAAAACTTTTGTTTTTTGATAGAGGAAACTTACTTTCCTAAATAGTAAGTCCTAAGAAAGACAGCATAAGGCCAATTTATCTGTCTCTCAAATTTTATAAACAAATCTATTAAATTTTAATTATTTTGGCCACAAGATAAAATTTCTGTAAACCTTTTAATAAACTCTTACAATTATTTTTTAAATTAAAGAGTGGTTGATTCTCCAAGAAAACCTTATTAATCTGACACAGGGGCTCAGATGCTGGTCTTGCATCAGTGTGCCCTTGGTATTAATGTTTAATTTATAGAGAAACTCTGAACTAATTTTATCTCTCAGTATTGGCCCTTACAATCTCTCACTCCCACCTCTTCTGTGATAGTTCCTGAAATTAGAGGTGTTGAGTAGTTTTAATAGCTGTCTCATATCTCACAAATGTAGAGATAAATATAAAATTTTTTGAGCAATAAATCTAAACAATAATGTATGTTGAAAATTCTGAAGACACTTATAACTTTATTTTACCGATACTTTTAAAACCAGCTTATTTATTAAAATTTTACTTAAGTCACATGAATTTAAAAAGCATTTGAGCATATTTACTTAATTTATGAGTACCCCTTTATTTTTAAGCCAATTTGGTACCTTGTGCCACAACAAATAACAAAACACATGTACATGCATATAAACACAACTAAGCACACATACACACTCATACAAATAAAGATCCCATAGCTTTTGCTTTGGAACTCTAGCCATGAGGCATTAACACAAACTCACCAGTTTATAAGAAAATGGTTGGATGCAAACAGTGGGTTTTAACTCAACACCAGTAGAAAGGTCCTCTAAACTAGGAAAAATAATGTATAATGAAATACTACTTCTTTATGTTTTGTATAAACTTCACTAAAAAGACATCTTACACTCCTACTATTCTCTTAGTGATGCCAATTGCCAGTGAAAAACCTAGGATTACTTAATTTAACATAACATTATTTTAAGATTTTAGATTGCTGGAAAGATTTTTGAGACTAAATTTATCAAATTAATCATACCAAAGATTACTAATGTTATGTTATATGAATTGAAAGGCCTCTGAGCCAGCTTCTATTAGTCTGATAAAGGCTTACTTTTCTTTAAGCTAACTAGTTAGAGCTCTTTCGTAGAACTGGTAGAGAAATATTATTTCCATATGAGACATGTAAACATATACACAGAACAGAATAAGACAGAGGCAGCTCTTACATATTTAAAATTTTTTCTTTGCCAATTTTCAAATATTTTCTCTTCCTTACTTTAGACTATTAATCTCTTGGTTATCTGTTCCATATCCTGAACAATTGTTAATTAGGCAACTCTACATTTGCGTCTCCAAAAATATGACTCAGTTGAAGTAAGGTAGAAAATGTACATCTCTATGGTACAGATTTAGATCTAAACAAAGGCATAGTCTGTTATGTAAACTTTAAACCACTGACTTCTACCCAGTTAAAGTTTCTAGTGATTAGGTGCAGAGACAGGCATGCCTTTACAAAATGGAGATTTCCTTTAAAGATGTAAATTTCCTTTACAAAGAGTTTTATTTAAGTGACTTAGTTTGATAGGTGGTATTTCCAATACAGCTTGATTAGATTACTCACTTTAGGGTGCAGCCCTTTAAGGAACACGGCCAGGAAAGCATACACTATTTTCTTATTTAAATGCCCAAAGAAACAAGTAGCCTTCTGTAGTAATTACTATTTCCTATAAACTGTCCTCAGCCACCCCTAAAATTGTAGCCCTTGTCTGCCATTACACACGCTAAGGTTAAATCCTCTCACAGTACAAGGAAATATCTGGTACCCGCAAAGCCAAGGAAGTCAGGTGATGCAAAACAAGAAAGAAGAGCTTTAGAACTAAGAAGAATCTGCCCATGCCTCCTGAAACTCCACAAAGAAAGCAGATCACTCCAAAAATGAGCAAGTGGTACCTTTCTTCTGAGTTTTTTAAGGGGTCCAAGTCATTAAAAGCTTTTTTACTTGGTACCAAAGATGGCAAAAGGGGAAGGAGGCATAAGGTGGAAGAACAGTGAATGAAAGAATAATTTTTAAGGAAGAAAGTAGGCCAAGGGCATAGGTCTTTTCTTCTTCTTCTTCTTCTTCTTCTTCTTCTTCTTCTTCTTCTTCTTCTTCTTCCTCCTCTTCCTCTTCCTCCTCTTCCTCTTCCTCTTCTTCCTCTTCCTCTTCTTCTTCTTCTTCCTCTTCATCTTCTTCTTCTTCTTTGCAGCTGAGAGGAATTTTAACCGATTCAGAGACCTTGTTCCCCATAATTTGGAATTCTCATTCAGATGTGACCAAGTCAGGTAGAGTTGGTGAAATCTGATGGGAGAAAGACTGAAACACTAGCAATACAAAACCAAGCAAAAGAATTACAGAGTACTCAAATGATAAAGAGAAATTAAGACCAGATAGATACTAATCTTACCATTCAGTCATTAAGGAGCATTTCCAAGACAAAGCATTTCCATTGCCATGGAAGCAGGAAAATCAGCCTTCTTTGTCAGAAACGAGTACAACTCCAGAAAAGGAGTTACACAGCAACATAAACCTTAGATCATAACGAAATTTTGAGAGATCAAGGATTTTTCTGGAGGTGTGAGCTTCTGGACCTCAGTGAATTATTGTATAGATTTGAGGAATGAAGATAGCCCAAGCTGGTACCAAACACCAACAGGAGATTTGTCAAACGTCAGGGCCACTTCCACTCAGAGTCCCTTCCATTGGTCACCAATTTGTAAACCAAAAAGTATTAGAGACAGGTCTCAATCCATATCGAAATGTATTTTACCAAAGCTAATCTCATACCTGAAAAAAATGAACATGGAATCAGCAAAACAGTCTGTGGTCTGAGCGTTTTTCCAGATACGATTTCAAGGGCCTCAAAATTTAAAGAGGAAAGAAGGAGGGAATAGTGATCCACAATTTGCAAGAGAAGAGGAGCAGGTAGAGGGATAGTCAATTATGTATTTATG
Organism: Homo sapiens; assembly: GCF_000001405.40. Classification (NCBI taxonomy): domain Eukaryota; kingdom Metazoa; phylum Chordata; class Mammalia; order Primates; family Hominidae; genus Homo; species Homo sapiens. Next base: position 13,082,788 of record NC_000002.12, on the reverse strand, counting down.
CTCAGTAAATTGGCACTTTATACAAGATAAGGTGAACCTATGTTCACCTACGGAGATATTTAGCCTTTATCTGTAGCTATCTGTTTTATCTGTAGCTTTATCTGTAGCCATCTGCTCAGGTACAAGAAAAGGCAGTTTCTTGCATGATTCAGCTTTCAACTTAATTTTTTTTCTTTTGGCATAGTGAATTGGCACCCCAGGTTTTTATTTTCCTTTCACACTTTAGAGGCCCTGGGGCACATCCACACAAGTCTACTTGAGAACTACATAAAATGTTGCTGCTGAATTCTTAACATCATCTTGGAAGCAGCTTCAGTTTGAACCTCTGTCCAGCTACTCTGCATGGACAACATTTGGGTTACCAGCAACATGGGGCTACCAAGAAGGAGAAGTTAGCCAGAAGTACGCTAGGATCGGAAGAACTATGTCTACTGCAAACGTGGGCTCAAAATCAAGCTCTTGCCTAAGTGACTGAGAAGCAATAAATACCTCTTTCCAATTCCAGAAGTGTTGATACAAAAAGACCCAGTCAGCAAACAGGAGTTAGAACCAGACAGGTGGTGACTGGAGAAATTATGGCTGAGAGATTTCAGTGACTGAACTAGTAATTTTTTTCAGATTTTTTAAAAAAGAGGTTGACTATTCTGATGAGTGAAGGATATCTCAATACCAGCAACACTACCCTGTCTTATAATGTGACAAAGTGTAAAATGACAACAGCAATGAGAACCTTACATAAAATAAACTCAAACCTCACAGTGCTTACAGAAATCATGTGATCTGATATGCATTTCATGAAACCTGTTTTTTTAAACCACATCCTGTCATAGAAAAAAGCATACGGCTTATTTGATTTTATGGATCTAAAAAAGGATCTGGGACTATGGAGAAATGAAGGTTTTGAGTGAGAGAACAAGCCAAGCAAAACCCAGTTGGCATTAGGACTCTAAAAAGAACTGTGATTCAGGTGAGAATCTGTGACCAGAGTAGGAAAAAAACAGTTGGTGATCCCAATCTACGGTTGGGTCAACATACAAAATGGGAAAGTAGGGGCAATTTAATTAAAAAGTGCATTAACAACTTTTCTATGCGAAGCACTGTATCAGGGATAGATACTTCACAATCCAATAGAGACTTATCAGATACAGACAGAGTAATCTCTTATATGTATTGAGCTCTCACCATGTGCTTAGTGTCCTATGTAAGTTGAAGTCAGTTAATCTACAATAAAACACTAAGCAATAATTTGATATTGCCCACCTTTGACAGGTAAGAAAACTTACCTCAAAGAAGTCAGTCACTGAAATCACTCAACTGTCATTTCTACAATCATCACCTATCTGATTCTAATTCTTGTTTGCTGAGTATTGACCCCAGGCTCCCATAGTGGCAAGTGGTGGAAATACTTTGAACCTGGCCAGTCTGTTCCTGGAGTTCATAATATAGCACAACGGGAGAGATACTATGATAAAGGAGCACTGAATGCCCACACAGAGCAAAATTTTACCTTTCCTTGAGGTCATGCAAGGCCACACAGAAAGTGAAGTTCAGGTTTACATGCATCTGGTTAGTAGCAAGTGGGACTCAGAAAAACAGAAGTAGAATGGATGAGGAGGACAATCATTTCTCTACTTGGGCTGGAAGAATGGCTTAACATGAAACCAACACTTGTCAACCAGTAGGGCTCATCTAATGATCCAGCTGTCTGAGAATGAAGGACATAGGATTGGCAGAAAGAGTATGGTCTCCTGTAGAAATTATTTTCTCTCAAATAGTTCATTTTTTAATAACCTGCTCTTTTCCCATTGTGATCATCACCTTTAAAATAAAAAAAGAAAGAAAGAAAAAAAAAGCGCCTCTAAGTATCTTTTAGAGCCCAGAAAGGGAAGACACAGTATGATCTTGGTAGGTTCTCTACACCTAGAAGCTTACTGTAGGAAGACTATTTGGTGAAAGAAAGAGAATCAGGAATCCGTGTCCAGGCTGCTAAGAGAGAATGACGCCCTACCACTCTGACATCAGGAAGCCCCTTACACAGCTGAAGCCACCAAATCCTCAGGATTACACTCAGTTCTGCTCTTGGCCTTAGTTACAAGTTCTCCTTTGGTCCCTTGGTGCTGCAACTTAGGAGCAATTTTTACTATTTCCTATCACTTAGCCCCCAATGCCATCATGCACAATATCTCAGCCAGTTTTCCCAGGGACTTTGTTATCTCAGTGTGTTCAGGCTGTTATTAAAAAAGTGCCATAAACTGAAGAGCAGACATTTGTTTCCCAAAGATCTAGAATCTGGAAGGCTGAGATGAGGGTGCCAGCATGGTATGATGTAAGTGAGGGCCACTTTCTGGGTTTCAGATGACCATCTTCTCACTAGGTCCTCATGTCATGGAAAACAGAGATGGAGCTTTCTGAGATCCCTTTCATAAAGGCATTAATCTTAAATATGAGAACTCCACCTTTGTGACCCAACCATCTCCCATAGGCCGCACCTCCTCTTACCACCACATTGGGGACCAGAATTTCCACCTATAAATTTAGGAGAGAAAAACATTTGGTCTATAGCATTCATGCACAGCACACTGATAATTTTTTTCCTCAACCATTGGGCTCAAGTTCACATAGCTGGTGAGGATGTCAAGATTCCGTCTTGCTCCATTCATTGAAAGTATGATCTGGTTTCACTACCCCAACTTGAACACCTCTGGAAGCAAATACATTGTACTACAAATGTATTGCAAGCAATACGACAATCACAATAAAAGTCCAATCTTTTCTCCTAAGCTCAATTTCCACAATTTAGGTAGAGAAACCCTGTCTTTGTATCATCTCCTCTTTCTGACCTGCCTGGAGGTTTGCCACTCACAGGCTTATCTGGCTCCTCCCTACCTATGAAACTTCACTCTACTTCTCTCTTTTTGGGAAATGCTTTCCTTTTTTTTTCCACCTTGGTAAGATTCTTCCAAGACACACACAAAACAATGTTGTCTGCCCATAAAATATTTTTTGAGAATGCTCCAGAATTAAATTCTTATTTATCTGGGCTTCTATCACTCTATGTTTATTCTATATTGTTTATTTACATATCTGCCTCCCCTAGTAAATTCTGACCTTCTCAAGAAAGGAGAAACACTATTTCCATACATCTGTGTCCCCAGCATCTGCAAAGTATCCACCATAGGATATAGCATAAAACAAATCACTTTCACTCAAAGCCTGGCACTGACACTGTTTTCTGTGTATCCTTGTTCTTGTATTTAGTGTTTGTAACACTCTAGTTTCTTCTCCTATGCTGTGAACATAATAATCATGAGAACCCCATAGCCTTTTAAGGAATAAATGAAATAATCCATCTAATGTGGGAGAACAAGCCTGGCACATAGGAATGTTCAGCTATTATGAGGGGCAGAGTCTGGCATGTGCTCTTCACTATTTCTTTTGCACACGTGTATAGCAGGTGTCAAAGTAATAAAGCCCTTCTGTGTCTGCTCTTTCATTTATCCTCACCCCAATATCATGTGGGTTAGGAGAAGCAGGGATTCAGAAAAAAAAAAGATATCTAACATCTTTTGATAACTTAGGCATTAAGATGAATTCCAGGGGAGAAGATGGGGGAATTAACCTGTTATGTGCTGCTCCAACAATGAGTTAAGCAGAATTTGTAAGTTAAATTATCAGTAGCAACAGTAGGCACAAAATACTAGTAAAACTTACTTGGATTCAATCACCCTATCCAGTCACTTGTAGAAATTTTAATCAACACATAGATAGATATTAATAAATACAGTATATGCTACATATATATCATATGTAATACATTTTGTATCATATTATATATATATTACATACAGGCATGTGCATATGTGCACATACATAAATGGCTGGGTAGTGTTTGTGAAATTCAGTGCAATGGGTTTACTACATGCTCCTTATGAGATTAGGGGTGAAAATGGAATAGTGGCCATGTCAGATCCTATAGAATCCCCAAGTATAATTACTGAGCAAAGTATTTTGCTCTTGTACTATAAAAGTGCTTTAAATTAGACAACACTTTGAAAAGCTCTCTCTGACTATGCCAACCTTCTGTAATCTCTTTAATTAGTTCATATTATCCTGAAATTTCCTACAGCATTTTACTTGCTTTCTACAGAACCAAATATTTCCTTAAGGACCTTAACAATAGAGTTTTATATTTTCTAACTCTCCTTATAGGTTGATTAGTTGTAAAAACATTATATCTTTTTTTGTTGTTGACTTGCATAGTATCGTAGCTTGGCACAAAAGATAATATAGTGCCTTAATAATATTTGAATGACCAGTAGTTTTTGACCTATTAGTTCATTTATCACATCAGATTTCTTTCTCAATCTACTGCTGATTTAAATCTATAGATTATAGCTATGGAGTCCTTTCTCTCTCTCTCTCTTTCTCTAAATTTATCTATTGGTAATTATATATTTGGTTCTTCCACTCTGTGTATTCTTATATTTTATGTCCTAGTTTATTATTGATAAACTGTTCCTTTCTTCCCTCTGCTTCAGCTCAGGGTGAAAAATTTTAAGCTCAGATTGCAATAATAAAAAATTACCAGAAAAGAGCTTTTGACTCCCCAGATGAACTACTATTATTTTAATTCATAATTATAATTACAGCAGTGTTCATTGGGATAATTTTCCAATACCCTCAAACAACATTTTTTATAATCATGCTCATTGTTGCTAATGTACTATAGATCCTGGGAAGAACCAAGCTATTAATTTGGTACATTTGAGTTTGTTGCCAGCTGGAATAATTAGTTTCTGATACAGTTAGATTGTATTTAATAGCTCATTGACGCCCAGATGAATTTTCAACTGGAATTGTTTTAAAATTATGAGGAACAGGGCAAATTGGAAAGAAAAAATGAAAGTCCAAATTCCCATACATTTATCTCTAGGTTCCTTTAAATATTATTATTCTAAATCGGAATATAATAGGAGAAGGGAATAAGGGGATGTGTGTTCTATCCTGGATACAATATATATGGAACTGAATGGAGAAATGTAGACTATAGATCTTTTAGATACATTCTGAACCTCTGGACAAGTCAATCCTCTGGTCCTCAGTGTAAATCCATGTATAATAAAAAAAAATAAGAAAATTCCTCTGTATGCTTTCCTTTCATTCTTCTTCTCATTTTTCCATTCCTATACTTCCTTCCTGCCTTCTGTAATAGTTATGTCAAATATGACT